>NC_000021.9:31785076-32095030 GCF_000001405.40 Homo sapiens
ATCACCACCACCATCACCACCACCATCACCACCACCATCACCACCACCATCACCACCACCACCATCACCACCATCACCACCACCGCCATCATCATCACCACCACCACCACCACCATCACCACCATCACCACCACCACCACCACCACCATCACCACCACCATCATCACCATCACCACCACCACTGTCATCACCACCACCACCATCACCACCATCACCACCACCATCACCATCACCACCACCACCACCACCATCACCATCACCACCACCACCATCATCATCACTGACTACTACCATCACCACCACCACCACCATCATCACCACCACCATCATCATCACCATCCCTGCCACCACCATTATCACCCACCAACTACCACCACCACCACCACCACCACTACCACCACCACTACCACCACTGTATTAGTCCATTCTCATGCTGCTAATTAAGACATACCCGAGACTGGGCAATTTACAAAGGAAAGAGGTTTAATCGATTCATAGTACAGCATGGCTGGGGAGGCCTCAGGAAACTTACAATCATGGTGGAGGGGAAGCAAACACATCCTTCTTCACATGGTGGCAGGAAGAATTGCCGAGCAAAGGGGGAAAAGCCCCTTATAAAACCATCAGATCTCGTGAAAATTCACTCATTATCACGAGAACAGCAGCATGGGGGTGACTGCCCCCATGATTCAATTACCTCCCACCAGGTCCCTCCCACGACATATGGGGATTATGGGAACTACAATTCAAGATGAGATTTCGGTTGGGACACAAATCCAAATTGTACTAACCACTATCATCACCCCCCACTACCACCACCACCACCACCACCATCATCATCATTACCATCATCACCACCACTACCACCATCATCGTCAAAGCTTCTTTTCTCCATTACTTCAGAAGGTCTTGGGGCAGCGGCTTTATTTTCCCCTTTCCTTCGGTAAATTCAGTCTTGTGTGTCTGCTGCTTATTAACATCTCCACCAGGGGGCAGGCTGTGGAAGAAAAAGGTTCAATGCAAGACTTTACTCTGTCCTTGAATTTCGGAGCTGCCAGTGTATGAATTCTTCCAGACTCTCCCTGACAGAAACCATCTTTATATATCTGCTAAGCAGTTCTATTTTTTAATTTCTCTATCACAAAGAGTTCCTCTTGTTCCGTGAAATATGTATGGTTTTGAATATTTGAACCCGATGTTTTCCTCTTTGCTCTAACTTCTGAAATGTTTTGCCAAATGTGGGAAAGTGGAGCTTGATATGAGTCAATTGCATTTTTTTTCCTGCCAAAAAGTGATTTCAATTTTCAGCTGCAGACATAGGCAAAAGGTGTCTAGGATAAGAGAGTTTACACTTCTGGGCCAGCAAACATGGTGGCATGCAGGCCACACTTCCCTCCTCTGTGCTCACAGATGGCATGGTTGATAGATGATGGCAATCTTCCTCACTGAGTCCAAAGGCAGTTCTAGATACTTTCTCAACACACCACTTCAGTCAGCTTCTAGCGATCAATGGCACTTGAGATAAAACCAACTTGGCATTTCTGAGATGTTCTACGTCACACTCCTTCCATCACTCTCCATTTGAAGCATAGTGTTTGGGTCAGGGCATTCTATTTTCAGAAGAATATTTGTGCAGTGATGCTTAATGAGGGCAGCTCTCCTCCCAGGGTGTGCAAATCTGTGGCCATTTCTTAGTAATCACAGCCAGTGGGGACACATCTGGCACATGGTAGGTGGGAGCCAGGATTGCTTATTCACCCTGTGAGGTGTGAGGTTTTCCCTCATGATGAAAACTTCTCTCCCAGCCTGTGCTAGTTTTGAGTATCTTGTTGGTCATGTATATAGGTGAAAAACCTGTTGATAATAATCTAATGCCAGACCTGAACTCTATTTTGTATCTAACACACATTATTTTCCTGTGCTTTTAATACACACAGAATTTCCCAGTTGTATAACTATCACATAAATTGAAATCTATCCCTCTGTTTTGCAGAAACTTCCCCAAGAGTTGCTTACCATTTCTGAAAATTGCCTCACCAATGACAGCGCTGCCCCTGGGATCTGAGTTGCCAAAGCAGCACACTGGGTTCAGCATGCACGGGTAGTGGTCCTGTTCACAGGGATTTTACATGCAAGGCACGCATCTGACTTCTTACTGACGTCTTCTATTGTAGTCACATTGTCATGGATGTGTGGTGGTCATGCTATTTATGGATTCTATTTCAGACAACAATAAAATAGGTGGTTCCAATATTTGGTCTAGAAAGAGAGTCCACTAGGCTGGGTGTGGTGGCTCACGCCTGTAATCCCAGCACTTTTCAAGGCTGAGGTGGGTGGATCACCTGAGGTCAGGAGTTCGAGACCAGCTTGGCCAACATGGTGAAACCCCGTCTCTACTAAAAATACAGAAAATTAGCCAGATGTGGTGGCAGGTGCCTGTAATCCCTGCTCCTCAGGAGGCAGAGGCAGGAGAATCGCTTGAACCTGGGAGGCAGAGGTTGCAGTGAGCTGAGATTGCGCCATTGCACTCCAGCCTGGGCAACAAGAGTGCAACTCTGTCTCAAGAAAAAAAAAAAAAAAGAGAAAGAGAGTCCACTAGATAGAGACAAAGGGTTGCTTTTCTTATCTCTGTTGAAGAAGGGGGTGCAGGCATTATATGCTGGCCTTCGTGTAAAATGCTAAGCTGGGGGGTGGATGTGCATGAGTGAATGTGTGTGTTTAGTGTTTTACTTTTTTTTTTTTTTTTTTGAGACAGAGTCTTTCTCTGTTGCCCAGGCTGGAGTGCAGTGATGCAATCCCAGCTCACTGCAACCTCTGCCTCCCAGGTGCAAGTGATTCTCGTGCCTCAGCTTCCTGAGTAGCTAGAATTACAGGCACGTGTCACCACGCCCGGCTAATTTTTTTTGTATGTTTAGTACAGATGGGGGTTTCGCCATGTTGGCCAGGCTGATCTCAAATTCCTGACCTCAAGTGATCTGTTGGCCTCGGCCTCCCAAAGTGCTGGTATTACAGGCATGAGCCACCATGCCCGGCCCTAGCGTTTTTTTTTTTTTTTTTTTAATAGTGGTAACTGACTTAGGCTGACCCACTTCCACTCTTTCCAGATCCAAAAAATGCCAGAAGCACAGATTTTGGGGAGACACATCATTTGGAAGAGGCATTGCCCTGGTTCATAATGGGCCATGTAAGATTCACTGATCTATGTGGGATCCAAGAAACCAATGGCCGATCGTTTCTATCATGCTCTAAGAATTTTGGGTCTTCAAATCACTTTTAAGTTTATGACCTCTAAGAATAGATTTAGAAATGACATCTTATGGCCGAGTATGGTAGTTCATGCCTGTAATCACAGCACTTTGGAAGTCTGAGGTAGGGGGGACCTCTTGAAGCCGGGAGTTCAAGACCAGCTTGGGAAACATAGCAAGACCCCATCTCTAAAATTAAAAAAAAACAACTCACTGAACATGGTGGCACATGCCTGTAGTCCCAGCTACTTTGGAGGCTGAGACAAGAGGGAGGCTAAGGCAGGGGGACTGTTTGAGTCCAGGAGTTCAAGGCTACAGTGAACTATGATTGCAGCACTGCACCCTTAAGGGTATCAAAAAACAAGTCATCCCTTACGGTATCAAAAATCTGGAAACAGCATTCTTTTTTGATACAGCAACCTCCTAGGTATTTATTCTGAAAAAAATATTGGGAAAATGTGCAAAGATGGATAAACAGTTTGCATTATCAGTAAAGAAACAGGAAGAAAAATCTAGCTGTTGAGCAATAGAGCACCGATTAAGTGAATTAGTTACATTTATCTATCTATCTATCTATCTATCTATCTATCTATCTATCTATTTATTTATTTGAGATGGAATCTCACTTGGTCACCCAGGCTAGAGTGCAGTGGCGCGATCTTGGCTCACTGCAAGCTCCTCCTCCCAGGTTCACGCCATTCTCCTGCCTCAGTCTCCCAAGTAGCTGGGACTACAGGCACCCGCCACCATGCCCGGCTAATTTTTTTTTCTTTGTATTTTCAGTAGAGACGGGGTTTCACTGTGTTAGCCAGGATGGTCTCGATCTCCTGACCTCGTGATCCGCCCCTCAGCCTCCCAAAGTGCTGGGATTACAGGCCTGGGCCACCGCACCCGCCCTAGTTACATTTATTTATTTATGAGATGGAGTCTCGCTCTGTCACCCAGGCTGGAGTGCAATGGCATGATCTCAGCTCACTGCAACCTCTGCCTCCTGGGTTCAAGAGATTCTCCTGCCTCAGCCTCCCAAGTAGCTGGGATTACAGGCATGGGCCACGACACCCGGCTAATTTTTGTATTTTTAGTAGAAACGGGGTTTCGCTACATTGGCCAGGCTGGTCTCCAACTCCTGACCTCAGGTGATCCACCCACCTTGGCCTCCCAAAGTGCTGCGATTACAGGCACGAGTCACCGCACTCAGAAGTTACATTTATATACTGGAGAACTATCCACCATTAAAACTAAATTTATATTTACTAAAATGGAAGGGCAAAACTAACATATTTAGTGATGATAGACTATATGTATATTATTACTCAATTCAAAACTTTTATATATTTACATATAAAAAGTTCTGGAAGGACATTGATCAATGGCAAGGGGAGAAATTAAATGCCATTAAATTTCTGTTTCCAAAAAATTTTCATAATAGTTATGTATTAAGTATGTAATTTCAAAATTAATATATTTTCCCCCAAACATTTAAAATAAACAAACTTAGTCTATATGCTTGCTGTATTAATTTGCTAGGACAGCCTCCACAAAGTACCACAGACTGGGCAGCTTAACCAAGAGAAGATCATTTTCTTATGCTTCTGGAGGCCGAAAGTCAGAGCTCAAGGTGTCAGCATGGCTGGTTTCTTCTGAGGCTTCTCTGTTTGGCTGTAGATGGCTGTCTTCCTCATGTGTCTTAACACTGTCTTCCTCCTGTGTGTTCCAATCTGTTCCTAAAATGACAACTGTAACTTTGGATTAGGCCCCCCCGCCGATGACCTGATGATTTAACTTAATGATTGTTTAAGACTCTATGTCCAAGTCCAGTTACCTTTGGAGGTACTCGGGGTTAGGACCTACACATATGAATTTTAGGGAGGACTCAATTCTGCCCCTACTCTTGCCTTCTAAATAAAATATGGAAGCCTTGTAGTTTTCATAGGAAACACCTTCTGTTAATAAATATTAGCATGACATGATCATACTAATAATTATTTTATAGCAGCGGTCCGGAACCTTTTTGGTACCAGGCACTGGTTTCATAGAAGATAATTTTTCCATGGACTGGGGGTGGGGAGTGGTTCCAGGATGATTCCAGCACATTCCATTTATTGTGCACTTTATTTCTATCATTATTACATTGTAACATGTAATGAAATAATTATACAACTCACCATAATGTAGAATCAGTGAGAGCCCCGAGCTTATTTTCCTGCAACTAGATGGTCCTGGGGGTGAGGGGAGACAGTGACAGATCATCAGGCATTAGATTTTCATAAGGAGTGGCAATCTAGATCCCTCACATGTGCAGTTCACAGTAGGATTTGTGCTCCTATGAGAATCTAATGCCACCACCGATCTGACAGGAGGTGGAGCTCAGGTGGTAATGCGAATGATGGGGAGTGGCTGTAAATACAGATGAAACTTCTGTAGCTCTCCCTCTGCTCCCCTCCTACTCTGCAGCCCACTTCCTAACAGGCCGTGGACTGATACTGGTCTGTGGCCCGGTGGTTGAGAACTCCTGTTTTATAGCTTGATAAAAGCTATTTTATACATTTGGACAGAGATTCTCAAAATGTCTCTGTTGACATGAAGAAGATGCAAATGCACACTGACAAAGCAGTCTTCCTTCCCCAGCAGATTCATGGATTGCAGTATTGGAATCAAGTCATGCTTCTTTTTAAAAAAATTGTGATTCTTATTTTCCTTTTTGTATTCACATCTCAGCAGCAGAAGGAAGAGTCATGCCTTCTTAATTTCAGGTCAGCAGTCAGTCAGTCCACATTTACTGGACACCCACAGGGTATGGCACATTTTACTAGGTGTGGGGGCAAACTAAAAATAAATAGAAGCTTAATTCATGCCCTAAAGGAGCTTTTAATTTCCTGGAGACACAGAACACTCCTGCTGAACACAAATACACTAATAATAAGGAAACATTTCATGTGAGATTTAGAGATAAGCAGTCTAACTTAGTTTGTGAAGGGTGATATATTTTGTAATTAAGTGACTACAGAGTAATGGGATGGCCAGGACTGGCCCTCAGACCTCTTGACTCCCTGTGGAACTTTTCCCATCAGGTCACTCTGCCACCAACCCTAATGAGCCCCATCAACTGCAGTACAAATCTGTGCCCTAAATATTGAGGGGGAGTTCAAGTAAAGAAAACAAAATCAGATTTTTTTTTTTTGAGAAGAAGTCTCACTATTTCGCTCTGGCTAATGTACAGTGGCGCGATCTCAACTCACTGCAACCTCCGCATCCCAGGTTCAGGTGATTCTACTGCCTCAGCCTTCTGAGTAGCTGGGACTACAGGCATGCATCACTATACCCGGCTAATTTTTAAATTTTTAATAGAGGTGGGATTTCACCATGTTGGCCAGGCTGGTCTCGAACTCCTTATCTCAAGTGATCTGCCTGCATCGACCTCCCAAAGTGCTGGGATTGCAGGAGTGGGCCACCGTGCCCAGCAAAATCAGATGTTGGTATCATGAAAAGCATATCAAATGCATTTTGGAGAAAATAAGAAACATGGATTAAAAGGAAAGATGAGGGAGCATGAGCTAAGAGTTGGTCTAAGAGTTGGCGGCGTAGAGTGATACAGAAAGCCAGGAGTTCCTCTCAAACCAACTGAGGGAGATGGTTAAGGCTGTGAGAGGCAGGAGAGGTTCTTCCGTGGGAAAGGACAGGTCTGTATGAGCTGAGGGAAGGGGCTGCATAGAGTCGTCACAGGACTGAGACTGGCGCAGGGAGGCAGAGGTGAGCCTGGCAGAAGTTTGGATGTCACAGCCCCCTCCACATTCCATAGCTTCTTTCATTGCAACTTGTTTCTTAGTTCAGTTAGTAGAAATTCAGTCTTTTCTTGGGGATGCTGAAAAGTCCGTGGGTATTATTCCATAAAATCCAGAGCAGTGGAAAGGATTTGTTTGAGCATATGTGTAATTATGTGTGTAAGTGTGTGTGAGTGACTGTGTGAGCACGTGGGTGGGTGGGAATATGCACGTATGTGAGTGTGACTACATAGAATGTGAGAATGCACATATGTGTCTGTGTGTGTGTGTTTGTGTGTGTTGTATGTGAGAGTCAGTGTATAGGTACATTGCTCCTAGAGGTCACTGTACTTGTTTCCTATTGCCACTGTGACAAAATTACCGCACATATAGTGGCTTGAAACAACACACATTTGTTATCTTACAGTTCTGGAGGTCAGAGGCTGAAATGGGCCTCACTGGGCTAAAATCAAGGTGTGAGCAGGGCTGTGTTCTTTCTGGAGGCTCTAGAGGAGAAACTGCATCTTGCTTTGTGGCACTTTCTCCATCTTCAAAGCCAGCCTTTCTCCTCTTGAATCCTCTGACCTGCTCCTCTGCCTCTCTCTTCTGCTTTTAAGGATCCTTGTGATTACATTGGCCCTGCCTGAATAATGCAGTATAATCTCTTTCTCTTAAAGTCGACTAATTAGCAAACTTAATTCCATCTGCAGCCCTCGTTTCCATGTAACCCAACATATGCACAGATTCTGGTGATTAGGAGGGTGACATTATTCTGCCTACCACAGTTACCATCATAATCTGCTTTCATAAAGCAGAAATGCCTCTTTCCCCTTTCTCCAAATGTTGAAAGGCCTTGGAGGGGCAGGAGGCCCAGGCCTGGAGAAGCAGGTGTATTTTGCAAACACACCCCAGGGGGTTCTGATTCAGCCTCACTCTCATTGTGATCCACTGGTTTAAATGTTAGCTTAAAACAGCATTTATCTTTTCACAAATAGCAATGACAGAAAGGACTTTTGCGATGATTTAACCCATTCATTTTTATTCATCAGGAAAGGGAGAGCTCAGCTGGTGAAATGACTTCTCCAAGGTCTCCCAGGTTGTGAGGGTAGAGCTAGATCACCTACCAACATCCTCAAAGCTCCATCCACTGCTCTTCCTATGGTTAGATTCATCAATTTTACAAGATTATTTATTTCCCTGCCTTTTCTAACCAAGAGAGATGTGGTTTCTGTGGATAAGATGCTTACATGGTTTTGTTGCCTTTGCTGCCGGAGGCACATAATGGGTTGAGGAGGTGAGACCCAAGGTAAATATGCCTGGTATTCAATCTGGAGTGTCGTGGTATCAAGAAGATGAAGATAACTTGGAAGAGGTTTACAGGAGATCAGCTAAAATGATGAAATGAGGGAAGAGTGAAGCAGATAAGGAGGGAATCCTTCACTAGGCAGCCAGTTGGCTGGAAGAAAGCAGACTGCAGGACTTCCCTGAATATTTTCAAGCTGGGATATAAGGTTCATGCTGCTTGCAAGTTGGGCCTCAGCACTGGAAGTCTCCAAATTAGCCGTGGTGAAGGGAAATCAATGTCTTTGAGTCCATCAGTTGGTTCCATTTCTACTCCGTGGCCACTTTGCATATGAGCCCATCAAACAGTCAGTGAGGTGGCTGGGAAGGAAGTTGACTGATATCTACAGGGCTGATAATTTTGTCCACTGGTTTATTCATTACCTTTCCCACTGTGGAGTAGGGTCTTTGGGAGAGAGTACACTTTCGGGAAACTTTTCTAGATGCTGATCCACATACCTCCTCAAACCTCCCTGTGGCTAATTCTCCAATCTTGTTCCTTCCATGTTCATGACCAGCTATCCAAACATTAGCCACAGCCTGAAGCCCAAGAGTCTGATAATGCTTTTGCACCTCAAGTTCTCTCACTGTCCAGCAAGAGTGGCCAACAAAGTGCTCCACTCACGCTTCCATCCTCTGAGATTGGTTCCCTTTACCCGCAGCCTTTAGGGCCATTCAAGAGTGAGGATGTAGAGCCAGTTGTTTAATTCTGGTTGGAGCAAGTGGATTAGGCAGATCCATCTGAGGCCACGCTTGGCTTTAAGCTGTCATAGGGAACGCCCCATGAGGCTGGAGGTTGAGTGGAGAGAAGGATGGCGGCATGGCAGGGGTGAGGCTGCTGCTCATGGAACAACTTGTGTCATCACAGCCTGCTTAAGCTCCCGCTTGACTGTCCCTCTGCCATTGATGATGGAGCTCTGTGGATCACATGATCACACTAGACTTTTGTTAAGGCAGAAAAACTGACCACTTCAACCGGGGCAATCCAGATCATGTGGCCATTTGGCATTCAACAATGCCACCAACATTGTTGAACTGCTGGCTAGGATCTAGTTTTTTTTTTTTTTTTTTTTTTTGAGACAGAGTCTCACTCTGTCACCCAGGCTGGAGTGCAGTGACGTGATCCTAGCTCACTGCAACCTCCGACTCCTGGGTTCAAGCAATTCTCCTGTCAGCCTCCCGAGAAGCTGTGACTATAGGCACAGGCCACCACACCCAGCTAATTTTTGTATTTTTAGTAGAGATGGGGTTTCACCATATTGGTCAGGCTGGTCTCGAATTCCTGACCTCAGGTGATCCACCTGCCTCGGCCTCCCAAAGTGCTGGGATTGCAGGCATGAGCCACTGCACCTGGCCCAGGATCCAGTCTTATTGCAATGGTTTGCACCACCGGCAAGAATTCACTGTCATCCCCACTTGCCTGTATCACTTGGTCTTAAAGCAAATTGCACTATGATTATACGAGGCCCAAGCAACCTAGGATCACATGCCTACGCCTGACTGCGAGGGTAGCTGGGAAAGAAAATATCTTGTGTTTTCAGCTTCTGTAGTGGGTGGGTAGACAAGCTTTATAAAAAGAGATTTTCTCCAATTACTAGAAGGGGATTCAGACGTTAGGCAGTCAAAATATCTCCAATATATGTTTCCTCCACCCTTTTTGAAAAAATACAGAAAAATTTAAAGAAGAACATAAGAATAAAATGTAATCCAATAACTCAGAAATAAAAAATTTATTAAAATTTAGATGCGTTTCTTCCACATATCCTCTAATGAATATTTGTCTTATAAGAACAAATATTTCATGAGGTCAGGGATGTCATCTGTTTTATTTGCCACTGACTTCATACTAATAAATGCATGCCTAAATGAATGGTTGTTTCATAAATCTTCAACTAGTATTGCAATCATTTTTCATTATTAATAATGACCTTTATGCAATCAGTTTTAATGGCTAGGTAAGGTTTTATCCAATGAATGTAACATTACATTTCTAGTGAGCTGGGTCTGGTCTAAGA
Organism: Homo sapiens; assembly: GCF_000001405.40. Classification (NCBI taxonomy): domain Eukaryota; kingdom Metazoa; phylum Chordata; class Mammalia; order Primates; family Hominidae; genus Homo; species Homo sapiens. The sequence goes on from NC_000021.9 coordinate 31,795,439, forward strand.
ATGACACTGTTGGGAAATGAAGTGATTCTTGCCATTCCTTGCCTCTTCTGCAGGCTTTTCTTTACTTTTTTTTTTTTTTTTTTTTACAGTATCTCACTCTGTCATACAGGATGGAGTGCAGTGGCGTGATCTCGGCTCACTGCAACCTCCACCTCTGGGGTTCAAGTGATTCTCATGCCTCAGCCTCCCGAGTAGCTGGGATTACAGGCATGTGCTACTATGGCCTGGCTAATTTTTCTGTTTTAGTAGAAATGGAGTTTCACCATGTTGGCCAGGCTGGTCTGGAACTCCTGGCCTCAAGTGATCCACCCGCCTTGGCCTCCCAAAGTGCTGGGATTTCAGGCATGAGCCACCGTCCCCAGCCATCTGCAGGCTTTTCAAACTTGCCTGAAAGTGACAGCATTCACTACTTGCCTCTTATCATTAATCTTGATTTTCCCCCAAACCAAAGTGGTCTGAGGAAGCAAAGACTAATTATTTGCAATGGATCAGGGCTTGAACACTTAAGTCTTCTGTGGCAGAAGCAGAAATTCAATTAACAAAACTGTTTCATGGTTGTTGGCTTGTTTGTGACACTCCTGAGGTTCTGGTGAAGAAGCAGAACACAGATGCAAATACAACAATGATGATGTGTTGATCAACTCGTGGATAGACATTGTTCTAAGTGCTTCACATATGTTATCTCATTGAGTTTTCACAACAACCCTATGAAGTATTATCCCCCAAGGTATAGAGAAGGTTTCACATTGCTGGTGTAATCCCAGAGTCTGCAGCAAGACGATCTGACTCATTGACATCATTCTAGGTGTGGTCTCAAATGAGCTTATTCAAGTGCATTTTTGGCAAAGAAGGACATGAATAAAAAGCACCGAGAAATGGGTGGGTTTTTTTCTCTTAAAATGATGGCAGGGGCTGGGCATGGGGTGGATCATGCCTGTAATCCCAGCACTTTGGGAGGCCGAGGCGGGCGGATCACGAGGTCAAGAGATGGAGAGCATCCTGGCCAACATGGTGAAACCCCGTCTCTACTAAAAAATACAAAAATTAGCCAGGCATGGTGGTGCTCACCGTAGTCCCAGCTACTCGGGAGGCTGAGGCAGGAGAATCGCTTGAACCTGGGAGGTGAGGTTGCAGTGAGCTGAGATCATGCCACTGCACTCCAGCCTGGCGACAGAGCAAAACTCCGTCTCAAAATAAATAAATAAATAAATAAATAAATAAATAAAATGATGGCAGGATGTATAACTCCTTTTGGGAACCACAGAAGCCCCTAGCTATTTAGAACAGGTTGAAAGACCTTTAATGATTTCTTTGGGAGAAGAGCTTCTTGGCAATTCAGGAAGACAGGTTGGTAACTTGGGGTTTACAGAGAATCTCCTTGCCCTGTTCTTTCTTCTTTGGCTCTAGAAACCCAAACAGGGCACCTCCTGAACTGGAATGAGAGAAGTACTCTCTGACTCATTCCACTGACTCTTGCCTCAATCCTCCTTTGACCTGGGCTTCTTATCTGATCAGGAGAGAGGAATATCTCATAACAAACCTCCATTTAATTGACTCCCCAAATTAATGAACACTCTTCACGCCCTCCCAAGAACACACACTAACACTTACAGCAAGTTGAATGCTCATAGCTAGTCAATGACTCTCTCGTGCACCCATGCACCCACCTGCTGATTTACCTGCTGTGCTTACCAAGAGTTAGTTACATTAGCTCCCAAACCTCTTTCTGCCATTTGTACTCATTGCTGTAACTAACTAATTTAATTATTAGGGGAACCACTTTATTCAACAAATTGAACATCTACAGTATGCAAGGCAATGTTCTTCATGCTTGGAATAAATCAGTGAACAAGAAAACAAAGATCCCCTTTTTCATGACACTTATATTCTATGCAAAAAAAACATAATTACTTCACAGATAATTAAGTTGAATGCTTTGGTAAGATCCAACAAATGTAAGTTGCTTAAAATTTTTGCTTAATTTGGTGTGGTTGAGACAACTGTAAAAAGATTGAGAAAAATATTGCAAGGCTCTGGAAGGATTCCACACTCAGGATACTTCACAAGTGTCTTTAAATTCTCGTTCTATTTTAAAGAAATCATAACTAGAAATATACAGGCATGATTTATACAAGAAAAACAACGAAGAAATCCAATGAGCAAATCCAAAGGAAGGCCTTGGACTTACATCAAAAAATTTTTTACTTGTTTTACAGTAAAATGAAATGTTTAAGGTTAAATATTTATCTTTTTTTCTTTTTAAAAATGAATTTTCACTGTAAGTGGCTTTTTCGATTGACAGTCGACAACTAGTCCCAACAGAGCTGAATGAAAGTGTTTCTACTCTATTTTTCTTTTCTTTTTTCTGTTTTACTTCTGAGACAGGGTCTTGCTGTTTTGCCCAGGCTGGAGTGTGGTTGCGTGATCACAATTTACCATAGCCTCCACCTCCTGGGCTCAACTGATCCTCCTACCTCAGCCTCCTGAATAGCTGGGACTACAGCCACGACCTGGCTAATTAAAAAAAATTTTTTTTATAAAGACGGGGTCTCACTATGTTGCCTCGGTTGGTTTCGAACTCCTGGCCTCAAGGGATATTCTCACCTTGGCTTCTTGAAGTGCTGGGATTACAAGCATGCACTGCTGTGCCTGGCCTTACTCTTATTTTTCAAGGACTGCTTGAATCGGAATCACTAGGGAGCTGCAGCCCTGAATTGGAAGTTCTAGGGTGGGCCCAGAACAAACTCTGTAGGGATCAACTCAGAAGAGTTGGCTAGCGAGGGCTCTTCTGTCAATCAGGGCAAATTTCCTGAGTCCTTGGTTTGAACCTTCAATCTGGAGGATTAAGGCTCAAGGTACCATTTGGTGGGAAGGCCCTATCCTGTCTCCAGAGGGAAAAACCTTTTAGGGGTCTGTTTTTGACTTGTGTCATAGCAGAAACCTGGTATTACAAGAAAGGAAGTTGGCCGGGTTCCATGGCCCACGCCTGTAATCCCAGCACTTTGGGAGGCCGAGGTGGGCAGATCACAAGGTTAGGAGTTCGAGACCAGCCTGGGCAACATGGCAAAACCCCATCTCTGCTAAAAATACAAAAATTAGCCGGGCATGCCTGTAATCCCAGCTACTCGGAAGGCTGAGGCAGGAGAATGAATTGAACCCAGGAGGCAGAGGTTGCAGTGAGCTGAGATTGTGCCACTGTGCTGCAGTCTGGGTGACAAAGCAAGGCTCTGTCTCAAAAAAAAAAAAAAAAAAAAGAAATAAGAAATGAAGTCAACATGTAATTCTTTGTGCCCAGATTAGATATTCCGAGGAGATGAAGAAAGAACCTTGTTCTTGAGCAGTTTATAATCTTGAGACAAACTCATTACAAATTACTAGGTTATATTACTAGACAGCAGACAGTATTATTAGTAGCAAAATCATATGCAATGCATCCGTTAGAATGGTGAGAGTCTTGTGGTCCCAGGTTGCCCAGGACTAAAGGGTTGGCTGCTACACAGGGCTTTCAGTATTAAACTGAGATAGTCCCAGGCAAACATGATGGCTGGTCACCATGGAGAAGGATCGATTTGCGTGCAAGCACAGCTGGGGAAGGCTTTGTAGATGAGGGAGATATCTGAGTGGGCGTTAAAGTCTAGAAGAATGTACAGCAGCCGGGAGCTAGGAGGAGAGAGGCAGAACTGTAATTTGAATGCATGAGCAGCCTCAGAGATTCCCAGCACTATTCGTTTAAATCCAGGTATTTAAAACCCAGTGTGTTTTTAGCGATCACTTGGCGTGTTGCTACAAGAAGTGTGACACAGCTAAGTGGTTCTGCGAGCAGAAGTGGTAACAGTTCATATGCACACCCACCTCTGAGTACAGGTTAATTAGCTTGTGTTGGCAGAGCCTTTGAGTGTGTGCAGTACGCCCCACAACCCGGATATTATTAGCCAGTTAGCAACACCTTAAAAATACCACATTGCTGCAGTCCCTTCAGCTCTTGTTTCTTCCCAATTTCTTTGAAATAGCTGGATTCCTGCAGATTTCAGCATGAGCCTCTCACTGGTACTCAAGTGGACACAGTGCCTGACACCTGCGTGAATGTGATTACAAACTGACCCTGGGCCTGGGCTGCATTATTGCTCCGCTGCGGGGCCAATTTCCAAACAGTATGCTGCTGCATTCCTGTTAGAACAGGTTGCATTTATCCTCTCTGTCTCTTCTCTTGTTGGCCTGTTCGTAGACATGGTTTCTACACACACACACACACACACACACACACACACACACACACACACATCTTTCATATGCCATACATGTGATATCATAGACCATATGATATTACGTAATACATCTTATAATGAGAGATATGCTAGTGTCACCCAACGACCACAAACCCTGGATGACAGCCTGCTCTTGCTTGAGCTCAGGCTGAGTCCTATGTCCCTTGGGTGGGGCAGAAGAGGGAAGGGCTTCAGCACAGGCGACTTCCTCCCTGTCCAGAGCTGCTGCCACAGGAGTTGGGGGGTGAGTTGAGCCCCACCGTGGAGCCTGCTTCCTATTCACAGGCAGCTTCAAGCTTAGCCAGGCAAAACGACCGTGGTAATGGCTGAACTCTCAAAAGCATGTAAGTGTGGATGTGTGTGTGTGTGTGTGTGTGTGTGTGTGTGTGTGTGTGTGTGGAATGGGTGTCTATGTGTATATATGTATGCATATGAGTTTGGAGGCATGTGTGCTATATGTATGTGTTTGGAGAGGGTGTGTGTGTGAGTATAGGTGTGTGTGGGGGAATGGAATGGTATGTGTATGATGTGTTCATGTGATCCCAAGAGTTGATAGTTGTGCTCTGAGCCCCAGCAGTTGCACAAGTTTGCCAGCCCTCAGATGTGGGCGCAGAAGACATTCCTGGCTCCCTGTTCTGGCAAGAGAGTCGGTGACAGCCCTGCAGGGGGACTGGAGAATGGGGAGTCGGGGAGTCCCAGGTGTGGAGCACAGGAAGGGCGGGAGGCCGGTTTCCAGGCCTGGGCGAGCCTCCCATCCTCACCCCTCTCCCAGTTAGAGTGAGAGGCAGAGGGAGTGACAGGCTGATTTTGCTGCTAGCAGTCATCAGTCTCGGACCTGCTGCCAATCTGCGGAGCTGCTGTAAGCAGCTCCCCGGCTATTGTCACTGAGCAGTGACACACAGATCGGATGGGATCCTGTGCTTTGCGGCTCCACCCTCGGCTGGGGTCTCCTGAATAAGAAAGTGCACGCCCAGACAGGTCTGCCTCAGTCCTGCTCATGGGGGGCATGCCAATTCCAGAGCTTCCCTGGATCAGGCTGCCCCTCTGCCAGCCCACCACGCAGGTGGGATGGAGTGAGCAGTCAGCAGAGCCGATTTTCCTCAGAGCTCTTATAAAGCCTGAGTAAAAACAAGCTCAAAGTGTTATTTCTATTCTCTCACTCCACAACAATTAACATAGAAGACTTCTGAGACCAAATGTGTGTGAGTTTCCCCCACACTCCAAGCAAGCAATCAGTCTGCAGCGGACACCAGCTGGCTGTACTCCAGTTGAATGCCATCTACCTGGAGCTAGCGTCACATCCCACAGGGCCAGGGGCTCAGCCCCCAAGGCTGCCCCCCTCTTCTGATGCCAATCATAAGCCCCTGGTTATTTTGCCTGTGCTTGTGACTCACCAGCTCTGAATTGGGGTTCCCACAACCTCCTCCTTTGGTTCGATTAATTTGCTGGAGCTGCTCACAGACTTCAGGAAATCCTTATGTTTACCAGTTTATTACAAAGGATATTTTAAGATATACAAATGAGGCTGGGCACGGTGGCTCACACCTGTAATCCCAGCACTTTGGGATGCCGAGGGGGGCGGATTACCTGAGGTCAGGAGTTCGAGACTAACCTGGCTAACATGGTGAAACCCTGTCTCTACTGAAAACACAAAAATTAGCTGGGTGTGGTGGCAGGTGCTTGTAATCCCAGCTACTCGGGAGGCTGAGGCAGGAGAATCGCTTGAACCCCAGGAGGCAGAGGTTGCAGTGAGCCAAGATTGAGCCACTGCACTCCAGCCTGGGCGACAGAGTGATACTCCTTTCAAACAACAACAACGAAAAGATACAAATAAACACTCAGATGAAGAGATACACAGGAGGAGGTCTGGAGGAGTCCTGAGCCCAGAGCTTCTGTCCCCGTGGAGTTGGGGTGCGCCACGGTCCAGGCACATGGTTGTTGTGTAAGCCCCTGTGTGTCTGGCTATCTGCTGGCTCTCTGAACCCCGTCCTTTCGGGTTTTTATGTAAGCTTCATTACGCAGGCATGATTGATGACATCATTGGGCATTGGTGAACAACTTGACCTTCAACCCCTCTCCCCTTTGCTGAGGTTGGGGAGGGGGCTGAAAGTCCCAACCCTCTAATCCCGCCTTGGTCTTTCTGGTGACCAGCCCCCATCCCAAAGTTATCTAGGGGTTGCCAGTCATCAGTCAAATCATTTACATAGAGAAGACATCACTTTGGAGACTCTGAGGATTTTAGGAATTATATGCCAGGAAACAAGATGAAAACCAGACGTGTTTCACAATATCGTAGAATTCCAGAAATGGAGGCTACTCTTGCAGGACTGCTATACATGAGCCTTGAAAAATCGATATGGCAGTACAATACACACTAGCCATTTACTGTTTGGTAGTGGAGGGAGGGGTGGAGTCTTACCAAGTAAAGCAGTGGTTTAAAAACACAGACAGATGGAGACATTTGAGCCCTGGAGTCTGAATATCAAAGATTCCTGGAAATTACAGATTCCTGGGGTTTCTCTCCTGACAGGTTTGGACAAGAGTTCCTTGGCCTCTGGGTGTCCCCCCAACCCCCATCCCAACAGTGGTGCCCTCATAAATTATTGCAAAACTGACCCAGTGTGGTCTTAAGGAAAGGGAAAGATGTGTAAATAGGGGTTAAGGGCTATTTAAAGGGAACAATCTCCTCCCTCATATTACTTTTTTTTTAAATTTTATTATTATTATACTTTAAGTTTTAGGGTACATGCGCACAATGTTCACGTTTTTAAAATTGACTCACCAAAGGCCAGCATGGCCTGTGACCCTGTGCCTGCAGGCTCACATTTTCTAAATGACAAAGTGCTTCCTGCCTCCCGACAGCATTTCAGACAAGTCAACCTCGGGTCACTGTTTTTTTTTTTTTTTTTTACCCGCTTAGAATTGATGGGTTCCCTTGGTCTTCGGTGAGCCCCTTCAGTGCTGATACCCATCTGGTTATTCTTCCTTTTTTCTCTCGGTCTTTCATTCCTTTCTTTGACTTGTGTTGACAAAGCACCTAGGAATCATCCTTTTGAAAAAATTGTTTTACTCTTACTGTAGTCAGCAAAGTTCACTTTATATTTTCTCAATGTTCATTTTAAAAGTAGAAATTTCTCCAGGCACAGTGGCTCACACCTGTAATCTCAGCACTTTGGGAGGCGGACGTGGGTGGATCACTTAAGGTCAGGAGTTTGAGACCAGCCTGGCCAACAGGGTGAAGCCTCGTGTCTTCTAAAAATGCAAAACTTAGCCAGGCGTGGTAGTGGGCGCCTGTAGTCCCAGGTACTTGGGAGGCTGAGGCAGGAGAATCGCTTGAACCTGGTAGGCGGAGGTTGCAGTGAGCCGAGATTGCACAACTGCACTCCAGCCTGGGTGGCAGAGTGAGACTTGGTCTCAAAAAAAAAAAAAAAAAAAAGAAATTTCGCTTATCGGTCTTTCTTATAAGCATTACTTACATTATAGATCAGAGCGATGCACTAGAACTTTTCAAAATGATGGGAATGTTCTGTACCTGCACCGTCCTATTAAACTAGCCACCAGCCACCTGTAGCACTTGAACACTTCAAATGTGACTAGTGTGATCGAGAAACCACATTTTCAATTTTACTTAATTCTATTCAATTAAAATGTAAATAGCCGCATGTGACTAGTGGCTGCAGTAGCTAACCGTGTAAGTAGGGAACAAGTACGGATCTCCAAGGTGCTCCTCCTCCAAATCCCAGCAAATTCAGATTGCTTTTTCCTTGAGCAACCCAGGCACACTCCTTCATCCTTCTCTCGGCCCCCTTGGCATGAGAGGAAGTAGGCAAACACTCAGCTTTTTGCCCTGCTGTTCCTACAGCTCTGAGAGTCCTTCACACGGTGAGTAAGAGGTTGGGTTCGGAAAAGCTTGCTGAAATGTCATTAATATGGGTGAGAATATTTCAGTTCTTCGCCAAGCATTTTCTTTCTTGACACAACAGGTTTACCTGCTTACGCATAAAGGAAAGCAATGGCTAAACCCTGAAATGAAATGCCTGGGTCCCAGGTGGCTCATAGTTCTATTTCAATTTAATGCATGTTTAAACAAACGTAAGTTATTAGAGTTATGTACGCTTGAAGGTACTATATGACGAACATTTTGGGAGAAAGCTTATGGGAATTACAGTTACATAACCGGAGAAGAATTTGAAGAGTCCCGGGTTTGCATGGAGGAAAGAAGCTCAAGGCTGCATTTAAGCTTCCAACTGAGGCACTGTCTCTCTAAGACATTACTGGAATCTGACTGTAATTGGGTGACTGTTGGCAAAGACCTAGGATGAGGGAGACGATTAGGAAGCATCTGTTTATACAAAGAGGACAAAGGGACAAGGCATTTCCAGGGTGGAAAAAAACCTCAGACTTTTTAGCAAAAGTCAAAGGCAATGGTGAAACCCTGAAAGGAGGAAGTGGCTGGAAATATAGTGCAGACAATGGTGTACACCTGGAAAGGATCTAAAAACCCGAGAGAGCTCATCAGTGTCAGAAAACAAGATTGATGAGGCCTACCTGAGCGTGGGTGTCAGACAGAGACTATGTACGGGAACGATTCCTAGATTTGGAGAAGAGTTCTTGGTTAAAACAACAGGAGGTAGCCCTTTATTTTTCTCTTTCTTTCTTTCTTTCTTTCTTTCTTTCTTTTTTTCTTTCTTTCTTTCTTTTTCTTTTCTCCTTCCTTCCTTCCTTCCTTCCTTCCTTCCTTCCTTCCTTCCTTCCTTCCTTCCTTCTCTCTCTCTCTCTCTCTTTCTTTCTTTCTTTCTTTCTCTTTCTTTCAAGACAGAGTCTGGCGCTGTTGCCCAGGCTGGAGTGCAGTGGTGCAGTCTTGGCTTACTGCAACCTCTGCCTCCTGGGTTCAAGTGATTCTCCTGCCTCAGCCTCCTGAGTAGCTGGGACTACAGGCACATGCCACCATGCCTGGCTAATTTTTGTATTTTTAGTAGAGACGGGGTTTCACCATATTGGTCAGGCTGGGATTGAACTCCTAACCTCGTGATCCACCCGCCTTGACCTCCCAAAGTGCTGGGATTAAGGCATAAGCCACTCCTCCTGGCCTTCTTCCTCTTCTTCTTTTTTTTTTTTTTTTTTAAATTGAGACAGAGTCTTGCTCTGTCACCTGGGCTGGAGTTCAGTGGCATGATCTCAGCTCACAGCAACCTCCACCTCCCAGGTTCAAGCAATTCTCCTGCCTCAGCCTCCCAAGTAGCTGGGATAACAGGTGTGCGCCACCATGCCTGGCTAATTTTTGTATTTTTAGTAGAGATGGGGTTTCATCATGTTGGCCAGGCTGATCTAGAACTCCTGACCTCAAATGATCCACCAGTCTTGGCCTCCCAAAGTGCTGGGATTACAGGCGTGAGCACCCAGCCCCCTTTGTTTCTTTTTCTATCCAGCTGTGTTCATCTGCTTGGGCTACCATAACAAAATAGCATACACTGGGTGGCTTAAACAACAGAAATTTATTTTCAAATAGCTCTGGAGGCTGAGAAGTCCAAGATCAAGGTGCCAGCTGATTCAGTTCCTGTTGAGGGCCCACTTCCTGTCTTGCAGAGGGCTGCCTTCTAACCATGTCCTTAAATTGTGGAGAGGGAGAGAAGGTGACCTCTGGTCTCTTCTTCTTCCCACCCTCATCACCTCATCTAAACCTAATTACCTCCCAAAGACCCCACCATTTCCAAATACCATCACATTGGGGGTTAGGGCTTCAACATGTGAATTTGGATGGATTGTAGATATTCAGTCTACAATACCAAAAATACAATAAATATTTATTGAGCACCTACTATGTGCTAGGGTTGTATCAGAGTAAAACACCTTTTCTTCCTCTAGAAACTCATTGCAAACAACTGCAACTCAAAGAAATAAGCACTAAAGTTCTAGAGTGCACAGAGGATAGGGGCAAACACTGTGTGGGGGTATAGAGAAGACTTCATGGGGAGGTGACATTTGAATGGGGTCTGGAAGGACAAGGGAGACACAGAGGGGGTGAGTCCAAGACAGAAATGACAGTGTGTACTAAATCAGGGAGAGGGTCAAGGCAATGTGTGTTGAGGTCAGTGTTGATACATTGGGTTGTGGGATTAGAAATGATGGATGGGGTAGGGTAGGTAGGCAGGAGATGACATGCAGAGGCAGGCTGGGGGTGGAAGAAGGGCTAAATGTGTCATATTAAGGAATTTGAACCTGATCCCAAAGGAAATGGGGAGTCTGAGGGCTCTGGAAATGTTTTAACCAGGAAAGTGTGCCGATTTATGTGCAGGAAGCTAGTGGGCATTGTATCTGTTTGCTGGGGCTACCATTAAAAATTACCACAGATTGGCTGGGCGCAGTGGCTCATGCCTGTAATCCCAGCACTTTGGGAGGCCAAGGTGAGAGGATCATGAGGTCAGGAGATCGAGACCATCCTGGCTAACATGGTGAAACCCCATCTCTACTAAAAATACAAAACAAAATCAGCTGGGTGTGATGGCACACACCTGTGGTCCCAGCTACTCGGGAGGCTGAGGCAGGAGAATGGCGTGAACCTGGGAGGTGGAGCTTGCAGTGAGCCGAGATTGTGCCACTGCACTCCAGCCTGGGCGACAGAGGGAGACTCTGTCTCGACAACAACAACAACAACAACAACAACAACAACAACAACAACAAGTACCACAGACTGGGTGGCTTAACAGAAACTTATTTTCTCAGTCCTGGAAGTTACAGGTACGAGATTGAGATGTCAGCAGGGTTGGTTCCTTCTGAGGCCTCTGTCCCAGGCTGGTAGATGGCCGCCTTCTCACTGCGTCCTCATGTATTCTTTCTTGTATGTATGTTCCTGTTTACTGGGGGTTAGGACTTCAACATATGAATTTTGGGAGGATGGAATTCAGCCTTGTCAGGCATCTGTGTTGGAGGTGGACTGGGTAGGAAGGACTGGTATGTGGTGAGCCAGTGATAAAGCTCTTTTGTGCAAGTCCACTTGTTGAGTGAGGGTGGAGACCTGATTGGGAGCCGTCGTGGACATAATCAGGAGGCAGCAGATGGGGAAGGTATTCGGAAGGTGGATTCCATGTCAATAATGTGGGGAAGAGGAGGTTGTGATGCTGGGCCATTTCTAGCACGGACCTTTTAAGAGGAGGCTGGCGGCTTAAACGAACGGCAGGAATTTAGTAGAGGGAATAAGTTTGGAGGTCTTAACTAAGAATTCTTAGCTACTGTCAATGAATTATTGACAAATAAATGGGTATAGGTAAAATCCTATGAGTTTAGAATGTAACAGACACTCTGATTGCAAAGTGATGAGCTCCAGCTCTATGTAGCACCCAGCATGTGTTGTTTACGTGAAAGTTTGACATTTTTTAATAGTAATTTCTTATCCGAGAACTCTTCATCCTGCTAATAAATGCTTGCTTCTCTATGTGCCTGAGACCTTCAGCACATGCTTTAACCAGGCCAAAATAAAGGGACCAATACGTTTCCTAATATCCTAAAGAAGACATTGGTGATAGATATGATTTCAGAAACAGGGACATGTAGGAAAATAACTGAAAGGACTTAGATGCAGTTAGAGTGACCCTTTTCCCCTCTTAAACCTCAATATTGCTATCTGTGCATTCTCAGCATTGTAAGGCCAACCTGTATAACATTACTTGTGTTATGTACTTGTTCTTGAGTCAATGCCAGGGGAAAATGGACCTGGGAGAGCTCGCTTTCATAGCTCCCAAGCCTGATTAACTTCTAACGTGAACCCTCTAAAGCTTCCCCTTTGAGTCATCACTGCAGAATCAAAGTCTCCCACTTTTTCCTCTTCCATCTTCCTTTTTGATGCTGGGTCATCACCAGTGCTATTTTTCTCTAAAATGCCTGCTGGCATCTTGAGCCTGGCACCACTAAACACTAGGTAAGAGGGGCAAAGGCAATTAAGATGGGTGTGGCAGAGTTTCTGCCTTTCAGGAGCCTACAATTATGTGAAGGGATGAGACAAGGACAGGAGGCTAAAATGAAACTCTTGTCTCAGTTTTGGCTGAGGCCTCAAGTCAATAGGTGGCAAAAACAATGGTGTTCCAAAGTCAGGGTGTGGTTTCCGATGCAGGACTTGGAGGTGGTTGAAAACCAGCTTTGAGGGCCCCCAGTTGACCACCCAGCTGCAACCTATATACCACATGGAGAGGCCGGGAGAGGGGTTGGAGATTAAAGAAATGATTTCTTGGAATAGAAATAATCCTTGTGTAAAAAGTTTTGTCCCTTCATGGAGGCAGGTTGCATGCTACCTTCCTCCTTCATGTCTGTGAGCATGGGTTCAAAGACACCTTTCAGAGAGCATATTAGGTGTCCCCAGAAACTTAGGTAACTTGGGGTACTGGAGGCTGATTTCACAGGTACAGTCTCAAGGGGCAGAGGCTGGCCAAAGTCACAGAGAAGAGAGTTATGTGCCTGCCCTTCCACTGGCCACAGGCCAAAGATACAAGTTCACTGTGGACCAGAGGTGGGTCATATGAGAGAGAAAGCCCTGCTAGGGTTATCAGATAATTCCCAGAGCAGTAGGAAGCTAGTGGTATTGCTAGATAGCCAGGGACCAAGAGAGAGCTCTTAAGTGGCCATGTCGATGGAATGATTTTGCCTAAGTCAAGAGCAGGACAGATGAGAAATATTCCCAGTGATGGGGGACAGGAGGGAGAGCCGAGGGAAAGAATTGGTGTTCTACATGAGCCATGGCCTGGGGAAAACCAACATCAGATGTGTGTTTACCTCTGCCCCTCCCCCTGTCTAACCGTGGAGAGGGCAGAAGGTACAGCCTGTGAGGTGAGGGAAAGAGACAAGAAGCCAACCATGATTCCCAAGGCACCAGCCAGAAAGAGGCCTAGGTTGACCCAGGGAGGGGTGTGGACTTGAAAATAGAGATTTGGTGATTCTATGGGCTAGATGTCATGAATGCATTTTTGTGAGAGTGAGTAGTAAGCCACAGGGACCACCTGTGATTTCTTCCCAGAATGGTGAAGGACTCAGTCTCACAGAGCAGGTGGAGCAGGCCCTTTCAGGGGAAAGAAAACATCATTTTCTGATTGTATCTTGCTATGATTTGAATGTGTCCCCATATGTTGGAAGCTTAATCTTTAATGCAATAGTGTTAGATACGTTGCCTAATGGCTGATGTTTAGGTCATGAGGGCTTCATCTTCATGAATGGATTAATGCTGATTATAAAAGGGCTCGAGTTATTCTCTCTCTGTCTTTCACCCTCTCCTTGCCTTTCTGCCATGTGATGCGTTCTGCCATGTTATGACACAGCAAGAAGGCCCTCACAAGATGCCAGCCCCTTGATCTTGGACTTTCCAGCCGCCAGAACTGTGAGAAATAAATCTCTGCTTATTATAAATTACCCAGTCTCAGGTATTCCCTTACAGAAGCACAAAATGGACTAAGACACACCTAGTTAATTCCTCACATTCAAGTTCTAGTTATGTGCACAAGCAGTGATAATCTCAGGCAGAATAATGTGCATGGTCCTCATCCTCTCAATGCATACCTATCAGACATCTGCTATGTGCCAGGCACTGACTGGACTCTGGAGAACGGCAGGGAATAAAACCAGGCAAGGTATGGACCCTTCACAGAGCCGACAGTTTAGTAGAGAAGACACTAGGCCTCCTGAGACAAAGTTATAGTGTCTTTTGAGAATTTGACAGGGGAAAAATTACAGGGGGGTAGAGTGAAAAGAGGAAAGCTAAGTAGAAGAGTGATGCTTGGGGCTGGATCACACAGAAGCTGTCAGACCTGGGTGGGCAGCGATGGCTGGGGTGGGGAGGTTATTCTAGACAGAATGACTGGTGTTCCGCGCCTGGGGAAAGAGAGTGGTCAGTTTCATGAGAGCACACAGTATATAGAATGAGTATGATTCCTCTTATATGAAATAGAATAGAAGAGGCAAATCTACAGAGACAGGAAGTAGATTAGTGGTTGCCTAAGGTTGAGGGGTGGGGAGAAATGGGAAGTAACCACCAATGAGTACAGGGCTTCTTTTTGCAGTGATAATATTTTTCTAACTTCAGATTGTGGTGATGGTTGCAGTTAATATACTAAAGTCACTGAATTGTAGACTTTCAGTGAGTGAATTGCTGTGTGAATTATATCTCAAATAGGCTGAGAAACAGGGGAAGGAGAATCTAGTCACAGCAAAATAAATGTGGAATGATACAGTCAATAGAAAATTCAGAATTTGGCAACACCGAGCAAATATGTCATTTAGAGCTACGTGGTAGGACTCTAAGCAAATCGAGACAATGATTATGAACATGTCAGGGATGGGTTAGCTTGAGGAGGTGGGAGGGGAATATGCTAAGTGAGGGAGCAGAGGGGAATGGCTAACAAACTCGACATATTTGATGATTTACTGTGAGAGGTGGTTTTGCAGGTGTGGTCTTTAGAACAATAATTTGTACAACTCTTAGGAACGCTCTTTTGAATGTATGACAGGTTTTAAAATAAAGAAAGAAAAAATGGGGAGGACAGTCAGAAATATATATGGAGAGGGCGTGCAGAGTTCAGAGTTCCAGGCAAGACATTCGTGTTTAACGAAGGAGACAGGGAGCCAGCAAAGATACTTGAGCAGGCAGCCAAGGGGATGAGAGCAGCAGGCTAGGAAGGGATCCAGGCTCTGTATGCAACATGCATGGGGGCAGGGAGGGGCCAGTGGTGGGGAGAAGCCCTAGGAGACTGGTGATAGGATCTGGGTATCTCGTAGGGTAGCAGGGATGGGAGTGCTTTGTGGGAAGTCTGAGGACCACCGGCAGAAGGGTAAAGTTGAAGATGAAAGATCAATTATGGCACCTTGGGCAGAGATAGGGGTTCAGGAGGAGCAGCTGGAATAAACAGAAGATGAATAGTTTAGTCTTAGACATGCAAGAAATATAAGAAACTGTGGGGAGATTGTAACTATAACTTGGCAAATTGTAGGTTCCCGGATAATTACGGGGCCTTTATAAATTCTTTCTGTGCTTGTTTCCTTGAGAAATCTGCTCTTTATTGGTAGTCCTATCTAGAGAACTCCATATCCCCCTCTGATCTGCAGTCCTGGCTCCCACAACTTTCCAGATAGAAGAACAATTTCTTTCTTTCTTTCTTTCTTTTTTCTTCTTTTTTTTTTTTTTGAAACGGAGTCTTGCTCTGTCGCCCAGGCTGGAATGCAATGGCGCGATCTAGGCTCACTGCAACCTCCACCTCCTGGGTTCAAGTGATTCTCCTGCCTCAGCCTCCTGAATAGGTGGGATTACAGGCACCCACCACCATGCCCAGCTTGGTTTTGTATTTTTACTAGAGACAGGGTTTCACCAGGCTGGTCTCGAACTCCTGACCTCCGGTGATCCACCCGCCTCGGCCTCCCAAAGTGCTGGGATTACAGGCGTGAGCCACCATGCCGGCCATCCTGTTGCATTTTCAGGGGCTTCGCCTGGGGCCCTGGCAGTGCAGACTTGAGAGAATGCTTTCCTGTTTCCCAACTCCAAAAATTCTCCCTGAATACATTCTTCCTGAATGCTCTGGCTCCTCATTTCTTGTCTCCCTGGGAAACTAGCCTGGCTAGTGTGTGAGAAGAATTGAGGCAAAGGCCTATAGGGGAAAGAGACTCTTAGATAGGACATCAAGGATGAATGGAAGATGTCATCCATACTGGGTGGGAGGAGCAAGTGTACAGCTGCCCAAGGGAGAGACAGGATGATTGAAGCAACAAGGCAGAATCCCAAGAGGTAGGAAAAGGCCATGTTGTTCAAGCAGTTTGGACTTGAACCTTCACCCTAAGTGTAACTGAAGCTATTGAAGGCTTTGAAGCAGGGTGGTGATGTGATCGGTTTCTACCTGCATCTAATGAGCATTTACTGTGTGCCAGGAGTCATTTGGTCTTTCATATACATTATCTCTCTCTCTTTTTTTTTGAGACGGAGTCTCACTCTGTCACCAGGCTGGAGTGCAGTGGTGCAATCTCGGTTCACTGCAACCTCTGCCTCCTGGGTTCAAGTGATTCTCCTGCCTCACCCTCCCAAATAACTGGGACTATAGGTGTGCACCACCATGCCCGGCTAATTTTTGTATTTTTAGTAGAGACAGGGTATCACCATGTTGGCCAGGATGGTCTTGATCTCTTGACCTTGTGATCCGCCTGCCTCGGCCTCCTAAAGTGCTGGGATTATGGGCATGAGCCACCGCTCCCGGCTCATACATTATCTCATTTAATATTTTCAGTGGTTCCATGGGGGTAGGTGTCATCCTTCTGTCCATCCATCTCATAGTTTTTAAAATTAAGGGACCACTTTGTGCCAGTCACTATATTTACGTTCATTGGACAGATGAGGAAACTGAAGAGTTCTCACTCCCAGAGGGTCAAATCAATTCCTAAAAGGCTGTAACCAGAAAGAGGCACAGCCAGGATTCAAACCCACAAAAGCAGATTCCAGGGCTTGTCCACTGGGCCTGAGGCATGGTTCAGCCAAGCCCCCTCCCTGGGGTGGAGGTGCAGGTCCTGGGTGGATCTTAAAGGCAGCAAGGTCAGCAAGAGCCAGGGTCCTGAAGTATGAACTGATCTTGGGTAAAAAGCGGGGGTCAGTGAGGCCACTACAGGTGACATGCAGAGGATAAAAGGCACTTGGGAATGAACTTGGAAAACCTGGGCACCTGCTATTTCTCTGCTTTCTTTCTTGCTAATGGATCTCTGATTTTCTTTTTCTTGGTGGTTGGCTTGAGGGGTTGGGAGGGTGGGTAGCCATGTGTCCAGCTCCTATGAATGAATTGTGATTGCTTTTAAGCCAGTCATGGCTATGCCAATACCATTTGCCAGGTATTCACTTTGCCGCTGTCTCCTCTTGTAGCTAATGGGAGCCATTGCACCAAATTTCGCTCAATGAGATGAAAAGGAAGTCTGTTGAGGGCTTGTGAAAAATATTTTTGATCCCTGCCATAGAAGGCAGAAAAGAGGAGATCCTATGTTATCTGGCTGCCTCACTGTATGCCGACTTTGAATGCAGTCATGATTCTTGGAGCTGTGGCAGCCGTCTTGTGACCATGAAGCAATAATCACAAAGACAAAAAACCAACAAATTAATGGTGGAGACTGGAAAAAGCTAGACACCTAATGAGCCTGAGAAGTTGAACTAATGGCAGCAAATTTTCCTTCCAGACTTCTTAGTATGTGAAAAAGGTAAACTTCTAGGAGTTCATGTGTTTGCATTATTTCTAGCTGACCATGTGCCAGCTGGTATAATAAGCACAGTGGAGATGAGGTAGGAAGGAAAGGTGAACCTATTTGGAGTGCAGGGTGATGTGTTAGGAACATTGCTTTGTTTTCTAATTTTTTTTTTTTGAGACAGAGTCTTGCTGTGTTTTCCAGGCTGGAGTGCAGTGGTGCGATCTTGGCTCACAGCAACCTCTGCCTCCCAGGTTCAAGTGATTCTCCTGCCTCAGCCTCCTGAGTAGCTGGGATTATAGGTGCCTGCCACCATGCCCAGCTAATTTTTTTTTGTATTTTTAGTAGAGATGGGGTTTTGCCATGTTGGCCAGGCTGATCTCGAACTCCTGACCTCAGGTGATCCACCCGCCTCAGCCTCCCAAATTGTTGAGATTACAGGGGTGAGCTACTGGTGCCCCGCCTTCTAATTGTTTTATGTGTTGCACATCTTGAAGACAGAGTCACCTTTTCTTTTCTGTTTTCCCCTTCCCACTTATACTCTCCTCACCTCTTCTTTTCCTCTAACCCATATTAAGCCCATATGCTCAACAATCATTTTTTTTGAATAAAGAAATTTCCCCTCTTTAATTCTCATTGTACTTCTATGAAGCTATCAAAAATATTCAAGGGCAGAGACCTAAACTTTTCCACTGTGCTCATGAGGTCATTACAGATGCTTTGCTTATTTTATTTAGCGCCTTGAAAGGAAGCTGGTAATTTAGAAACTTAGATGGTTCTTTGATGAGAAAAATACCTAAAGGAGAAAATGTCACAAAAAACTTTGGGGTGGAGAGGAGGGCAGGCATAAAAATAAAATGACAAAGACAATGGAAGAACGGGAAAGGGAGGATGAAAAGAAGTCTTTTGTATCACTGGCATTTCAGGATTTTACACCAGCAGTCTCTTCTATCAATGAAGACATATTTTTGAGGTCTCTAATTATAATGGTTTCCTATGGCAGACACTGTTAGTTACCCTGCAAACAGCTATCTCCCTTATTTTACGTCAATAGAATCCCATTTTTAATTATCCTCTAGAGTGTGGCAATGTTACTCACATGAGGATGGTCCTTACAGTGGCCCCAGACCCAGTGTAGGGAATCTTATCCTTCTCCACCCAGGGATTGGTTTATGAATGGTCATGTGACAGAATTTTGGCCAATGAGATGAGAAGGGAATCCATAGGGGTCTTATGGGAAATTTTCCTTTGCTTTTCAAAGAAGGCAGCAAGCTCCTTTTTCAGCTTCTGGTGTGCATAGGTGAGGAGGTGATGCCTGGAACTATGACAGCCTTTATTTATTTATTTATTTATTTATTATTTAAGTTCTAGGGTACATGTGCACAACATGCAGGTTTGTTACATATGTATACATGCCATGTTGGTGTGCTGCACCCATTAACTCGTCATTTACATTAGGTATATCTCCTAATGCTTTCGCTCCCCCCTCCCCCCACCCCACGACAGGCCCCAGTGTGCAATGTTCTCCTTTCTGTGTCCAAGTGTTCTCATTGTTCAATTCCCACCTATGAGTGAGAACATGCGGTGTTTGGTTTTTTGTTCTTGTGATAGTTTGCTGAGAATGATGGTTTCCAGCTTCATCCATGTCCCTACAAAGGACATGAACTCATCCTTTTTTATGGCTGCATAGTATTCCATGGTGTATATGTGCCATATTTTCTTAATCCAGTCTATCATTGTTGGACATTTGGGTTGATTCCAAGTCTTTGCTTTTGTGAATAGTGCCACAATAAACATATGTGTGCATGTGTCTTTATAGCAGCATGATTTATAATCCTTTGGGTATATACCCAGTAAAGGGATGGCTGGGTCAAATGGTATTTCTAGTTGTAGATCCTTGAGGAATCACCCCACTGTCTTCCAGAATGGTTGAACTAGTTTACAGTCCGTCCCACTAACAGTGTAAAAGTGTTCCTATTTCTCCACATCCTCTCCAGCACCTGTTGTTTCCTGACTTTTTAATGATTGCCATTCTAACTGATGTGAGATGGTATCTCATTGTGGTTTTGATTTGCATTTCTCTGATGGCCAATGATGATGAGCATTTTTTCATGTGTCTGCTGGCTGCATAAATGTCTTCTTTTGAGAAGCGTCTGTTCATATCCTTTGCCCACTTTCTGATGGGGTTGTTTGTTTTTTTCTTGTAAATTTGTTTGAGTTCTTTGTAGATTCTGGATATTAGCCCTTTGTCAGATAAGTGGATTGCAAAAATTTTCTCCCATTCTGTAGGTTGCCTGTTCACTCTGATGGTAGTTTCTTTTGCTGTGCAGAAGCTCTTTAGTTTAATTAGATCCAATTTGTCTATTTTGGCTTTTGTTGCCATTGCTTTTGGTGTTTTAGACATGAAGTCCTTGCTCATGCCTATGTCCTGAATTGTATTGCCTAGGTTTTCTTCTAGGGTTTTTATGGTTTTAGGTCTAACATGTAAGTCTTTCATCCATCTTGAATTAATTTTTGTATAAGGTGTAAGGAAGGGATCCAGTTTCAGCTTTCTACATATGGCTAGCCAGTTTTCCCAGCACCATTTATCAAATAGGGAATCCTTTCCCCGTTTCTTGTTTTTGTCAGGTTTGTCAAAGATCAGATGGTTGTAGATATGCGGCATTATTTCTGAGGACTCTGTTCTGTTCCATTGATCTATATCTCTGTTTTGGTACCAGTACCATGCTGTTTTGGTTACTGTAGCCTTGTAGTATAGTTTGAAGTCAGGTAGCGTGATGCTTCTGGCTTTGTTCTTTTGGCTTAGGATTGACTTGGTGATGCGGGCTCTTTTTTGGTTCCATATGAACTTTGAAGTAGTTTTTTCCAATTCTGTGAAGAAAGTCATTGGTAGCTTGATGGGGATGGCATTGAATCTATAAATTACCTTGGGCAGTATGGCCATTTTCACGATATTGATTCTTCCTACCCGTGAGCATGGAATGTTCTTCCATTTGTTTGTATCCTCTTTTATTTCATTGAGCAGTGGTTTGTAGTTCTCCTTGAAAAGGTCCTTCACATCCCTTGTAAGTTGGATTCCTAGGTATTTTATTCTCTTTGAAGCAATTGTGAATGGGAGTTCACTCATGATTTGGCTCTCTGTTTGTTATTGGTGTATAAGAATGCTTGTGATTTTTGTACATTGATTTTGTATCCTGAGACTTTGCTGAAGTTGCTTATCAGCTTAAGGAGATTTTGGGCTGAGACAATGGGGTTTTCTAGATATACAATCATGTCATCTGCAAACAGGGACAATTTGACTTCCTCTTTTCCTAATTGAATACCCTTTATTTCCTTCTCCTGCCTAATTGCCCTGGCTAGAACTTCCAACACTATGTTGAATGGGAGTGGTGAGAGAGGGCATTCCTGTGGTGTGCCAGTTTTCAAAGGGAATGCTTCCAGTTTTTGCCCATTCAGTATGATATTGGCTGTGGGTTTGTCATAGATAGCTCTTATTATTTTGAGATACGTCCCATCAATACCTAATTTATTAAGAGTTTTTAGCATGAAGGGTTGTTGAATTTTGTCAAAGGCCTTTTCTGCATCTATTGAGATAATCATGTGGTTTTTGTCTTTGGTTCTGTTTATATGCTGGATTACATTTATTGATTTGCATATGTTGAACCAGCCTTGCATCCCAGGGATGAAGCCCACTTGATCATGGTGGATAAGCTTTTTGATGTGCTGCTGGATTCGGTTTGCCAGTATTTTATTGAGGATTTTTGCATAAATGTTCATCAAGGATATTGGTCTAAAATTCTCTTTTTTGATTGTGTCTCTGCCAGGCTTTGGTATCAGGATGATGCTGGCCTCATAAAATGAGTTAGGGAGGATTCCCTCTTTTTCTATTGATTGGAAAAGATTCAGAAGGAATGGTACCAGCTCCTCCTTGTACCTCTGGTAGAATTCAGCTGTGAATCCATCTGGTCCTGGACTTTTTTCGTTGGTAGGCTATTAATTATTGCCTCAATTTCAGAGCCTGTTATTGGTCTATTCAGGGATTCAACTTCTTCCTGGTTTAGTGTTGGGAGGGTGTATGTGTCTAGGAATTTATCCATTTCTTCTAGATTTTCTAGTTTATTTGTGTAGAGGTGTTTATAGTATTCTCTGATGGTAGTTTGTATTTCTGTGGGATTGGTGGTGATATCCCCTTTATCATTTTTGATTGTGTCTATTTGATTCTTCTCTCTTTTCTTCTTCATTAGTCTTGCTAGTAGTCTATCAATTTTGTTGATCTTTTCAAAAAACCAGCTCCTGGATTCATTGATTTTTTGAAGGGTTTTTTGTGTCTCTATCTCCTTCAGTTCTTCTCTGATCTTAGTTATTTCTTCCTTCTGCTAGCTTTTGAATGCGTTTGCTCTCGCTTCTCTAGTTCTTTTAATTGTGATGTTAGGGTGTCAATTTTAGATCTTTCCTGCTTTCTCTTGTGGGCATTTAGTGCTATAAATTTCCCTCTACACACTGCTTTAAATGTGCCCCAGAGATTCTGGTATGTTGTGTCTTTGTTCTCATTGGTTTCAAAGAACATATTTATTTCTGCCTTCATTTCTTTATGTACCCAGTAGTCATTCAGGAGCAGGTTGTTCAGTTTCCATGTAGTTGAGTGGTTTTGACTGAGTTTCTTAGTCCTGAGTTCCAGTTTGATTGCAATGTGGTCTGAGAGACAGTTTATTATAATTTCTGTTCTTTTACATTTGCTGAGGAGTGCTTTCCTTCCAACTATGTGGTCAATTTTGGAATAAGTGTGATGTGATGCTGAGAAGAATGTATATTCTGTTGATTTGGGGTGGAGAATTCTGTAAATATCTATTAGGTCCGCTTAGTGCAGAGCTGAGTTCAACTCCTGGATATCCTTGTTAACTTTCTGTCTTGTTGATCTGTCTAATGTTGACAGTGGGGTGTTAAAGTCTCCCATTATTATTGTGTGGGAGTCTAAGTGTCTTTGTAGATCTCTAAGGACTTGCTTTATGAAACTGGGTGCTCCTGTATTGGGTGCGTATATATTTAAGATAGCTAGCTCTTCTTGTTGAATTGATCCCTTTACCATTATGTAATGGCCTTCTTTGTCTCTTTTGATCTTTGTTGGTTTAAAGTCTGTTTTATCCGAGACTAGGATTGCAACCCCTGCCTTTTTTTGTTTTCCATTTGCTTGGTAGATCTTGCGCCATCCCTTTATTTTAAGCCTATGTGTGTCTCTGCACGTGACGTGGGTCTCCTGAATACAGCATGCTGATGGGTCTTGACTCTTTATCCAATTTGCCAGTCTGTGTCTTTTAATTGGAGCATTTAGCCCATTTACATTTAAGGTTAATATTGTTATGTGTGAATTTGATCCTGTCATTATGATGTTAGCTGGTTATTTTGCTCGTTAGTTGATGCAGTTTCTTCCTAGCATTGGTGGTCTTTACAATTTGGCATGTTTTTGCAGTGGCTGATACCGGTTGTTCCTTTCCATGTTTAGTGCTTCCTTCAGGAGCTCTTGTAGGGCAGGGCTGGTGGTGACAAAATCTCAGCATTTGCTTGTCTGTAAAGGATTTTATTTCTCCTTCACTTATGAAGCTTAGTTTGGCTGGATATGAAATTCTGGGTTGAAAATTCTTTTCTTTAAGAATGTTGAATATTGGCCCCCACTCTCTTCTGGCTTGTAGAGTTTCTGCCAAGAGATCCACTGTTAGTCTGATGGGCTTCCCTTTGTGGGTAACCTGACCTTTCTCTGGCTGCCGTTAACATTTGTTCCTTCATTTCAAATTTGGTGAATCTGACAATTATGTGTCTTGGAGTTGCTCTTCTCGAGGAGTATCTTTGTGGCATTCTCTGTATTTCCTGAATTTGAATGTTGGCCTGCCTTGCTAGATTGGGGAAGTTCTCCTGGATAATATCCTGCAGAGTGATTTCCAACTTGGTTCCATTCTCCCCATCACTTTCAGGTACACCAATCAGATGTAGATTTGGTGTTTTCACATAGTCCCATATTTCTTGGAGGCTTTGTTCATTTCTTTTTACTCTTTTTTCTCTAAATTTCTCTTCTCGCTTCATTTCATTCATTTGATGTTCAATCACTGATACCCTTTCTTCCAGTTGATCGAATCAGCTACTGAAGCTTGTGCATTCGTCTCATAGTTCTCGTGCGATGGTTTTCAGCTCCATCAGGTCATTTAAGGACTTCTCTACACTGGTTATTCTAGTTAGCCATTCGTCTAATCTTTTTTCAAGGTTTTTAGCTTCTTTGTGTTGGGTTTGAACTTCCTCCTTTAGCTCAGAGAAGTTTGATCATCTGAAATCTTCTTCTCTCAACTCGTCAAAGGCATTCTCCATCCAGCTTTGTTCCATTGCTGGCGAGGAGCTGTGTTCCTTTGGAGGGGGAGAGGTGCTCTGATTTTTAGAATTTTCAGCTTTTCTGCTCTGTTTTTTCCACATCTTTGTGGTTTTATCTACCTTTGGTCTTTGATGATGGTGATGTACAGATGGGGTTTTGGTGTAGATGTCCTTTCTGTTTTTTCGTTTTCCTTCTAACAGTCAGGACCCTCAGCTGCAGGTCTGTTGGAGTTTGCTGGAGGTCCACTCCAGATCCTGTTTGCCTGGGTATCAGCAGTGGAGGCTGCAGAACAGCGAATATTGCTGAACAGCAAATGTTGCTGCCTGATCATTCCTCTGGAAGCTTCATCTCAGAGGGGTACCTGGCTGTGTGAGGTGTCAGTCTGCCCCTACTGGGGGGTGCCTCCCAGTTAGGCTACTCGGGGGTCAGAGACCCAGTTGAGGAGGCAGTCTGTCCATTCTCAGATCTCAAACTCTGTGCTGGGATAACCACTACTCTCTTCAAAGCTGTCAGACAGGGACATTTAAGTCTGCAGAGGTTTCTCCTGCCTTTTGTTCAGCTATGCCCTGCCCCCAGAGGTGGAGTCTACAGAGGCAGGCAGGCCTCCCTGAGCTGCGGTGGGCTCCACCCAGTTCGAGCTTCCTGGCTGCTTTGTTTACCTACTCAAGCCTCAGCAATGGCAGGTGCCCCTCCTCCAGCCTCGCTGCTGCCTTGCAGTTTGATCTCAGACTGCTGTGCTAGCAATGAGCGAGGCTCCGTGGGCATGGGACCCTCTGAGCCAGGCGCAGGATATAATCTCCTAGTGTGCTGTTTGCTAAGACCATTGGAAAAGCACAGTATTAGGGTGGGAGTGACCTGATTTTCCAGGTGCCATCTGCCACAGCTTCCCTTGGCTAGGAAAGGGAATTCCCTGACCCCTTGCGCTTCCCAGGTGAGGCGATGC
Source organism: Homo sapiens (assembly GCF_000001405.40). NCBI lineage: Eukaryota > Metazoa > Chordata > Mammalia > Primates > Hominidae > Homo > Homo sapiens. The sequence continues at coordinate 31,820,187 of NC_000021.9, forward strand.
CTCGCCCTGCTTTGGCTCACACTTGGTGCGCTGCACCCACTGTCCTGCCCCGACTGTCCAATGAGCCCCAGTGAGATGAACCCAGTACCTCAGTTGGAAATGCAGAAATCACCCGTCTTCTGCATCGCTCACGCTGGGAGCTGTAGACTGGAGCTGTTCCTATTCAGCCATCTTGGAACCCACCACCTGTGGCAGCCTTTTAGGGGCCATGAGAGATGCCCGCCCAAAAGGATAAGCCAACACACTGAAGCTAGTGAAAAAGAAAAACAAAAATAATCTTGAACCTTAACTTAGTTTAACCTCCGTATTAACAAACTCTGGTTATATCTGTTAATACTGATGTAAATAAATGATTAAATAAATAAATGAAGAATAAAAAAACTCCTGTGCAGAATAATCTCAAGTAATTTATATAGCTACTCTGTCCTCAAGGAGATAGAATGTACCCCCGCACTCCCGAAGTGTGGACTACACATAATGGCTTTTTTCTGATAAGTACACTGGGTGGAGAGAAGGGTCACTGTACAGTAGAGAAGGCTGACAAACACCGCCTCAGTTGGTGATCACAGTTAATGTCAACAGTGATAAGTCATGTTGATAGCATGTACCTCTTACATAATGTAATGAGAATGGCACTTTCTCTCTGGTCTTGTCTGATCTTTCCCAAACCCACAACTCTGTCTAATTCATGAGACAAACATCAGACGAACCCAAGTTGAAATATGTTCTAAACAAAATTTCTTGTCAGTATTCCTCAAAACTATCAAGGAAAATTTGAGAAACTGTGACAAGAGGCACCCAAGGAGAAATGGTTACTAACTGTAATGTGGCATCCTAGATGAAATCCTGGAGGAGAAATAGGACATAAGGTGAAAAGAAAGAAAATCTGAATAAAGTATGGACTTTAATGAACAATAGTGCATCAATACTGGTTCATTAATTATGACAAATTTACCATACTAATGAAAGATGTTAATAATAGGGCAAAGTGGGCCTGGGATTTATCAGAATTTTCTGTAAATCTAAAACTATTTTAATATTAAAAGTTTATTTTAAAAATAGAGACACCGATATCAAGAATGAAAGGTCCAATTCTAACAAAAGGTCCAACTCCAGATTCTATAGACATTAAAAGGATAATATTAGTAACAACTTTGTGCCAATATATTTGATAACAAATGAAAAAAAATTGTTAAAAGACACAAAGCTCACTGAGGAATAAATAGGTAACTTAAAAATTCCCGTATCTCTTAAGAGCATTAATATCTAGTTAAAAATTTTCGCCGGGCGCAGTGGTTCACGCCTGTAATCCCAGCACTTTGGGAGGCTGAGGCGGGTGGATCATGAGTTCAGGAGATCGAGACCATCCTGGCTAACATGGTGAAACCCCGTCTCTACTAAAAAAAAAAATACAAAAAATTAGCCGAGCGTGGCGGTGGGCACCTGTAGTCCCAGCTACTCGGGAGGCTGAGACAGGAGAATGGCATGAACTCAGGAGGCGGAGCTTGCAGTGAGCCAAGATCGCCACTGCACTCCAGCCTGGGTGACAAAGCAAGACTCTGTCTCAAAAAAAAAAAAAAAATTCCCACAAAGAAAACTCAAGGCCCAGTTAGTTCTATTGGGAAATTCTGCCAAACAATTAAGGGAAAAATTAAACCAATTCTACACAAAATCTTCCTAAAAATGGAAGAGAAAGGTATACTTCCGGACTGTCTTTGTTATACAATGGAATAGTATTTAGCCATAAAAAGAGTGAACTTCTGTCATTTGCAGCAGCATGGATGAAACTGGAGATCATTATGTTAACTGAATAAACCAGGCACAGAAAGACAATTATTGCATATTCTCACTCATAAATGGGAGCTAAAAAAGTGGACCTCATGGATGTAGGTAGTAGAACGATGGTTACCAGAAGCTGGGAAGCATCAGTGGGATGGGTCAGAGGCATGCAGAGAGGTTGGTTATTGGGTACAAACATAACAGTTAGATAGGAGGAATAAGTTCTATTGTTTGATAGCACAGTAGGGTGACTACAATTAACAATGATTTATTGTATATTTCAAAACAGCTGGAGGAGTTGAAATGCTGTCAGCACAAAGAAATGATAAATGTGTGAGGCGATGGATATCCTAATTACTCTGAGTTGATTATTATAGATGGTATGCACATATCTAAGTATCACATGTACTCTATAAATATGTACAATTATTATATATCAATTAAAAAATAGAACTACTATATGATCCAGCAATCCTATTTCTGGATATATACCCAAAAGACATAAAAATATCAAAGAGATATCTGCACTCCCATATTCATAATTGACAAGATATGGAATCAATTTGTGTCCACCGATGGATGAATGATAAAGGCAATGTGGATAGAATACTATTCAGCCTTAAAAAAGAAGAAACTCCTGTCATTTGTAACAATATGCATGGACCCGGAGAACCTTATGCCAGGAAAAATAAGCCAGGCATAGAAAAACAAATGTTTCTTGATCTCACTTATACGTGGGATCTAAACATGTTGAACTCATAGAAGCAAAGAATGGAATGTGGTTGTCAGTGGCCTGGCAGGTTATGGGAGATGGGAATTGGGAGATGTTGGTCAAAGTGTCCAAGGTTCAGTTAGACAGAATGAATAAGCTCTGCTACTATATAGTATGATGATTACAGTTAATAATAATGCATTGCATACTTGAAAATTCCTATGAGAGTGTAACTTAATGTTCTTACCACAAAAAATAATAAGTATGTGAGGTGATGGATCTGTTAATTAGCTCAATTTAATAATTTTGCAATGTATACATATATCAAAACATCACGTTATACACCACAGATATATACAATTTTATTTGTCAGTTGTAACTCATAAAAATAAAGATTCTAGAACGAATATATGGGTCTAGCAAGGTTGCAGGATTTAAGATTAAAAATCATAGTATTTTTATATACTAGCAACAAACAATCAGACATTGAAACTTTAAAATACACCATTTACATTTTATCAAAAATATGAAATACTTTGAGGTAAAGATGTGAAAGACCTATTATTGAAAACTGCGTAACATTGCCAAAACAAATTAAGGAAGACCTAAGTAAATGGGGAAATATACCATGTTTACGGATTGAAAGACTCAATATTGTTAGGATGCTAATTATCTCCAAATTAATCTACAGTTTCAATGCAATTTTAATCAAAATTGCAGCAGGCTTTTGGGGGGTTGGGTAAAAATTGATAAACTGTGTTAAAATTCACATGGAAATGCAAAGACCCCAGAACAACAACTTTGAAAAATAAGAACAAAGTTGGAGGACTTACACCACCTGACTTCAAACTTATTATAAAGTTATAGTAACAAAGACACAGTGCAGTATTAGCACAAAGAGAGACAAATAGATAAAGGGAATACACTTGGGTCCAGAATTAGTCCTCATGTATATAGGCAAAGATTTTTGACAAAGGTACAAAGGCAGTTCAGTCAAGAAAGGATAGTCTTTTCAACAGATGATGTTGGAATAATTGAACATATACCTGCAAAAAGTTAACTTCAACCAATACCTCATAACATGTACAAAAATAACTCAAACTGGGTTATAGACCTGAATATAAAGTGTAAAATTATAAAACTTTTAGACTAAAACGTAAGAGAAAATCTTTGTGACATTGAGTAACGTAAAAATTTGTTAGATACAAACCAAAAGTATAATCCATAAAAGAAAAAAATTGTTAAATTGGACTGCATCAAAATTAAGAACTTTTGCTCTTCATAAGTCCCTCTAAGAGAATAAGAAAACAAACCAAAGACAGAGAAAAACTATTATTTTCCAATCACATATCTGATAATGGACTTGTGTATGGAATATATAAATAATGCTCAAAATTCAATAATAAGAAAATAAACAATCCTAATTTTTATTTTTATCTTTAAAAATTTTTTTTTGAGAAAGAGTCTAGCTCTGTTGCCCAGGCTGGAGTGCAGTGGTGTGTTTTCACTGCAACCTCCGCCTCCTGAGTTCAAGCAATTCTCCTGCCTCAGCCTTCCAAGTAGCTGGGATTACAGGCACTCGCCATCATGCCTGGTTAATTTTTGTATTTTTGTAGAGATGGGGTTTCACTATGTTGGCCAGGCTGGTCTTGAACTTCTGACCTCAGGTGATCTGCCTGCCTCAGTCTTCCAAAGTGCTGGGATTACAGGCGTGAGCCACAATCCTAATGTTTAAATGGGCAAAAGATTTGAACAGACAGTTCACCAGAAAGATATACGGATATATGGATAAGCACGTGAGAAGATGCTCAACATCTTTAGTCATTAAGGAAATGCAAATTAAAACCAGTATGAGGTACCATTACACACTTATTACAATGGCTAAAATTAAAGAGACCTGTCATGCCAAGTGATGATGTTGTGAAGCAGCTGAAACTCATATGCACTACTGTGGAAATGTCAAATGGTGCAACTACTTTGGAAAACAGTTTGGCAGTTTCTTAAAAGTTAAAAATATCTCTACCACCAGTCATTCCAGCCTTACACATTTACCCAAAAGAGATGAAAGCATGTGTCCATACAAAGACTTGAATATGAATATTAATGTCAGCTGTATTTGTAATAGACCTAAACTGTAAACAACTGAAAGGTCCATGAACAGATAAATGGATAAACAAATTGTGTATAGTCATACATTAGAATATTACTGCACAATAAAAAGAAAAGGAAAGGAGTATTGAATTGATGCATGCAACAACATGGATGAATCTCTAAATAACTATGTAAGTGACAGAAGCCAGCTGAAATAGTACATACTGACTGCTACTAATTTTTATAAAATTCTAGAAAGGCTAATCTATGTTGACAGAAGGCTCTTTAATGGATTGAGTGGGATGGGATGGAGAGAGAAAAGGAGGCACACAGAAAATTTGGAGGTAATGAATGTATTCATTATCCATGATTGCTTCTGGTGCTATTTTCATGTATGGTTACATATGTCAACATGTCAAATTACACACTTTAAATATATACAGTGCATTGTATTATAACTCAGTACCATTCTGTTGTTGGGAAATAATCATAGGTACCATAAAAATTTACTTGTAAGGATGGTCATAGCAGAAATATTTATACTAGCATGAAAAAAATCAGAGCAGATCAAACACCCAATAATAAAAGGATATAAAGTATTTGTCTATCATAAAAATAAGTATTATGTATTTAGATAATATGAGATTTGTGATGAACTTCTGCGGATACAGGAGAAGGCACACAACATGTTAATGAAGAAAAGCAGGTTATAAAACCTTGAAATGGAATCCCAATTTAACCACCTTCTCCCCCTCACACCCACCTGTAGATAAAATTCTTGAAGGAAATGTACTACGTTGTCTATAGGCAGTAATATTATGCGTGGCTCTTATATTCTTATTTGTTCTTTTATCTCCTCCTATTTTCCAAATCTTTTTTTAAAAAAACACACAATTAACATTTTTACCCAGGAAATAACACTTTTTTTTTTTAAAGACAAAGAATTACCCAGATTGGTGACAATATTGACTCAAAACCATCAACTGGATGTTTGCTCCTGTCTACGGCTGGGTTCCTGCTTGTTCATTATGTCTGCCGTAGGTTACATTTTTGGTCACAGTGATTTGTTCCCTCTCTGTAGGTGGAGGATGTAGGCATTCTTAGCCATGTGACTTGCTTTAGCTAGCACAATGTTAGCAAACATGATGGAGGCCACACTGGAGCAAAATGCTTCAGATGTTGTTGTCTGGTTTGGCTTGGCCACTTCCTTCTGCAAGAGAAAGGCAAGATGTCTTCTCAGAATTGTTAGCTTAAAAATTACACAATGTGGCCAGGCGTGGTGGCTCATGCCTGTAATTCCAGCACTCTGGGAGGCTGAGGCAGGCAGATCATCTGAGGTCAGGAGTTCGAGACCAGCCTGGCCAACATGGTGAAACCCCCGTCTCTATTAAAGATACAAAAAATTAGATGGGAGTGGTGGCACATCCCTGTAATCCCAGCTACTTGGGAGGCTGAGGTAGGAGGATCGCTTGAACCTGGAAGGCGGAGGTTGCAGTGAGCTGAGATTGTACCACTGCACTCCAGCCTGGGCAACAGAGTGAGACTCTATCTCAAAACAAACAAACAAACAAGACAAAATAATTACATAATTTGTATATTTAGAAAAAGGAGAGCATTATTTCATATCAAGGTCATATCCTACAAGGTGGCCGTTCTCACAGGTTGGAGAGAGGAGTCTCCTGTTGAAGCTATTAGCAGGAACTTCAAGGAAAAGAGAGGAAAGACAGGAGTGTAAGCTGAATAGGTTGGGCTTATATACATATTCAACAGGATATAGGAGGAGCTATGAATATTCATGAAAGGGGGTTGTACACATGCATGACAAGCACACATGTGTTCCAAGTGACCCATGTTCACTTTGGGGTGGAGACTCAACATTTCCATGTATGACTGTTAGGCCCTGTATGTCAAAAGGTGAAGTGGGCACTCAGTGTGCAGCCTCTGTAAACTGGCTGGAACCAGTCCATACACAGCGGTCGTCTTATCAGGAGAAAGTTATTGAAATCTGTCCCTTGTCCACTCAAAGCTGTAGTTACGGCTTGTGGAACAGGGGGTTATTTAGTCAGCATCTAGAGGAGGATGAGCTGTAATTGTTTTAATATTGCTTATCTAAATAAGCCAGTGCTTATTTAACTGCTAAAGACAAAGAAAAACCTTGTGGTAGTTAGAACATGCTGTATTCTTTAAGTGGAGGCTATGTGACTTAACCTTGCCTCTCATGGCCTTAGGTTCTGTTTACAAATTGGCATCCCATTGCCACAAATAGTCTGTTCTTATGTCTTATCATCTATATTTTAACATAATTGACTGTCAGCATTGTGTCTAAACTGAAAAAGGGGCTGCGTGTGGTGGCTCACGCCTATAATCCCCCAGCACGTTGGGAGGCTGAGGCAGGGGAATTGCTTGAGCTCAGGAACTTGAGACCAGCCTGAGCAACATAGCAAGACCCCATCTCTACAAAAAAATTTAAAAATTAGCTGGGCATGGTGGTGCACACTTGTAGCCCAGCTACTTGGAAAGCTGAGAGAGGAGAATTGCTGGAGCCCCAGAGCTAGAGGCTGCAGTGAGCTATGATTGTGCCACTGCAGTCCAGCCTGGGTGGAAGAGTGAGACCCTGTTTCAAACCACAAGAACAACGACAACAAAACTGTAAAAGGTAAGGGGCATCATGAGGCATGTCTGACCTCCCATCCCATCATGGCTAAGAACTCAGTTTTTAAGGTTTCTTGGCCAAAGGGGGATCCATTAAGTTGGTTGGAAGGCTTAGGATTTTATTTCTGGCTTACAGAATGAAGGGGTTGTTCCTTAACCTTGGGGCCCAAAGTGAAAAGATATACAGAGGCAACCTGAAGACATTCTGACCCCTGGAGCAAAGCCACAGCTGACCTGCTGCCTTCATGTAACCAAAACGAGAAATTGAGGTTTGATGTGGAAGCCTCTGAGATTTTAGAATTGCTTGTAATCCAGCAATACATTTTTCTATTATAGATGATAACATCTCATAAGGCATAGCACAGCAGTGTGTTTACTACAAAATCTTGAATCTGGGTTAAGAGCATGCCCTAGGTTCCATGCCGTGGGGTAAAGGTGAATGGGTGAATGGGTGAGGACTTAGGGGTGGTGTTAAAAAATTCAGGAAGATGCCTCTAAAAGGCACTATTATGGGAGAAGGCAAATATTATGGGAAATGGGGTAGTAGGATGAGAGAATGGGGTGAGATGGTAGAGATGGAAAAAAGCGCATGGGAAAGGCATAATGCAAACTTGCATGCAGGCCTGGACAAGATGGAGAAAGAGGGGAAGATGCAGAGGAAGGAAGGCCCATGTAGTTCAAGAATAGTGCAGAAATGCTTTTCTCAGCCACCACTAGTGTCCTTTCTCTTCTTAAAAATGATGCTGGCATTACTTCTTTCTCAAGTGCACTTCTCACCTCATTTCCTTAGCTAGGAAGTGGAAAGTACTCCAATGTGGGTTTTGATGAAAGTGTCTGCGGCCCCAGCTGCTGGATGCACCATGCTGCCCGTATTTCTTCCTTTCCAAACAAGGGCTTCCTTTTAGATTGTGATATGGTTTGGCTGTGTCCCCACCCAAAACTCATCTTGACTTATAGCTCCCATAATTCCCACGTGTTGTGGGAGGGACCCAGTGGGAGGTAATTAAATCATGGGGGTGGGTTATTCCCATGCTGTTCTCATGATAGTGAATAAGTCTCTCGAGATCTGATGGTTTTATAAGGGGAAACCTCTTTCACTTGGCTCTCATTCTGTCTTGTCTGCTGCCATGTAAGACGTGCCTTTCGCCTTTCACCTTCCACCATGATTGTGAGGCCTCCCCAGTCACATGGAACTGTGAGTCCATTAAACCTCTTTTTACTTACAGATTACATAGCCTCAGTATGCCTTTATCAGCAGTGTGAAAACAAACTAATACAGGTTGTCTTGTGTACATGGCTTTTTCTGGGCACTTGCATTTGAATTTTCCTTTTTTCTTAACCTAGGGGTTTCCAAATCTTGGGTCTACTCTTTCCTCTTCTATGTACATAATTTCTCACAGGGAATATACCAGCATCTTCAGCTTTGTATACAACACCTTTCTTCCTTCCTTGGGGAGAGTGAATAATTTGATGTCATCAACCCAAGACACTTCATTGAACATGGAGATGTAGGTGGCAATAATTTAAATTCATACCTAATAACCAGCTTGCCTTTTTTATACTTTAAAGACTTTTTTTCCAAAAGAAAAAAATCTAATTATGCACAAGAGCAATTCACTCAGAATTAATTCACTAGGAATTAAATTGAAAAAAAAAGGTAAGGATGTTAACAATCCTTTAAAAAATAATTCAAATTAGAAACACTAATTATAGGAACTCCTTTATATAACATGAAACACAGTTCTCTGAGGCATGGTGAAGAGGGCTGGCTGTAAAGCAAACTCTCAGAGAACAAAGTTTCTGATTTATGGAGGAATTTGTTTGAACAAGGAATGCAATTTCCTTTGAGGAGTTACTGCTCAGATCTGTGATCACTGTCTGATCGTTTCTGGGGAGACCACAGGACATAGCATGACCGACATTTTATTCTGGGATCAGAGCCTAAGGGCTCACCATCTTGAACTTAGGAAGTCAGAAAGGAAAGAAGTCAAATGTTTGGGTGGCCCCTCTAATCACAGCCTTCAGCTTTCTCGCAGAACAGGAGCACGCAGCGGGTGATAAGAGTGAGATTTCTGTCTGGGGGTGTCTCACCCAAAGCTTTTGTTCTTTGCATTTCAGCAAGTTTTCTTGAGGACAGGCAAGGATTGGGATCTGAGGGCCATTTTTCTGACTCCTTATTAAGGTTTTATTTGGGCCTGGCGCAGGCCCAAATAAAGGTCAGGAGTTGAAGACCAGCTTGGGCAACGTGGTGAAACCCATCTCCACTAAAAATACAAAAATTAGCCAGGTGCGGTGGTGCACATCTGTAATCTCAGCTACTTGAGAGGCTGAGGCATGAGAATCGCTTGAACCTGGGAGGTAGAGGTTGCAGTGAGCTGAGATCACGCCACTGCCCTCCAGCCTGGGTGATAGAGCGAGACTCCAACTCAAGAAACAAAAAAGGTTATATTTGCCAATTACTAAGCCAAAGGGCACAATCAAAGTGATAAATAGTGCTTTTCAAACTATTGGGTTGTGTCCCAGTTTTTGGATTGTGAAATCAAATTAGCACAACTGAATATGTAATTTTGAAAAACAGAATAGAATAGAAAATGCCAGACTGCATTGGATACATGCATAAGGAGTGCTATGGGCTGAATCATATCCCCACAAATTCATATGTTGGAGTCCTAACCCCCGGTAGCTCAGAATATGACCTTATTTGGAGATAGAGTTTTTTAAAGAGGTAATTAAGGTCAAATAAGGTTATTAGGGTGGACCCTATTCCAATATAACTGGTATCTTTATAAGAAAGGGAGATTAAGACACAAACGCCCACTGAGGGAAGACCATGTGAGGACACAGGGAGAAGACAACCATCTACAATCCAAGGAAAGAGGCTTCAGAAGGAACCACCCTTGCTGACACCTTGATCTTGGACTTCTGGCCTCCAGAACTGTGAGACAATAACTTTCTGTTGTTTGAGCCACCTGGTCTGTGATGCTTTGTTATGGAAGCCTGAGCAAACTAATACAAGGGGTAAGTATTATTTTGTGGAAACTTAATTTTGATTTTACATACACACATATACACACACTCATGCACACACACACATTCTTAAGATTTATAGCCTAAAATGATTGAAAAATACTGGGTGGGAGTGAGCCCACAATGTTTCCATATTCAGGGAGCAACCAGAGAGATGGTTTGCACTCATCCAGGTGAGGACAGTGAAGACAGGAAGTAAACTCTCACCATCAGAGCAAGCAAGGGCTGCCTGTTTATCCCTCAGTAGAAAGAGAAGCCTTGACTTGGCAGAGGGAAATCTCCTATCCCCGTATGTGAAATTCAGTGTTTCCTGTTTCGCCAGGGCCAAAAAAAAAAAAAAAAAAAAAATTGTGTGTTAGAGCAACAATCTCTAAATGAAAATTATTCATATTGATTTTTAAAAGGGGAGCAACTTATTACACAGTGAATTCCAGTTCCATTTGGAATTCACCCAAGAGCCTAGAAGAAAGCAAGAAAGTTTACGAGTCAGTGAGCCTAAGTGTCTTAAAATTCATGCCCTGAAGTTCACCTTTATTCGCAGGAAAACTCCTCTGGCTCTCATTCAGTCTCTTTATTCTTATTTTAGACCCTAATAGTTTAAAAAGAAGTATTATTTTAAATTTAAAACATGTGAAAAGCTATTGTATTTGTTGGCCAAAATCCGGGGTGGAGTCTTTCCTTTAATTCCAGTGAATTCTTGGGGATGGGATAAATGTTGTAGGATGTCTGCAGACATAGATTCTTCAAAGAGTCATTTTGCTCTCTCTTTATTTTCATTCAGAAATTATAATACATCTTTTAGTCTGGGCGCGGTGGCTTACGCCTGTTATCCCAGCACTTTGGGAGGCCGAGGCGGGCGGATCACTTGAGGTCCAGAGTTCGAGACCAGCCTGGCTAGCATGGTGAAACCCCATTTCTAGCAAAAATAAAAAAATTAGCAGGGTGTGGTGGCATGTGCCTGTAATCCCAGCTATTCAGGAGGCTGAGGAAGGAGAATTGCCTGAACCTGAGAGGCGGAGGTTGCAGTGAGCTGAGATCATGACATTGCACTCCAGCCTGGGCGGCAAGAGTGAAATTCCATCTCAGAAAAATACATCTTTTAGCTATAATCACACAGATCTGTGCTCTGTTGGTGAGATCATTTATGCTTGCATGAGTCTAAGCAACACAAGAGCCACCAACTTGTAGGGGACCCTGAAACTGGGATCTGCTCAGGAGGGGAAAGTGCTGGAACTTTCAGGGCCTCTCTTGGGGCAAATGTGACTGACAGCTACAGCATTTAATCACATCTCCATGACTAGGCCTGCCCCTTTTTGGTCTTTGGGATAGATTTCTTGCACAGGCTTTGCAAGCCTCTATGTGTTGAATTTCTTGCAGTGCTGTGGAATTTCTCTCTCTGAACCAGGTATGTGCGGTTCTTATTCCTTAAATACAACATCTGTCTGTGTTAATTTGTTCTTTTGTCCCCCCAGAATGAGAAGGGGGAATTATAAATGGTGAGGAGAAGTAGCACTAGGCTTTTAAAGGGGAATTTGGCCCAGCGTCTCTCAGAATAAACAACCAGAATTCTAGCATCCTCATTCTACCATATTAATTTGACATATTTCACACATACCGAGCAGTCTGATTCCCTAGTTCACAGCAGACTGGAACAGTAAATTGGAAAATCGAGCATGCTGACAAGAGCAAAGACAACAGCTACTGGAATAATCAGAAGAGTGACGACCAAAATATTACAGCTAGACTTAACAACCTGAGAAGGCATCTCCTGGGGCCATTTAGTGCAGGAAGAACCCACCCTGCATACCTCGGTAGCCACTGAGGGCACGATGGTGTTTCAGACCCAATGACACCTTTGAGTAATCAAGAAGGAAAGCCATGACGCCACTGAGTAATGCCAAAGACTCTCTACTTGGCCAAACTTCAGTCAGGCTCCTCCAAGTCCTCTTTTCAACTAGGCTTCGGCCTTGGCCACTGTTCTTGCCAGGCCTGCCTAGCTCAGTTGTAGCAAGAATCCCGCTAAGTCCATTTAGACAGAGTCCCCCTACCCTTGCTATCTTACCACCCTGGGCTGCCTTCAGCAAGCATCCTGTTAAGTCAGTTTAGAGAGTCCTCATACCCCTGATGTCTCCTCGTAGTAATTTCCCTTCCACTGACCTTCTCCCCTGCTCACTGGCTATAAATCCCCAGATGTCTTTGCTATATTTGGTGATGAGCCTAATCTCCTTCCTCTATTGCAGTAGTTTTGACACAAATTGCAATAATCCCAAATAAAGTCTTCCTTACCATTTTAACAAGTGTCAGAATAATTTTTTTCTTCAGTAGTAATCAAGAACATAAACTCATTGCAGTAGTTTCAATGCAGATGTTTCAGCTATTTGCTGTCCCAGTTCCAGGAAATTTAGGCACTAGCTCCTGCCCATTTTCCTCAGGATAGCACAAACCTGAAAGAAGAGCTAAGATAATTATTATTTTACTTGGTTTTTCCAAAGGCAAGGGTGTGTAAGTTGTTGACAAGAGTCCCCAGTTGAACCTAGCCCACACCTGTTTGGCTTGTGTCTTGCTCTTGTGTAGAGCTGTGTCCCCAGAAGGGATGCCTTTTTTTTAATCTTTGCAGAAGCACTATCAGTTCACCAAAGTGTGCACCTGTTGGGCCCATTCCCCTGCAGGGTTGCATTTAAACACCAGTTCAAGATGTGTTTTGGAAAAATAGTCAAAACACAAAGGAATGGGTAAGACAGGGCAAAAGATTAATTTGCTCAAACACATTCAGTATCAAATCGACTGTAACTAAAAGAACAATAACTATCTGCAAGTTGAGTCATCTACCTGCAGGGCAGTGCTTCTCAAATCTCAGTGTGCATCAGAATCACCTGGAGGGGCAGATTCCTAGGTTAAACCTCAGCTTTCACTGAATTCAGTTGCACTAGACTGGGGCCCTGGGATCTGTGTTTTAAATAAGTACTTATGTGATTTAGGTGTTCGAGGCTCTTGGACCACACTTTGGAAATCACTGTCTGGAAAGACTGTGGGATCCACTTAGGGAAAAAAAAACCTCTGCTCTTTTGGTCTATGGGAATACCCTAGTAGGCAGATTTTGGTTGTCCACCTCTGTGGCTAGAGTTTGGAAGAAGTGATGTGAGCAAAGACAGTACTGCATTGTTATGTGTGATCAAGCAATAAGAATCTAGAATTGCTAGAACTTCTTCTTCTTCTTCCTCTTCTTCTCCTCCTTCTTCTTTCTTCGACAAGGTCTTGCTCTGCTACCCAGGCTGGAGGCAGTGGCATGATCATAGCTCATTGCAGCCTTGAACTCCTGGGCTCAAGTGATTCTCCTGCCCCGGTCTCTCTAAGTGTTGGGATTATAGGCATGAGCCATTATGCCCAGCCTAGAAGCTTCTTAAAAGTGGAAGAGGCTCTCTCATGAGAGAGGAGGAGCCCAGTGAACTGGTAGGAGGCCAGAGCCAGGGGAAAAGATGGGCTGAGAAAAGTTCCCAGTGGTGGGAGTAAACAAGAAACTTTTCAGAACTGTGATGTTGCCTATTTAAGTTGTTTGCCATTATAAATCATAATGCCCTTCAATGGCCCTCCAATCCCCAGTAAATCTGTTATACAAACTGGTCTTGGACCAGAAGTGGGTGAGGAGGTGATGGGTCTGCGGAGAGGGTGCACAGAGAGGGAACTGAGAGCCTTAGTTGGGAGGCAGGAAGGCAGGGAAGCTGGCTGAAGCAAGCCCCAGTCAAAGTGGGGAGCAACACACCCACACCCTCTTTCTCGCCAGAGGTACTAAAGCAGTGGTGTCTTACCATTTCTGCTCAGGCACCTCTATCAGTAAAGAAAAATTTTGGACATGGACACTATATTCCATTGTATGGAATTGATTGATTCTACATTAAGTTTGCTCAATGCAAGGATCATGAGGATGAAGACCTTTATGATGACCCACTTCCACTTGATGAGTAGTAAATATATGTTCTCTTTCTTTTGATTTCCATAACATTTTCTTTTCTCTAACTTACTTTATTTTAAGAATACAGTGTCTAATACATAGAACATACAAAATTAGTATTAACCAACTGCTTATTTTATTGGTAAGGCTTTCAGTCAACATAGGCTACTGGTAGTGAAGTTTTTGGGGAGTGAAAGTTATACACAGATTTTAGACTGCACGACGGGGTCAGCCCTCCTAACCTCCACATTATTCAAGGATGAACCTTATAACTATATAACACATATAATATGCATGCTACTGTACTAATGTATTATTGACATTACAAAAAATAGGGTAAAAATAAGAAATCAGCATAAAAGTTCTAATAATGTACTTTTGTACTCCAGTCAACTGAGTTGAGTAGCCATGGAGCACATGGGCTCTACATAGAAAAGCCTGATCTTATCCTAAGCGAACTAACACAGCCACAGAAAACCAAATACTGCATGTTCTCAGCTATAAGTGGGAGCTAAACATTGAGAACACGTGGACACAAAGAAGGGACAACAGACACCGGGGCCTGTTTGAGGGTGGAAAGTGGGAGGAGAGAGAAGATAAAAAAACTACCTGCTTGGTACTATGCGTCTTACCAGGTGATGCAATAATCTGTACACAAAACCCCAGTGGTATGCAATTTACCTATACAACAAACCTGCACCTACTAGGCACATGTACCCTGAACCTAAAATAAAAGTTAAAAAAACCATAAACACATTAATTAATTAATTAATTAATTAAGAAGAAAATAGGGGAAGGACAGCCCTTACTGTTATATGAATAGGGCCTGTTTAGTCAGCAGACACTTGGATTACTCAGCTACCCAAACTGAGAAGGGTTCCATGATTAGACTCAATTTTGGGGTCAAACCATGGTGCTTTTTGTGCTTCTCAAACATTGGTCTGTAGATCTTCTGTCAGAAAGAAAGCCCATGAGAAATATACCTCAATGATAACTAATCATGCTCATGAATTAAAAGGGAGGGAAAAACCCCAGTAACTTCCTCAGGGCAGCAACCTTAAGACACTCCATTCTTGTAGCTAAGCATTAGCTCGGAGCTCTTGATCAGGAATCCTTGGATTCTCATGAAGACAAGAGCAGGACATCAAGAGAGGTGGCTGATATGGTTAGGCTTTGTGTTCTATAGGCTTTGTGTTCCCAGCCAAATCTCATCTTGAATTGTAATCCCCAGGTGTTGAGAGACCCCAGGTGGGAAGTGGCTGGATCATGGAGGTGGCTTCCACGCTGCTGTTCTCGTGATAGTGAGGGAGATCTCATGAAATGTGATGGTTTTATAAATGCCAGTTTCCCCTGGGCTCTTCTGTCTTTCCTGCCACCTTGTGAAGAAGTTACTTGCTTCTCCTTTGCCTTCCGCCATGATTGTAAGTTTCCTGAGGTCTCCCCAGCCATGTGGAACTGTGAGTCAATTAAACCTCTTTTGTTTATAAATTACCCAGTTTCAGATACTATCTCTATAGCAGTGCAAGAATGGACTAATACAGTGCCCACACCGAAAGGTTGGAGGTGATACCTTTTACCAGGGCTCTGGGTCCCAGCTTTTGGGGACCTTGCTTTTGTTTGTTTGCTTATATTTATTTTATTGCGGTAAAATATATATAACATAAAATTATCCATTTTAACCATTTTAAAGTGTCGTTAAGTGCACTCACAATGTTGTGCAACTGTTACACTATCTATCTGGTTCTAAAACTTTTTCATCACCTTAAACAGAACTTCTTAAACAGAAATACGGAAGTTCTTTTTGTGTCTGGCTTATTTCACTCAGCGTAATGTTTTCAAGGTTCGATTATGTTGTAGCATGTGTCAGAACTTCATTCCTTTCTTTGGCTCAATAATATTTCATTGTATGAATAAACCATATCGTGTTTATCCATTCATCTGTTGATGAACACGGGTTGTTTCTTCTACCTTTTGACTATTATGAATAATGCTGCAATGACCACTGGTGTACACGTATCTGGTTGAGTCACTGTTGCCACTTCTTTTGGGTAAGGAATGGGATTGCTGTGTCATATGGTAATTCTATGTTTAGTTTTTTGAGGAACCACTAAACTGTTTTCCACAAAGACTGCACCATTTTACATCCCTACCAGTAAGTATGAAAGTTCCAGTTTCTTTACCTGCTCTACAATATTTGTTCATTTCAATTTTTAAAAATGGCAGCCATCCTATTAGGTGTGAAGTGGTATCTCATTGTGGTTTTAGTGCGCATTTCCCTAATGACTAATGACACTGAGCATCTTTTATGTGCTTATTAACCATTTATGTAACTTCTTTGGAGAAATGTATATTCAAGTCCTTTGCACGTGTTTTAATTCAGTTGTTTGTCTTTTTGTTGTTGACTTACAGGATTTCTTTATATAGTCTGGATACTAAACCCTTGTGAGATAAGTAATTTGCAAATATTTTCTCCCATTCTGTTGGCTGTCTTTTCACTTTCTTGATAATGTTCTTTGATGAACAAAAGTTTCAAATTTTGATCAAGTCTAGTTTATTTATATTTTCTTTTGTGGCTTGTGTTTCTGGTGCCATATCTAAGATGCCATTGCCAAATTCAAGGGCTCAGAAATGTACCTTTATATTTCCTTTGAGGAGTTTTATTGTTTTAGCTGTTATATTTAGGTCATTGATCTATTTTGAGTTAGCTTTTTTATATGGTGTAAGATAAGGGTCCAACTTCAATTCATTCTTTTACATGTGAAAATTCAGTTGTCCCAGCACCATCTGTTGAAGAGACTGTTATTTTCCTATTGAATGGTCTTGGCATCCTTGTCAAAAATCAATTGGCCATATATGCATGGATTTATTTTTGGACTCTTAATTCTTTTCCATTGGTCTATATGTCTACCCTTATGCCAGTACCACATTGCTTTGATTACTTTTGTTTTAGAAGTAAGTTTTGAAATTGGGACTTGAGCCCTCTGATTTTGTTCTTTTTTTTTTCAAGATTATTTTAGCTATCCAGAGCCCCCTTGGAATTCCATATAAATGTGAGGATCAGTTTTTCTATTTTTGCAAAACAGTTTGTTGCAATTTTGACAGGGACTGCTTGGAATCTGTAGATCACTTTGGGTACAACTCTGTTTTTTTTTTTTTTTCCTGGACTATTAGAATTATTGGGAAGGCTTCTTACCTGGTTCCAGAGGTGCTAACCTTGAATCTCCTTAGCCAGGAGGCTTAATAACTTCTCAACACTCTGTACATGGTGAGGTTGGAGCAGGGAAATCAGTCAGAATGTTCATTGCCTATCTTTTCTCCCAGAGCTGGCTGAACACAACATTCAAAATACCAACACATCTCTCTTGCATTTGTTCCAGCCTGGAGACCACACTTTAGAACCCACTGTCTTAGTGGGTTGATGAATCAGCATCCAATTGAGGAACTGAAATTGGACCAGCTGGGTGTTTAGAGGCTCAGTTGGAAAGCAGACACTGAACTAGCTCTTAGATTTCCAGTAAGTTTTCCCCTTTTGTTAATGTACTTTATCACTTTTGTAGTTAAATATATTTTGCAGCTCATATATATACACACATATATATATGTGTGTGTGTGTATATATATATAGCCTATATATACATATATATGTATATATAGGCTATATATATATATAGGCTAGGAATGCATTCAGTTGCATGTAACAGAAGATTTATTTTTTCACACAACGAGAAGTCCAAAGGTAGGTGGCTCTTGGCATTAGTTCAGGCACTCAAAGATCTCAGGGCTGGCATCCTTGCAGTACTTTTTGTCTTTCTCTCACGATCTCAAGATGGCTTCACCACGCCAAATATCACATCTACATTCATAACAGGAAAGGGTGGGAGAAGCACCCCAGAGCTTATATTGAGAAGACAGAAGCTTTCCAGGAAGCCCTAGAAGACTTTCCATTATCTTTTGTTAATTAGAATTGTATCCCATGGCTCTCTGTAGGTGAAAAGGAACTGGAACCTTAGGGAATAGGATTGTCATGATTGGCTTTAACCAATCCTGATCCATTGCCTGAAGCTGAGCACATTACCTTCCTAAATAAAATTGGAATTTTGTTGGCAAGGAATAAGGAGCAGCAAGATATCAGTGTACTGCTTAGGTATATACACTTATATGGTTATTTTATTATCTATTTTCTTAAGCAGTTTCTACCTCTGAGGGCCTGTTCTCATCCCTGCTATTCTAAGAATATAGAATAACCAGAAATTGTCTCGTCCTATCTATTTTTCCATTTGGGCCTGGATGGTGGCTTGGTGCCTGGTGAAGTAGAGATGGCAGGATGTGGCCTTAGGCTATAAGCAAATGTGAGCAGGCTTACAGGCGCTGTGTCTTTAAGGCCCCGAGTTCACACTATTCATGATATGTTTCCTAATTATTTCCTTTAAATGTTGAAAGTGCTTTCTTTTCTTGCCCTTTAGGGGGAAAAACCAAGTTTCAAAAAAAGCATCCCATCAATGATTCAATCAAAGAAATGTCATTAATGAGAAGAGAGAAAAAAAAGTCCTCCAACATTGTATTTGGGTAGATTTCAACAGTTAATTTGTATTTCAAAATGTGAATGTAAATTAAAAGGCTAAATACTTGAAAGTCAAAAGTATTCCTTATTTGACATTAAAGTCAGCGAATTGATCATATTTGCTGAATGTAGTTAGTAAAAAGTGCTAATTTATGGCTAAGTAATTAAACAGGGAGACAGATGGAGAATCAAATGAGTTTTCTTCACATTCAAATTTGCATACTGTTTCTGATGGTGCATACGCTTATTGCTCTGTGTGGTGCCCTCCAGTATTAGAAGAACATAGAGAGCTATTTATGTCAGCTTTGCTCAAGCAACCCCAAAGAAAGAAAAGGGGAATTATATCAAGTCCTAGACTTAGATAAAATACAGAGCTCAGTTAGATGTTCTCTTCTGTTTCTCGCTCATTCATCATTTTTGCTTCCATGTCATAGTGGGTAGAATAGGCAACTGTCAAATAGTGGAATTTTCTCCTTTCTCCATTGTATCATGGAAAACGCCATGGCGTGGGAATCAGAAGATGGTCTAATTTTAGCTTTCTCAGTAACTAGTTGTGTGACATTGGACAATTCTGTTCTCTCCAGTCTTAGTTGCCTCATTTGACATTTGAGTTTAATGTTGCCTAGGTTATTTCTAAGCAGTATGGCACAGTGGAGAAAGCAAGGACTCTAATTTTGATCTTGGATCAGCCACCTACCAGCTGAGTGATCTTGGATAACTTAGTTTAACCACTGTGTGCTACAGGTTCTTATTAGCAAAATGAGGATGTTTGGTGATCATTTTATGCAAAGCCCTTAGAACAGTGCCTGGAATATAAGCACCTCTCGATGTTAGCTGTTTTGTTTGTTATCTCTAAGATTCCTTCGTGTGCAAAGACTCCTCGAGTCTGTGTTAAAACATGAAGGAAGGTGACTTAATGACAGCTAATCTAGCTTGCTTGCACCCTGTGTCAGACTTGCAATTTCTAGAAATTACCATCAGAGATAATTTAACTATCAGGACCCTATTTGTACTCCCTTGATGATGTCACCAGAGGGAAAGATTTCAATGCCTTCCAGGCCATGCCAGTGCTCATACCCACTAGGGTGGTACTAGCTGGGGGAAGTGGTCCATCAGCCAATGCTGTGCTCAGAGTTGTTTTTATAGTTGCTGGTAGAACTTGCAGAAGGGAACCGTGACTCTCTCCCCCATCTCCCATGCCTTCAGTTCAACAGAAAGGACCTGGAAGTCAATATCCCTTGCACTGGCATTAAGAGATACAACTCTGGCTTTGCCACCTGCTCTCTACTTCCGCCTGAGCACTGCTCCAGCTGCACAGAGCTTGCTCCGAGCTCCAGGCTCCTGCTAAGCTAGCACCACCGTCGACTCCCTCCAGCTGCCTTCATGATTACCTACCGAGATCTCATCAGCCACAAAGAGGTATCCTCTGACTTTTACAAAGATCCTGGAGATCAGGGACAGGCTGTGCCTTGAGATGGAGGGGAAAAAGGTCAGTAGGACAGAGGGTAACATCAAAGACTTGCCCATTAGTGAGAATGCCTCCACTGAAGACCCCTAGGGTAAAGGTACAGAAAGCACAGTATTTGATGCTGTTGTTATCATCATGAAACATCACTCGCCAGAAACCAGCTCCGCAAAAGAAGCCTACAGGAAATACATCAAAAATTACGTGAGAAGAGTCAAAGGCAAACGTGAAGAACAGAGACCGTAAAAAGTAAAATCTTTTATGACAGACTGCAGAACAAATCAAGCACATCCTTGCTAATTTCAAAAACTACCAGTTCATTATTTGTGAGGACATGAATCCAGATGGCATGCTGGCTCTATTGGACTACCAGGAAGATGACGTGACCCCATATATGATTTTCTTTAAGGATGATTTAGAAATGGAAAAATGTTAACAGATTTGGCAATTGCTTTGATCTATCACCTGTCATTATAACTGGCTGCCACTTGTCATCCACACAACACCATTGAAGACAAATGGGACTGATGTCACTTTGAGCACTTTATTTTGACCATGATTTATCTGGAGTAGAGGCATTGTTTTTGAGGAAAAAAAAAACCATAGCATATATAGGTTGTCTAAAAATAAAATACATTTAAAGTTAAAAAAATACAACTCTGTGACCTAGACTGGAGCTGTCAACTACCCCTCCCCAACCCACATATATACTCACATGGAGCTCCGCGAAAGAGAGAAGCAAAATTTCTTTAGAATTTTTTAGAGGTTTATTTATTTATTTATTTATTTACCTTTCACTGGAATTTTTTTTTTTTTTTTTTTTGATGGAGTCTTGCTCTGTTGCCAGGCTGGAGTGCAGTGGCACGATCTGGGCTCATTGCAACCTCTGCCTCCTGGGTTCAAGTGATTCTCCTGCCTCAGCCTCCCAAGTAGCTGGGACTACAGGCACATGCCTCCATGCCCAGCTAATTTTTGTATTTTTGGTAGAGACAGGGTTTCACCATATTGGCCAGGATGGTCTCGATCTCTTGACTTCATGATCTGTGCCCCATATTTAACCAGTCACGGATAGGGAAGACCCAGTGATCGGGTGCAAGTGGTTTTACAATCCATTTCTTTTTCATTTTTGTGGTGTAGCCAGTTGTTTGGGATTACAACAGTATTAAAATCCTTAAAAATAAAGCTCTTCTCATGCCTGTAATCCCAGCACTTTGGGAGGCTGAGGCGGGCAGATCACTTGAGGCCAGGAGTTTGAGACCAGCCTGGCCAACATGCAAAACCCTATCTCTACTAAAAATAAAAAAATTAACCAGGCGTGATGGTGCATGCCTATAATCCCAGCTACTTGGGAGGCTGAGGCACGAGAATCACTTGACTCCAGGAACTGAAGGTTGTGGTGACCTGAGACCACGCCACTGCGCTACAGCCTGGGTGACAGAGCGAGACTGTCTCAAAAGAAAAAAAAAAGGCTCTAAAAGATGTCCATGATGGACATCACTGTTTGGCAATCAGGACCCCTTGTTTTTCTAAAGGTACCTTGATGTACTTCTTATTGTTTTAATGTAATGGCAGATCAAGTTGCTCTGCCCTTCCCTACCCAAGACTTGCGAACTGGTTCCCAATTAGGCAACTCGGCTTCTACTCTGACTTTAAATCTCATGCAAAGTGACATAAGAATGGGTGTTGGGCATTCTTCACTTGTGTCTCTATCTCCGCTCTCCAGCTCTCCACCTTACTCGGTGTTCTGCAAGGTTCATCTTTATAGACTACATCAGAAGGCTTCCTTAACATCTGCCTTCCATTGGGGTTTGGCCAGCGGAAGGCACTGGCTAAAGATGAGAAGGTAGAAGAGTGAATTTGGGGTGTTTTTCACCTTCTGCCCTCTCTGCTGGGCACAGTAGGTTGGTTCTTTCCCTCTCCTAATGCCTCAGCTCCATATGGCAGCCGTAAAAATTAGTAATAAAACCTTTTCCAGTTTAGTACTATCATAGAGCAGCAGGCTTGATTATTGCTCTTTGAAAATCAGTGTCAATGTGAGTTGAAAACTGTCTGGAAGACGAAAAACCCAAAAAATAGTATTTTAAAAGCTTTGCATTCAGAAATCAGGTTGGGAGCTAAAAAAATAAAAATTAAAAAAAAGTTTAAAGGCTGGGCGTGGTGGTTCACACCTGTAATCCCAGCACTTTGGGAGGCCAAGGTAGATGGATCACTTGATGTCAGGAGTTCAAGACCAGCTGGCCAACATGGTGAAACGCTGTCTCTACTAAAAATACAAACATTAGCTGGACGTGGTGGTGCATGCCAGTAATCCCAGCTGCTTGGGAGGCTGAGGCAGGAAAGTTGCTTGAAGCCAGGAGATGGAGGTTGCAGTGAGTCAAGATCACGCCACTGCACTCCAGCCTGGGCAACAGAGCAAGACTCTGTCTCAAAAAAAAAAATTTTTTTTAAGAGCTCTGCAGTTGCTTTTTTAAAAAAAATGAGAATTCATTTATAAATTTATAATAAATCAATAAATTTATTAATCTCTTTTCTTGGTAGATATTTTCATTTATCTAAAAGTATCTTCTTGTGTGATTTCTTCTTTGACTCATTGGTTCTTTAGTTGTATTAATTTTCATATTTATGTAAATTTCCCAAATTGCCTTCTGTAACTGATTTTTAATTTCATTGCATTGTGGTCAGAAAACAGGCATTTCTTATTTCAGCCCTTTTAAGCATATCAAGGTCTTATTTTATGGCTTAACGTATAGTCTTTCCTGAATAATTTTCCATGTGTACTTTAGAAGAATGTGTGTTGTTCTCTCATTGCGTGCAGTGTTCTATAGATGTCTGTTAGATCTAGTTGTGTTACAATGTTGTTCAAGTCTTCTATTTCCTACTTGAAATATGTATTGGATTATGTATAGTTGTTCTATCTATTTTGAAATCTCCAACTATTATTGTTGACTTATCTATTTCTCGTTTCATATCTGTTCATTTTGTCTGATTTTGCTTCATGTATTTTGAGGCTCCGTTGTTAGGTGTATATATGTTTATAATTATTATGTTTTCTTTATGGATTGTTGCAAACCTTTGCCTAATTTCTAGAGTTCTGACAAAGTTGATACTGACTATTGTTGCTAGTCTTTCTTTCTTTCTCTTTCTTTCTTTCTCTCTCTCTCTCCCTTTCTTTCTCTCGCTCCCTTTCTTTCTCTCTTTCTTTCTCTCTCTTCCTTTCTTTCTTTCTCTCACTCCCTTTCTTTCTCTTTCTTTCTTTTTCTTTCTTTCTTTCCCTTTCTTTCTTTCTTTCTCTCTCTCTCTCTGTCTGTCTGTCTGTCTTTCTTTCTTTCTTTCTTTCTTTCTTCTTTCTTTCTTTCTCCTTCCTTCCCTCCCTCCCTCCCTCCCTCCCTCCCTTCCTTCCTTCCTTCCTTCTTTCTTTTTCTTTTTTTTGTGTGTGTTCTTGTTGTTTTTGTGGAGAAGCAGCTTTTTGGAGATCCTTACTCTGCCATTCCTGGTGATGTCTCTCTGCCGTTTCTAATAAGAGACAGTCTCTGAGAGTTTCAAATAGAAGTATACATTTATGTTGTGTGTTCTTGGAAAGACCTTTTTTTTAGACTCGCTTTTACATAAAATAAGAAAACAATTAGTAAACACTGGGGTATAAAATAAGCTTTAACATAATTAACAACTACTAAACTGGCCGTTTTTACATGAGCATAGGAGGTGTGACATGAATCTGAAA
This sequence comes from Homo sapiens, assembly GCF_000001405.40. Taxonomy (NCBI): domain Eukaryota; kingdom Metazoa; phylum Chordata; class Mammalia; order Primates; family Hominidae; genus Homo; species Homo sapiens. The sequence goes on from NC_000021.9 coordinate 31,844,144, forward strand.
ACTGATCCAACTAGTAGGCATCATTTCAACGTCACTAGAAGAGTCAATCTGATGAGTCTCTGTCAATGTTGACAGTCTTGACCATCATTACATTTTGGGTGCTATTTATTGATCTGTGGTTCTTTGGATTCATCTCACAGAGTACAGATGTTAAGTACAGAGACTTTTTCTTTAAATATGAATGGTTATGATCTTATCCCTTTCAACAGTAGAGATGTTTGATGAAGATTTGTATCTACCATGTGTTATTCATATAAACATTCTGCATAAGTAGAGGTTCACTGGAGGGTCACTTTGATTTTTTTCCAAGACCATTTATATATTCTGAAGATGAATAATGAACTAGTAGAGAATAATTACTGACTAAAATATTAAACAAATAAAACTGGACATGAAAAAGGAAGTCCACATGAAATCCAAGGTGTTGCCAATAAAATTAAGAAATGCTAAAAACAATCAGCAACTTTGTAATAGCAATGTTAACTTTTCTTCCAGAATAACTAGTAGGTACTTAGATTTTCTTTTTAAATATTGGCTAAAAAGCCCAAATTACCTGAATTTCCTTTGAATTTTTTGTCTTTCCTACATGGACCTTGCCACGTTTTTGGTCATATCGTAATTATTTTAGTTGCTTTTATTTTCTCTCCTAGGTTGCATTGGCTTCAGTAGTATGGCCTGTGCCAGTCATTTATGTTTCTCCAAGGACACCAGGCACAACGTCTTGCACACGATTGGTATATTAAAAAATCGGGTCTTGCATTCAGGAAATTACACACTAAAAAGAAGAAGGGTTTATGGGAAAAATAGGGCTAGGAGCAGACTACCCAAAACCTAAAGTACTTTATAACAAGAGTGTGAGTAAAGACAAACCTAGGAGTGAAAAAGAGATGTAAATTTGTAACAACAAAAGAAATGTTAAAGTAAATAGTTCTCTCCTTTTAAAAGGTGATGGTATGAGCTTCCTTTCTTAAATACTTACTGAGCTGATAGATGAATGTTTTCTGGCCCACCAGTTAGGGAATGAAGATTTTTATCTCCCTAAAATTCATATGTTGAAATATAATCACCATTGTGATGGACTGGGAAGTGGGGCCTTTAGGAGGTAATGGGTGGAGCCCTCATGAGTGGGACTAAGACCCTTATAAAAGGGATCCCAGAGAGGTAGCTTACCCTCTTCTGCCACGTGAGGCTCTGACGAGAAGGTGGCTGGCTGTCTGTGACCCAGAAGAGCGCCCTCACCAGAATCCGACCATACTGGCCCCCGATCTCAGACCACTGGCCTCCAGAACTGTGAGAAACACATTTCTGTTGCTTATAAGCCACTCAGTTGATGGTAATTTGTTATAGTAGCCTGAGCTGAGGTACCACCCATTTTCCGAGGTTACAGCTCTTTGACAATTCAGATCCACACAGGGGTTTTAGTTCCTCCCTCTTCATCTTGCCCAATGCCTCAGCAACTATTCCCACATGAACACTGAAACCCAAGTACCTTGGTTATTTAGACCAACAACCAGGCCCCTGCACATCTACAGTGCCAGCTTACATAACCACTTTTCAGTTCTTTCCTTTATGTGGCCAGTAGAGTTTCTTCTTTCCTTTTTCCTTGTGGGCTAAACTATAAATTTTAAAAGGGTTTTAAAGATCCTTGTGTGTTAGGCAGCATAGCAAGGCGTCCATTGAGGGAGCTTTTTGCTGTTGTCTATTATCTTAGTCGACCATCTTCCCAGCAGAGCTCCCACCCCCATTATTCTTTTCACAGAATCCTTTGCTAACAGATCACTGTTACTAGAATAATATGAGCATTGGGTTCATTGTGTATAGCAGGCTACACTTATGGGAAGAGAGAGAAGGAGAAACAGAGATTTAGTAAGAAGAGGAATTCATTTTATATTGAAAATATAATTTTGAGGCCAGGTGCAGTGGCTCATGCCTGTAATCCCACAACTTTGGGAGGCCAAGGCGGGAGGGTTGCTTGAGCAAAGGAATTTGAGACCAGCCTGGGCAACAGAGTAACACTCCATATCTACAAAATATTAAAAAACTAGGTAGGTGCAGTGTCACATGGCTATTCTCCCAACTACTCAGCAGCCTGAAGTGGGAGGATCACTTGAGCCCAGGAGATGGAGGCTGCAGTGAGCCATGATCATGCCATTGCCCTCTAGCCTTGGCAACAGAGCAAGACTCTGTCTCAAAGAACAAAAAATAGAAAGTATAATTTTGAGCCAATTCTCTAGAGTTTATCAGGTTTTTTTTTCCAGCATTTTCTCTAACGTACACTGTCCACACAGGAGGTTGAATGATTGCTTTAGGACTAATTACTCAATGTGTGAATTATTAGACCTTTTGTCTTCATCCCTCTTCTCTATTTATTAGCATGTCTGCAGTTGGCTGGACCATGGAAAAAGATGTCATAGGAAACACTTAACAAAACTATTTAATAACAATCATTAACGTCTCTTATAGAACCGTGACTGGAAAGATGGAACCACTGGTTGAAATAAGATCTGAATCCTTACTGTCTCTGCTCTTGTTCTCTTATTCTATACATATAAATTTGACAACTGCATCTGAAACAATCTGTAGGGTCCTGTTGCTAAAGGGAATTTTAAATTTTCTTCCATGGAACACTAGGTTTCCAGAGAGTCCTTAATGAATTCTGCAGGAAATAGTGTATCTGTTTATTTATTCAACAAATATTCACTGAGTGTTGGCCAGTTATCTGACACTGGGTTGGGCCTGGTCTTTGGGGAGACAGGACTGCCAAGTTTCTGGCCCTCACTCCTTCAACCAGAGCAGCTCTGCTGGTGTCTGCTTTGTAGTTGACAATCTGGGTATGTGGGGGAGGAGGTTCTGCTGCCTAAAGAAAATTTGAAGGCTTCTGTGGCATAGGGAATGCCCTTATTTAATAGAAGTTCTTATTAAGCAAAGCTATTTTGGGGCCGTGGCCTAATAGTTGTAGGTTTATGCATCTGTACAATGAGGAGCACATAGTGAGTATGTGTGTAGTTCAGGGTAGTCTATATTAAGCTGCTGTAACAAATGTCCCCTATATCTCAGTGACTTACAACAGGAGAGGTTTATTTCTTGCTCATATTATACGTTCGTTGTGCATTGTCTCTGTCTCCAGTTTGAGTCTGATCTGACTTTTGGACTCCAGCTAACGGAGCAGCCTCTTTCTGGAGCATCACTTGTCCATAGTGGGGGTGAATTAAAAACACAGTGAGTTAACATTTGTCCTTACAGCTTCCGCCTGGGAGTTAGACAGGTCTCTGCTATTGACATCTCCTGGGCTAAACAAGTTAAATGGCTTCACTGGATGTCATTGGCACAGGGAAATATAATCTTTCCACAGGGAGTGATAGCAAATATTTGGTAACAACAATGCAAAGTGCTCTAGTGCTCAGTAAATATGTGCTGATTAAACAACTATATACAATCAACAACCATGTATCAGTGCATTCTCAGCTCCCGACCCTGTAAACCAGTTTTTCTGAGTAGGAGTCTCTGAGATGTTGTGCTTTTTGTGTTATGGGGAGAGCTGAAACGAGCTGAAAATAATCTCAAGATTTTTACTGTTACAACTAAGTCACAACTGGCCTTCAACACTCCCCACCAACTGGGTAAGGAAACCACAAATCCAGTCCCCAAACCCACATCTATTTTGCCTTTTCAAAATGTGTTGTAAAATATTAGAAGGAAAATGGTCTGGAACTTCTAAGGATTAAGAAGAAATTCACATCAGCAGAAAGCAAGACTGTAAACCCCCCGGGAGCTGAAGAGCTCAGTTCCAGAGCCAGATTGTATAAGACGGGGCTTCAAAACTAATCTGGAGCCATCTTATGTAAAACAAATTGTCCGCCAACAGGAAGCCTCAAAACAGGGTGCAGATTATGAAGGAATGAAATGGATTCCAGGCTGCTATGAGGATTTTCTTGATTGAAACAAGACCAACCTATGGAACCATGCTCTGTGTGAGTCCACCATTTCCCCCTTCTCTGCAAAAACATGAAAGAAAGCATGTAGAATTTTTGTTGTGGCTGGATTTCATAAGGGGAAGATGCTTCTCTGTGTAAAAAGATATACAAGAGAAAGCTGTGGTTGGAAATCTGCAGTGTAAGCGACAAAAATCTCAACTCAAAGTTGCCTTTGCAAAAGGAAATGATTCTGGTTCTCAAAGTTGAAAAGTCCAGAGATGGATTTTGCCTTTAGATATGACTGGATCCAGGAGCTCATGCAATATTACCAGGACTCTCTGTCTTTCACCTTGCTTTTGTTTGGCTTTATTCTGCAGACTGGGTTGCATCCATCCAGTTTTGCCTCATCAGGGCCTTGCCTGTTGCCTGCCACGCTTGCCTTGGCTGTGCTTTTAAACATCTCCAGAGCTATCTGCAACAGAACTGCATCTTTAGCCAGCTGCTGGCCTGTGTCAGTTCTTTCTCTGCAGCTGATAGGGCCTCTTTGTGGGCTGCCACCCAGGTCCTCTGGCTCTCATCCTTGGCCATTTACTGCTGGTAATCAACCCTCAGTCTCTCATCATCTTTCTGCAGGGTGGCAGCATGACTTAACATTACTCAAGCAACGCTGTTGTCTTTATAGGATTTGTTCCCCCAGATTTTTCAAAACCCACATCATTGCACCTGCCACAAGCTTCTCTGCCACTGGACATTTGGCCAGGCCACTGCTGGTGAAATCTGTCATATTAAGAGCCATACCACGTAACAGCGGTTATCCTTGCCCTACCTACCACACAGACCTTATGCTCTTGGCCTGCCAGGCAGTAAGTGAGGAAGTCAGAAATTCTTGTCTTTCCACATGTATTGTCTGACTTCTTTAGTTACTGCTTAAGCTTCTAGGTCCTCCAAGAAACAGACGTTAACATTGGATTAAGTGTGTGGGAATTTTATTAGGGCAAATGCCTGTGAGAAAATGGGAAGGGGATACCCCTCACCCTTAGATCTTTTTTTTTGAGACAGAGTCTTGTTCTGTTGCCCAGTTTGGAGTGCAGTGGCATGATCTCGGCTCACTGCAACCTCCGCCTCCCGGGTTCAAGTGATTCTCCTGCCTCAAGCTCCTGAGTAGCTGGGACTATAGGACTATATGCGTGCCACCGTGCCTGGTTAATTGTGTGTGTTTTTTTTTTTTTTTTAAGTAGAGACAGGTTTCACTATGTTGGCCAGGCTGGTCTTGGACTCCTGAACTTGTGATCCATCTGTCTCAGCCTCCTAAAGTGCTGGGATTACAGGTGTGAGCCACCACACCTGGCCTCACCCTCAAACCTTGAGAGATGAAAGGAGGGAAGGGTGAGTGGAAGTTTCCTCTACTGATAGGAAGTTTAAAGAAGGTTCCACAAGAATGCCATGTGGTCCTTCAGCCAACGTTGCCATCAGAAGGGTCCTGTCTCCAGGCAAGATTAGCTGCATAATTTGACGGTCCAGTGCAAAAATAATATGCAGGACTCAGTGTTAAAAATGTATTAAGAATTTTGGGCTGGGCGCAGTGGCTCCTGTCTGTAATCCCAGCCCTTTGGGGGGCCAAGGTGGGTGGATTGCTTGAGCCTAGGAGTTCAAGACCAGCCTAGGCAACATGGTGAAACTGTATCTCTACAAAAAATTAGCCAGACGTGGTGGCATGCACCTGTAGTCCCAGTTACTCAGGAGGCTGAGGTGGGAGGACCACCTGAGCCCAGGAAGTCAAGGCTATGGTGAGCTGTGATTGGGTTATTGCATTCTAGCCTGGGCGATGGAGTAAAACCCTTTCTCAAAAAAAAAAAAAAAAAAAAAAAGAGACAGAGAGAGAATTTCAAGACAAAATAGCAGAGTGCTCAACGGAGTGCAGGGTCCTTTTGAGTTCAGGATCCTGACTGAGTGCATGGGTCTCACAGCCATGAAACCAAGTGTGGTCTATCTTAGTATATCCCCACTGTGCTTAGTAATCAGCAGCCAAGCCCTTGGACAATTATGGCTCCCTGTAGTTACAGAACTTCTAGGCATGTTCTCATGGTTCCTACAGATGAACAAATTTTTTATTTTTTTGTATGGTTTTTGCTTTTTGTCTCTTAAGAAAGCTGAAGATAAGCATGTTACCCTCTATTTCTAGCTAATACTTTAAAATGTTTTGGGGCTTTAATCCTGATGGAATTTATTTGTATTATTGGTATGAAGTAGGGGTTAACTTATTTTTTTTCCTTCAGTTGATAACCACGTCGCATCATCATTTATTGAATGGCTGGTCTTTTCCCTTCTGATTTAAACGTCCACTGTTGTCAAATATTAGATTCCCATATACAAGGCATGACAGGAAGTGATAATGGAGCTGTTTTTATCATATTTTTGCTGAATCCCCAAGAGTGCAGACGCCTTGTCTCACATTTCATGCGGAAGCATCTAAAGGATTGAAAAAGGGATATCTCAAGACAGTTTTTTTGGACCGGGTGCGGTGGCTCATGCCTGTAATCCCAGCAGTTTGGGAGGCCGAGGTGGGTGGATCACCTGAGGTCAGGAGTTCAAGACTAGCCTGGTCAATATTGGTGAAACCCTGTCTCTACTAAAAATACAAAAAATCAGCTGGGCGTGGTGGTGCGTGCCTGTAATCCCAGCTACTCAGGAGGTTGAGGCAGGAGAATTGCTTGAACCTGGGGGACGGAGGTTGCAGTGAACCAAGATCACACCACTCCACTCCAGCCTGGAGGACAGAGTGAGATTCTGTCTCAAAAAAAAAAAAAAAAAGGTAGACCCTTAACCTATCAATAATATAGGTGCATAAAATAATTAAGATTGAAGTTGGAGGAGAATTGTCCTTAGCGTTATTGGTGACTCTTGAGTCTCTCCCACCTCTCTCCTTGCCCCCTAGGTTCTCCTTGGGCTTGGCCATTGCAAGTCCCCAGCCAGAGCTGCGAGTGGACAAGGAGATTTGTGGGAGCATTGCCTGCCTGGCTGCCTCCCTGCTGGGCGCTGTTTGTGGAATCGCTGCAGTTCCCTGCCTTTGGCCACAGCATGTGCTGGACTTAGACACCCCTCCCTCCTCTGCTCCTCCAAGTCCAGGGGCGAGATGTGCTCCCGGCTTTTGTTCCCCTCAGAGGACTTCCCCTCCTTTGTCTGTTTCCCTCAACTCTGCCCATGCTCTTATTCAGAATCCTCGCTTCATTCCCTCATCTTCCATTTTCCCTTCCAAATGCACCATCTGTTCCCAATGGAAAGGAACATCAGTGTGATGCCCTCTCATCTTTTAGAAGATGATATTTCTTCATTTTTCTCCTAATTCAAGCCTTAACATAAGTAGTTTTGTCCATTTTGTGCTGCTGTAACAAAAGGCCTGAGACCAGGCACTTTATAAAGAACAGAAACGTATTTTTTCACAGTTCTGGGGCTGGGAAGTCCAAGATCAGGGGGCCATATCTGGTGAGCGCCTTTGTGCTGTGTTATCCTATGACAGAAGAGAAATTGCGAAGAGAGGGCTAGAGGTAGAGATAGAGATGGAGACAGACAAAGGGGGCTGAACCTGTCCTTTCATAAGGAAACTACTACTGTGAAAATGGCATTAATCCATTCATGAGAGTAGAGCCCTCGTGACCTAAACACCTCTTAAAGGTCCACCTCCCAACACCTCCACACTGGGGATCAAGTTTTGGAGCACACATCTGAACCATAGCAATATGATTATTGAAGGGAATTGGAGGCACAGTGCAGAAAAGTTGCAGGCTGTATCCCCAGTGTTCTTCTTTTCTCTGTTCTATCCCCCATCCCTAGGTAGTCCCATCTAGGCCCAGAGTTTCAAATCCATCTATTAATGTATGCTGCAGGCCGGGCGCGGTGGCTCACGCTTGTAATCCCAATGCTTTGGGAGGCTGAGGCAGGCAGATCACGAGGTCAGGAGACCAAGACCATCCTGGCTAACACGGTGAAACCCTGTCTCTACTAAAAATACAAAAATTAGCTGGGCGTGGTGGTGGGCGCCTGTAGTCCCAGCTACTCAGGAGGCTGAGGCATGAGAATTGCTTGAACCTGGGAGGCAGAGGTTGCGGTGGGCTGACATCACGCCACTGCATTCCAGCCTGGTGACAGAGCGAGACTCCATCTAAAAAAAAATAAGAATATGCTGCAGACTCTTGAATTTATATCTTCAGCCAGTCTTCTCTTCTAAGTTCCAGGTTTGTATGTCCAAAACCTATTTACTATGTCCACCTGGTGTCTAACTGAGCTCCTGATCTTTCTCCACCTCCATGACCCCAAGCCACCCTCCATCTGATACACCTTCCTCCTTCAGACCGGCCTATCTCAGTCATGGCATGTCACACACCCAGCTGCTGAGACTTCAGTTTGGAGTTACTGATAATGATTTCCCTATTACTCTCTGCTATGGACTGTTTCTGTCTCCTCAAAATTCCCATGTTGAAATCCTAGCCCCTAATGTGATGGTATTAGGAGGTGGGGCCTTTGGAGGGTGATTGGACCATGAATACGGTTAGTGCCTTTATGAAGGAGGTTGATATGGTCTGACCATGTCCTCACCCAAATCTCATCTTGAATCGTAGTTCTCACAATCCCCATGTGTTGTGGGAGGGACCCGGTGGGAGGTAATTGAATCATGAGGGCAGTTACCCCCATGCTGCTGTTCTCATGATAGTGAGTGAGTTCTCACGAGATCCAATGGCTTTATAAGGGGCTTTTCCCTCTTTTGCTTGGCACTTCTCTTACCTGCCACCATGTAAGACATATCTTTGCTCCTCCTTCGCCTTCCACCATGATTGTGAGGCCTCCACAGCCATGTAGAACTGTGAGTCCATTAAACCTCTTTCCCTTATAAATTACCCAGTCTTGGGTATGTCTTTATTAGCAGCGTAAGAATGGACTAATACAGAGGTCACAGAGAGCTTTTGTTCTGCCAAATGACGATACAGTGAGAAGCCACCATCTATCAACGGGCAAGGGGGTCTCTGGTTCATAGATGGGGAGTCCTTTACCAGACACTGAATATATATATATATATATATATATACACACACACATACACACACAGAGGGTATATAGATACACATATATACCCCCTACATATATACAGGGGTATACATATATACAAGGGGTATGTAGATATATATACAGGGGGTACATAGATCAATTCACATATAGATAGATAGATAGATAGATAGATAGATATACATATATACAGGGGGTATATAGATCAATTCATATATATATAAAACACCTTGATCTATATACCTCCTGTATGTGTGTGTGTATATATATGTATAAAACACCTTGATCTATATACCTCCTATATATATAAGACACTTTGATCTATAAACCTCCTGTATGTGTATATATACACACTGTGTGTGTGTGTATATATATACACACACACTATGTGTACACATATATGTGTACACATTGTGTATATATATACACACACACATACACACACACCATAATATATATAGTATTATATATTATAGTGTATATATATACACCATATATATATACTTTATATATATGTACATATACACCATAATATATAATACAATATATATATATTATGGTGTGTGTGTGTGTATATATATACCATATATATATATGTGGTGTGTGTGTGTGTATATATGGTGTGTATATATATATATATCTCCTATTGGTTTTGCTTCCCTGGAGAACTCTAATTAAAACAATAGAGACGATAAATCAGTAAAGTAGATTACATAGTGCAGCAGTTAGTGATAAATGCAACAGACAAGTCCCCATAATCTTCATTTTCTTCATAGCATCACTTGTAGCTATCTTGCTTGTTAGTTACAGGTACAGTTATCTGACCAGTGTACAGATAGTTGCAGCTATGGTTATAGGTTGATAACTTTTTTGCTCTCGGCCCTGTCTACCAGTGTGTTATTCACTGTGACATGCTGTTCTGGTTATCTTTGCTGTGTAACAGTGCAGCCCAAACTTAGTGGCACAGCTGTTAGCAGTTGTTTTATTATACTCACACATTCTGTGAGTGTAGATTTAGAAAGGGCACCATGAGGATGGTTATCCTCTACTCCATGATGTCTTGGCCTTTGTTGGCAAGACTTTAGTCTGGGGGCTAAGAGAGTGGGGGCTGTAGGAAACACCCCTAAACTGGCTTCTTTATGGACACTTCTGGTGCCTGGGCTTGGATGGATGAAAAATGGGCTGAACTGTGACAGTTGATGGAGCATTGTGTGTGGCCTCCCATGGCACTTGGGTGTGTCACAGCAGGGTGACTGGGTTTGGAGAGAGAACTTCCCAAAGGGGGTCTTCAGACAGTGGGCATCCCAAGAAAGCCAGGTGTAAGTGGCTTGACCTTTTATGGTCTAGTTTCAAAAGTCACATTGCTTCACTTCTGTCACACTCTGTTGGTTCAAGCAGTCATCAGCCCAGATTCAACAGGAGGGGTACACGGATCTCTCAATTGAAAGAGTGTCCAAAATTTTCAGGCCATGTTCCAAAACCATCTCCCATGCTTAACACATAGCGTAGTTCCTAGCACATAAAAGTATTCAAGAAATGTTTGTTGATTGCATAAACAGAAAAGCCCAAGCCAAACAAAATAAATATTGTACTTATTTTACCACCTAGGGATGATCACTCTTAGAATATGCTTCCACCTATTTTTTCAATGCTTGGACTTAATTTGCATATATTATTTTTACTCAATTATTTCTATAAGTACTATTAACATTATAGTATTGTTCTACTTAGTATTATAACTTTCCCATGCTCATAAATACTCTTCTACACCATAATAATTGTGGAATCACTGTGTAGTCGGCTGTGTAGTTGCATGCTTTTTGAAGATATCATATTTTACCTATTTAATTCCCCTAGTATTAGATAAGTGGATGTCTTCAGTGTTTTGTAAAATATCCTAAGTAAATACAGCAATAAATATATTTATGAGAACGTCTTTGCACACTTTTCTAGGAATTCTTTTTTTTTTTTTTGAGATAGGGTCTAAAAAACAGCTGGATCTGCTGCGCTTTATTTACTTACTGTTTTTTATTTTTATTTTATTAGAGACAGGGTCTCATTCTGTCACTCAGGCTGGAGTGCAGTGGTGCAATCATAGCTCACTGCAGCCTCAAACTCCAGGGCTCAAGCAATCTTCCTGCCTCAGGCTCCAGCAGCTGGGACTACACGAACATACCACCACAACCAGCTAATTTCTAAAATTTTTCGTAGAGATGGGGTCTCGCTATGTTGCTGAGGCTTGTCTCAAATTCCTGGCCTGAAGCAATCCTCCTATCTCAGCCTTCCAAAGTGCAGGGATTAGAGGCATGAATCACCATAACCAGCCTCTAGGAATTCTTTTAAGGATAAATTCCTAGAAGTAAACTTGCTGGGTCAAAAAGTATGTGCATTTCCAAGATCACCGGTATATATTCATATAATATAATTTTCTCATTTTGGAGGAACCAAAACTGAACATCCAACAAAATCCTTTTTGCATATTTTAAGTTAGATGTCTTTTATTTAAAAACAATAAAGCTATCTAAACACATATTTCGGTCAAAAACAATAAAAACAAAAGCAATAAAACATAAGGGTATTCTCCTTTATTCTAAGTATTTACTTCTATGGTTTTTGCTTTGTTACAGTTGGTATTTCAGTCGAATCAGTAGTGCTTCTGAAAGGAAATATCAGGAGGCTTTCTAAAAATATCACATCTTTGCCAAAATGTTCAGATTTGAAAATGAAATGTGTCCCTAGTAATTGAATTCCACTGCAAACCTATTCATCTCAGTTCTTAGGAGCAAAGAAAATTGCACCTCGAGAGTCGTGACTATAGCACATTACCCATGACTTGCAAACTTGCTTGAACAAAGATCTGGAGCCTAGATATACATAAAGAGAAAATTCAGGTTTTATTGTGCGATAGTGATACAGTGCTTCATCTCTTAGAACATGATAGCGTTCTATGAGTTTTAATCTTGTTAGGGACCACCCTATCTCATTTTTCACAACTTTCGTTATATTAATGATGGGTGTTGTACCAATGCATACTCTAATTTTTATAGTCTCTAATTTTTATAGTAAAGAAACATGATACTATACTATACTGTACTGTACTATAAGATAGCTGTATTTAAAATTTATGATCTTTGTATAATCAAGCTCTCCCTATACACATATATTAAGTTCTACTTGCTTTAAAACTGCACATTCTATGTTTGGCTTTATGGTATCTAATATTTATTTATTTATTTATTTATTTTTTGAGAGAGGATCTCACTCTGTAACCCGAGCTGGAGTGCAGTGGTGTGAGCATGGCTCACTGCAACCTCATTGAGCCTCCTGGGCTCAAGTGATCCTCCCACCTCAGCCTCCTGAGTAGCTGGGACCACAGGCGTGTGCCACGATGCCCAAATAGTTTTTGTATTTTTTGTAGAGAGAGGGTTTCACCATGTTGCCCAGGCTCATCTTGAACTCCTGGGCTCAAGTGATCCTCCTGTCTTGGCCTCCCAAAGTGCTGGGACTACAGGCATGAGACACCACACCCGGCCAACTATCTAATATTTAGTCTGGCCAGTGTGATGTCAAATCACTTCAACAGTATCAGGAAGATGACTTATAAAAGATCTCTCTCTCTCTCTCTCTCTCTATATATATATATATATCACATAAAATAGACATCTCTCTCTATCACATATATATAAAATATGCATATTTTATATATAAACATATCTATATATCACATAAAAATAAATATCTCTATATAACATAAAAATCACATCTTTGCAAAATGTTCAGTGCAAATATATATGTGTGTGTATATATATATCTGTATGTATATCTTCTTTAGAGCAAATGATAGTGGAATAAAAGAATAAAGGCTCCAAGTTCTTAGATTGAAAATAAAATGATTTATAGTTGTTTTCTCTGGTAGTGTTATAGCAGCATCAGCTTGACAGCCTGTAGTGACATTATCACTACTACTGACACCAGCCTCTAATGAATACTTTTAAGATCTCTGTTCAGCAGAGGTTTCCCACTATGTCTTCCAACTTCCTGCTCTTTTACCGTGTCTTCTTTCTGTGTAGGTGAAGTGAGCACTGGCGTTGTGAGGAATTCTTTGCAATAGTTGGAATCATGTTCCAGACACATGCTAGAGTATGTGACTATAGGCTCAAACTTTGCTTCCTTCTTTTCCCTTACAGCACCATAGGAATGTTGGCATTTTTTTGCTAGCTGTTCCACTGGGTTCTGGGAAGAATATGAAAAATTTGCACATAAAGAGGTTTTTTTTTTTTTCTTGAGACAGAGTCTTGCTCTGTCGTCCAGGCTGGAGTGCAGTGGCGCTGTCTCGGCTCGCTGCAAGCTCCGCCTCCAGGGTTCAAAAAATTCTCCTGCCTCAGCCTCCCGAGTAGCTGGGATTACAGGCGCCCGTCACCACGCCCGGCTAATTTTTTGTTTTTTTTTTTAGTAGAGACAGCGTTTCACCGTGTTAGCCAGGATGGTCTCGATCTCCTGACCTCATGATCCACCTGCCTCGGCCTCCGAAAGTGCTGGGATTACAGGCATGAGCCACCATGCCCGGCCAAGAAGTTTCAAAATAAGTTTTAAAAGATGAAATAAATAACCATTTAAGATTCTTGTTACAAAAAATAAACTTCAAATTTTCAGATATAATATTAGTTTATGTAGACTCACTCAACAGATTTGGGCAGGATTTATTTATTTATTTATTTATTTATTTATTTTTGAGACAGAGTCTGCTCTGTCACCCAGGCTGGAGTGCAGTGGTGTGATCTTGGCTCACTGCAACCTCTGCCTTCTGGGTTCAAGTGATTCTCTTGTCTCAGCCTCCCAAGTAGCTGGGATTACAGGCGCCTGCCACCAGGCCCCGCTAATTTTTGCATTTTTAGTAGAGACGGGGTTTCCGCCATGTTGGCCAGGCTGGTCTTGAACTCCTGACCTCAGGTGATCTGCCTGCTTCAGCCTCCCAAAGTGCTAGGATTACAGGTGTGAGCCACTGCACCCAGCCAAGACTTTTTTTTGTTGTTGTTACGCTAAGGAAATTTCTGTTATAACAACATACTGGTACTTTGTATCAGCTGGGACTTTGGCGGCTTGACTTATTCAAGGATTATGCACTTGCAACACGGTGGTCCTGGCTGGGTTAGGTTAACAGGGTTCCCGGGACCCGAAAGACAATACTGGGTACTTAGAAGTGTCTGTATTGTTTCCCGTCATTCTTAAGGGACTCAGAAGTCCCTTGGGAAGGAAGTTGATTCCTGTTGATGATGGGTTATATTCTCATAGCTTATGACGCCATGATATGTCATAAGTCTCATCTCATCTGAGACACTGCATCTCAGTCTTTCTCCTGCCACCTGTGAAGAATTCCAGATGTTTCCATAGGCCCCACACAAAGGCTTAAGTTCACATCAGAACTGTCTGATTATTCTTAGTTTACACATCAGAACTGTCTGATTATTCTTAGAGTTTACAGAAATTGTAAAAAATATTTCTGGGATATTTGAATTCTTAATTAAAATTTCAGGAAGCCCAGAGGCTCATTGCATAAATAAATAAAAATAGAAATAGAAATATTCTACTATCTCAATTCACAAATGCTATCTCCTTTCCACATTTTTTTTTTCCCCTGAGGAATAACTGGCAAAAAAGCCTAATGGTTCCTCTAATCATACTTCCATGGAAGTATTACATGTTGTTTTTACTTTGGTTCCTGGGTTTTTCTTCCTTGTCAGTCTTCAGCACTTTTTTTTGGAAGTGAATGCACACCATTGGCCAGTCACCAAGTCACCAAAGCTTGAATTTTTTTTTTTTTTTTTTTGAGATGCAGTCTCACTGTGTTATCCAGGCTGGAGTGCAATGGGGCAATCTCGGCTCACTGCAACCTCCGCCTCCTGGGTTCAAGTGATTCTCCCACCTCAGCCTCCCGAGTAGCTGGGACTACGGGCATGTGCCATCACTCCCGGCTAATTTTTTTGTTTTTGTGTTTTTTTTTTTTTTGAGACAAAGTCTCACTCTGTCACTCAAGCTGGAATGTATGATCTCGGCTCACTGCAACCTCTGCTTCCTGGGTTCAAGCAATTCTCCTGCCTCAGCCTCCTGAGTAGCTGGGACTACAGGTGCCCGCCACTACGCCTGGCTAATTTTTGTATTTTTAGTAGAGACGGGGTTTCACCATATTGGCCAGGCTAATCTCGAACTCTGGACCTCAAGTGATCGGCCCACCTCGGCCTCCCAAAGTGCTGGGATTACAGGCGTGAGCCACTGCGCCCTGCCCAAAGCTTGAATTTTATACCTGTTTTCTTTTGTGCAATGTACTGTATCACTAAAAAGCTAGAATTTTTAAAATTTATTTAATTTTTTTAATTTTTAATTTCCATAAGTTTTGGGGGAACAGGTGGTATTTGGTTGTATGAGTAAGTTCTTTAGTGGTGATTTGTGAGATTTTGGTGCACCTATTACCTGAACACTATACACTGAACCCAATTTGTAGTCTTTTATTCCTCACCCCCTTCCCGCCCTTTCCCCCTGAGCCTCCAAAATCCACTGTAGCATTACCATGCCTTTGCATCCCCATAGCTTAACTCCCACTTATGAGTGAGAACATACAATGTTTGGTTTTCCATTCCTGAGTTACTTCACTTAGAATAATAGTCTCCAATCTCATCCAGGTTGCTGTGAATGCCATTAAATCATCTCTTTTTATGGCTGAGTAGTATTCCATAATACATACGTATACCACAGTTTCTTTATCCACTCATTGACTGATGGGCATTTGGGCTGGTTCCACATTTTTGCAATTGCTAATTGTGCTGCTATAACCATGTGTGTGCAAGTATCTTTTTCATATAATGACTTCTTTTCCTCTGAGTAGATACCCAGTAGTGGGATTGTTGAATCAAATGGTAGTTCTACTTTTAGTTCAAAAAGCTAGATTTTTTACTTTAATTAAGGTAGACCTCATTAAAATCTTTTATTACATTTTTTTGAGTTCAAGTCTGGACCCTGAATTTTCTATTGTGCATCTAGATTTCTGTTTGTATAAGCTTAAATGTATTAATTCTCTTTTGAGATTGGTTCCTATTTTGGATATTAGGCTTTTGATCTCAAAAGAGTAGTTGGTTTCCACACTTCTACTTTTCGTGTCTACGTTGACCCTGGAGCACTCATTTATCTTCACTATTTGTCTTAGTCCATTTGTGTTGCTATAAAGGAATACTGAGGCTGGGTTATTGATAAAGAAAAGAGATCTATTTGGCTCATGCTGGGATAATGTTTGTAAATTTTAATTGCAGTGAATGGGTATTTATGTTTACATCTCTAGCTTATTTTACTGTGTGCATTTTAGCCATTGTAATTCATTTTATTATTTATTTTACAGTAATATTTATTATGAATTGACTAATGCTGTATAAAAAGCATGGCAGCAGCATCTGCTTCGGGTGAGGCTTCAGGCTGCTTCCACTCAAGGTGGAAGGTGAAGGGGACCAGCGTGTGCAGAGATCACATGGTGAGGGAGGAAGGAAAAGGGCTGGAGGAGGTGCCGGGTTCTTTGTAAAAACCAGCTTTCATGGGAACTAATAGAGGAAGAACTCAATCACTTCCTCCCAGCCCAGAAAGGGCGCTAATCTATTCATGGGGGATCTACCCCCCATGGCCCAAACACCTCCCATTAACATTGTAGATCAAATTACATGTTGAGATTTGGAAAGGTCAAACATCCAAACTAAAGCACTATTATAGTCTTATCTCCCTGTTAAGGGCAGCTCCTTCCTTTTCCTTGGAGATGATGCAGAGAACCTAATCCTACCTCCCTTCCTGGCCAAGAGGCCAACAAGTAGAGTTAAGTCACAACATGGCACAGCTGCTGAACTGAATAAGGGAGCAATGCAACCCTATGTTGAAGGAGCGGGAGGATTTACCCAATGCGTGCTGGCAGAAGAATGGAAGAAACTGGATTCTTAGGTGCTGGATCAAGGGGAGTGAAACATAAAGTTGGAAAAGGGAGAACTTATCAATTTGGGAGCATCCTGCTGGGATCTAGAATTTAATATGCTGGCAAGACCCCTGGAAGAGACACGCTACTGGGATGGCTCTTAGAGCCTGGGAAAAGCACTGTACTACACTAAGGGAAGCAGAAATGCCAGAAATGCCAGAACTGCCGTGGCAGACAGAGAAGAAGGCCTCAGAGAAGTGGGCATCTAGAACTCATACACACACAAGGCTAGAAACCTCACCAATTGATTACATTGCACACAAAGGCACAGAGGGCCTTCCATTGTCCTAAGCAATAAGAAATGCACTAGTGAGAGGGGTGCTGGAAGCAGTGAGAAGCTCAGTGGTGGTTCTCCCAGGGCTGTAGTAGGAGATGCCACTGCAGAATTTGGTTTATTGATATAAATTGATATGATAGGACATTGAAATAACAGAGGCCAGGTGGCAGCACTCTACCAGAAGCCAGGCAGGTGCAGTTAAGATAAAGAGTGTCAAAGATGGATGGCAGTCAAGGAGGATTCACCCACATGGAGTGGTAAAAACAGTTAAAGAGTGTGATGTCCCTAGGGGTAAGACAGATGGCAAATGAGTGAGGATATTATTTACTTTATACAACTAGAAGAAATCAAGGGTGGATGATCAGGAAGCTGAGGGCAGCTGCCCAATAAACAAATAATGATCCTTTGCTCAGTTTTCAAACTTGAGCCAATTTTCTAACGTGGAGTCCATTGACTGAAAAGAAGTCTGGATCTTTGGGAGAGGACTTTACTATATTACAGCAAACATGCACAGCAATGATTCGGCCAATCTGTCCCTAGAGGGACCTAAGGCCACTTGCTTGGGTAACCACATGCAAGAGGAAGGGGCATGGCAGCTAGCTCCCAAGATCAGCTCCTAGCTCACCTCCTAGTCTTCATGCCTCTGTGTGGTCCTCTTGCATGTTGAATGGGGCCAACCTGTAACAAATCGGACATTGCACAAATGATGGAGTGTGACTTCTGAAGCTAAGGCATAAATACACTGTGGCTTCTGCTTTGCTCTTAAACATCACTGCATTTGGCAGACGCCAACTGCCATTTCATAAGGACACTCAAACCAACCTTTGGAGAGGTTCAAGTAGCAAGGAACTAAGGCTTCCTGGGAACAGCTCCTGTGAACAACAGCCATGCATCATAGAACTGGATCTTCCAGTTCCAATCAAGCTTTCAGTTGACTGTAGCTCCAACCCACATCTTTTTTTTTTTTTCTTTTTTTGAGTGGAGTCTTGCCCTGTCGCCAGACTGCAGTGCAGTGGAGCGATCTTGGCTCACTGCAACCTCCGCCTCCCGAGTTCAAGCGATTCCCCAGCCTCAGCCTCCCAAGTAGCTAGGACTGTAGTGGTGGCAAGACTCCTGGAAGAGACACACACAAAAACTATTTTTTTTATATTTTAATAGAGACGGGGTTTCACCATGTTGGCCAGGATGGTCTAGATCTCCTGACCTCATGATTCGCCTGCCTCGGCCTCCCAAAGTGCTGGGATTACAGGCATGAGCCACCACGCCCGGCCTCCAGCCCACATCTTGACTGCAACCTTGTGAAAGATCTTATGCCATAACCTCACAGGTCAGCCACTCCCAAATTCCAGACCCACAGAAACTCTGTGAGATAATACATGTTTATTGCTGTTTTAAGCTACTAAATTTTAGTGTAATTTGTTACACCGTAATAAATAAATAATATAGGGACCAGACACTTCAATGACTATCTAGGTCTGAATTGATACCCAGAGAATTAAAGCCTCATTGTAGACTCCCTGTTAGGGTGGGGGCCGATAGGTACAAGATGATTAATTAAGTCTAGGCCTAGGTCAAGCCACAGTGCGTCCACTGTCTCCATGGACTTAGGTGGTGGTTGTTTCCACAGTTGCGAAGTGTACAATTGGAATGGACACACTTGGTACCTGCCATAACTGCTGCATTATTTGGCCTGTGAGGTAAGAGATGTTGTAACAGAAGGCTGAGTGGAATGCCCTAAAACTGAAAGACAATTCTGCATCCCAAGAGTGTTAGAGATGAGTGTCAGCCTTAAGGACTTAGAAGACGCAGGTGTGATGGCCCCAGCCCATCTCTATTTAATTCACCAGCCTGGCCCCTGCAGAAACCACTGGATTCTGGATAATGATAGTGCACTACTGCAAACTCCATCAGAAGGAGCCCAGATTGCAGCTGCTGGGCTTGGCATGGTACTTTTTTTTTTTTTTTGAGACAGAGTCTTGCTCTGTCGCCCAGGCTGGAGTGCAGTGGCATGATCTTGGCTTACTGCAACCTCCGCCTCCTGAGTTCAAGCAATTCTCTGCCTCAGCCTCCCGAGTAGCTGGGATTATAGGCACCCACCACCATGCCTGGCTAATTTTTGTATTTTTAGTAGAGATGGGGTTTCACCATCTTGGCCAGGCTGGGCTTGAACTTCTGACCTTGTGATCCACCCACCTCGGCCTCCCAAAGTGCTGGGATTTCAGGCGTGAGCCACTGTGCCCAGCCTGGCCTGGTATGGTATTTTTTACTAAAACAGATGAATGTAGCCTTTAGGGGATGATATGTGGCCATTGTTCTGGTGAATGCGTTATTTTCCATCACTCTTGAAAGGAAAAAAACTGTTTGCATTCCCTTGACCAGACAATCGTATGTATTTAGTCTTCCCTCAGGTGGTGCTAACTCTCCTACCCTCTGTCATGTGTGATATATAGTCTGAAGAGAACTGGACCTCCTGGACATCCTGCAGAACGGCACCCTGGTCCACTGTATCATGCCTCATGTCAATCAGATATCAGATGGGTGAGCAAGATGCAGCAAGTGTACTGAAGGCCTTGGAAAGACACATGGGCTTCAGATCATGGGAGACAAACCCTAAGTTTCAGAGGCCCATCACATCAGTTGTAGAAGTCTGGTGTTCCAAGGCGCACTGGGGATAAATGTAAAGGATAAATTATTGCATCTCACACCTCCCACCATGAAGAAGGAAGCACAGTGCTGGTAGGTCCCATCGTTTCTGGAGGCGGCATATTCCATATCTGGGAATACTCTTCCTACCCATAGACTGGATTACATGGAAGGCTGCCTCCTGTAAGTAAGGCCCAGAGGAGGGCTCTGGAGTAGATCCAGGCTGCAGTGCAAACAGCCCTTCTGCTTGGGCTGAACAATCCAGCATGCCTTAGGTTACTAGTGATCTCAGAGGTAGGGAAAGGCCACCATGTTCAGTTTACAGAAAGTTCCACTGGGGAATCATGAAGGACTCCTAGGGCTCCGGAGCAACGCCATGCCATCTACAGTAGAAAATTTTACACTCTTCATTAAAGAGCTCCTGGTGTGCTGCTGCTG
Source organism: Homo sapiens (assembly GCF_000001405.40). Lineage (NCBI taxonomy): Eukaryota > Metazoa > Chordata > Mammalia > Primates > Hominidae > Homo > Homo sapiens. The sequence goes on from NC_000021.9 coordinate 31,864,476, forward strand.
GACCACGGTAGAGATGAAGCAGCTGGACATGGGACACCAAGTGACCATATGCACCTCCAGAGGTGCCCCGCACAGGCTCATCAGGTTCTAAGGCTAGGTGGGCCCTGCAGTATCCAAGGCAAGACAGAAGTTCTGCATCCATGATCAAATATATCAGCAGGGCCTGAAGGCCCAAGCCAGCTACACTGGCAGCTAGCTCAGAATTCCAGAGCCCCCACCACTGTTGCACCAAGGGTACTCCCTCAACTCACACCTATGGCCACATTTGGAAGGGGAAATCCTTATGATCCACAGATGGAGGAAGAAAAAGTGAGCTTGGATCTTGGATGGCAAATGTGGACAAAAATGGACAGTGACTGCCCTACAGCTGTACTCAGGATGGGCCAGAAAGGCAACATCAAGGGGAAACCCTGATGGGTGGAGCTTCATTGGTGCACCAGGTCATCTACTTGGTTTAGATAAAGAATACGTATCTTCCCCCTTCCCTCCCTCCTTCCCTCCCTCCCTCCCTGCCTTGTTTCCCCTTCCTTTCTTCCTTCCTTCCCTTCTCCTCCTCCTTCTTCTTGTTCATCATCTACTGATCAATGTGTCTATTGATCTATTTTCTATTAATCACCTATCTAGGTGTCATCTATCTCTCTATCTCTTTATCCGTATCTACTAATTATCTATCATCCATTGGTCATTCATTATGTATCTGTCATGTATCATCCTTCTATCTATTGAATCTATCATCTGTTTCTATCAATCATCTATTTATCTATCATCTATTTATTGGTCTGTCTCTTTACTAATTATCTATTATTTGTTGGGCACAGTGACTCATGCCTGTAATCCCAGCACTTTGGGAGGCTGAGGAGGGAGGATGGCTTGAACTCAGCAGTTTGAGACCAGCCTGAGCAACATGGCGAAACCCCGCCTCTGCAAAAAAAAAACACACAAAAAATTAGCCGGGTGTCGTGGTGCATGCCGATAGTCCCAGCTGTTTGGGAGGCTGAGATGGGAGGATCACTTGAGCCCAGGAGATAGAGGCTGCTACAGTGAGCCGTGATGGCACCACTGCACTCTAGCCTGGGCAACAGAGCGAGACCCTAGCTAAAAAATCTATTATCTATCTATCTATCTATCTATCTATCTATCTATCTATCTATCATCTATCTATCTATCATCACTATCTTTCTACACACATGGACTCATTGGCAGTAGCAAATGGCTTGGGCAGTTGATCAGGGGCCTGGAAGGAGGGAAACTGGAAGGTGAGGGTTGAGGAGCAGGCCTAGAATAGTGGCACGCTCTGCATGGCAGTGGGCCCAAAGCCTGCAGATGTGTGTATCACATGCTAATGCTCAGCAGAAAGCCTCCGCCACGGAATGAAAAAGCCCCGGACAAACTGGTCTTTTGACCCATTCACTCTTTGCTTTATTTTAAATGTATCGTTTTCAGATTTATGTCCCAGACACTTTTCGCTCTGATGTAAGAATGCCGTGCTAAGAACAATAACCAAAATAGCTTCTATTTTCGTAGCATATGCCCATAATTTGCCTCATTTTACCCTGGCAGCAGTCCTGGGACTTAGGAATGACAGGGAGAAGTTCTTCCTTTCCAGATGGAGAAAGCGGATGCTTAGAGACAGTAAGAGCCCTGCCCAGGGCCACGGAGGCAGCTCTGGCCTCCGGTCCTGCATTCTCTTCCCGGTTTCTTGGGCCCCTCTGGGCTGCGGAGGGAAAGCAGAGCCGAGTTGACCAGCAGGGGGCGCCGGCCTCTTTTTGTCTACATCTGTCCACCTGGCTGTGCCAGGCAGGCTTCTGCAATCAGCACGCGTGCCCAGTTCTGTGACTGGTGAGTGGGCTCAGTTCCAGGGTGCCCTCCGCCTCACTGCATCTCCACCTGCTGGCCACACCGTAGACCATGCTCTGTTGTATGTGCTCACTTCTAAGTATCCCCAGACCCCTCGCTGCTGCAGGCTCTACTCAATCCCTACTAAGAAATGGACAGGAGTCAGCACCCAGCGAAAGGCTGTAAATAAGCCTCAGCGCTAACAATAACCTTTCCCTCCCTGCCATAATACAAATGTGGAGCTTGTCATCGAGGCTCCTCTTTGAGGCATGAATATTGATCTTTTGCCATATGTCTTTATGATGTGTGCTTTCTCCAGCAGGACCCGGTTTTGTTGCGTTTCTCCTTTCTGCCTTCTCATTTATTATGGTCGTCTGCTTCTGCAACGAGACTCCCTGTGAATTACAAATTTAGTCAACCACAATGAATTTGTGTTGAGCACTCCCCAGGAGCCAGGCACCATGCATAGTGGACTTAACCAAAGTCCCAGCCCTCATGGAGCAGACATTCTAGGGAAGGAGCCAGACAAAAAGCAAAACAAAGAGGGAAATGATGTAATTTGTCAGATGGCAATAAGTGCTGTGAAGGAAAATAAAGCAGGGAAGGGGATAAGGAGGTGGGGTGCAGGGGAGTGGGGCGTAGCCCAGGGGAAATTTGCATCAGAGAGAAAAGGTCAGAGAAAAGGCCCACAGAGAAGGTGACATTTGAGCAAAGACCGGAAGATGATGAGGAAGCCAGCTCTACAGATATTTCTTGGAATAATATTCCAAAAAAGTAAAAAGAGCCCACTGGGGGAGTGGGTCCCACACACAGGTCAGTGTGGCTGGAGGGCAGTGAATAGGAGGAAGTGAGATCAGAGACATGATGGGATGAGGGAAGAGAGATGAGCCCTGCAGGGTGGGATGCAGATTGTGCTGGGCCTGGCAGGGCCATAGGGATGATGTTGGTGTCAGTGTACGATGGGAAGCCACTTTCAAATGAGACATGCATACAAGGGGGAATGGTCCAGATCAGTATGTGTGATGGCCTCTTCCTATAGAATATTTAAAGTTCCATTCCTTCTCAATAGCCTCTATCAGGGATTTACAGGAAGAGACCACACATCAAGACGTCCTAAAGCCCTGGGCCCATCTGTAGTTGGGAGGTGGCAGGTACATTTTTCTTACTGAAATAGCCATTACATTCATCTTTTGGAGACCGATGGAGGTACAACTGTGATGAGTCCTGTGAGAAGCCATCAGCATCTTGTTTGAAGAATGCACCTTTTTCTTCTTGAATATCAGCTCAGTGGCTGCTGGGAAGCAGCTGCCGGAGGTTGGCCTGGTGTCACCATCCGTACACCATCATGCTGCAGTGCCACAACCACACAAAGCTCAGCAACTCCTTCCTCTCCCACATGGACAGATCAAGAGTTGAGATGAAGCTCCGCATTGCCATTGCTGCACATGTACAGTGTACCAGGCATGCATAGGTGTTGGGATACAAAGTCCCTCGCTTCATGGACATTAAATGAGAGAGAGAGAGAGAGAGAGAGAGAGAGAGAGAGAATAAACACATAAACAAGTGAATGCACATTCTTCTGTTAGCTAATGATGAATGACATGAAAAGTTGAGTGTGGTAGTTAGCGACCCTGGGACAGTCTGCCTGATTTCTGATTTTCTGATTGAGAGAGCAGAGCCCTGAATGAAGCAAGAAACTTCAGCAATGTTGAAGAAGTGTGTCATGAACTGAATGTTTGCATCCCCCTGGCCCAAGTTCATACATTGCAGCTGTGACCTCTGATGTGATGGTATTTGCAGGTGAGACCTTCGGAAGGCATTTAGGCTTAATAGAGAGCATGAAAGTGGGACCCTCATGATCCGATTGGTGTCCTTATAAGAAAAAGAAGAGACCAGGGCTGTGTGTCTTTCTGCCATGAGAGCACGTGGCGAGAGCACTCGTCTGTCAGCCGGGAGGACAGCCTTCATCAGGAACTGAATCTGCTAGCACTTTCGTTCTGGACTTCTCAGTCTCCATCATCACGTGAGTCAATTTCTCAGTCTCCATCATCATGTGAGTCAATTCCTTAGAGTAAATCTCTATATATGTATATCTGCTGGAACCTAAATCTTGGATTCCTCAGAACAATAAGAAAGAAATGTCTGGTGTTTAAACCGCCCAGTCTAGGTGTTTTGTTATGGCAGTCTGAGCAGACAAAGACACAGAGGTAAAGCCTTTGAAGCAGGGAAGAGCTTGGTGTCTGGCTCCCAGGAGGTGACAGTGAAGAGGTGGGCAGGGCCATATCATGACAAAGCGCTTGGGGAATCTTTTCTGCAGGGGTCTGTTGAACAGCTTTCGAGTGCAGGGAAGTGATATGATCTGATTCCCATTTTTTTTTTTTTTTGAGATGGAGTCTTGCTCTGTCGCCCAGGCTAGAGTGCAATGGCATGATCTTGGCTCACTGCAACCTCTGCCTCCAGGGTTCAAGCGATTCTCCCTGCCTCAGCCTCCCGAGTAGCTGGGATTACAGGTGCCTGCCACCACGCCCGGCTAATTTTTGTATTTTTAGTAGAGATGGGGTTCCGCCATGTTGGCCAGGCTGGTCTTGAACTCCTGACCTCAGGTGATCTTCCCCCTTGGCCTCCTTAAGTGCTGGGATTACTGATTCCCATTTTGAAGAACTGGTTTTGGCTTTGGCGTGGAAGCAAAGGATGCCACTTAGGAAGTGAGAGAAAGGGTCACAGGCGGGTATAGGATTTGCTGATGGGTTGGATATGAGAATCGAGAAGCAGAGGAAGCAAAGGATGACTGCTAAATTTTGGGGTGAATTTGGGTGAAGCCTTAGGAAAGAAGCACAGAGGGGTGTGTGTGGGTGTGTGTGTGTGTGTGTGTGTGTGTGTGTGTGTGTATCCCAAGTTAAATGTGAGTGAGATCCTATCAGACAGCCCGGCAGAGTTGAAGAGGGTTGACATAGGACTCTGGTTTCAGGGAAGAGATCCAACCTGGAGATTATGCTTTTGGATTCATCATTTACCAGGGCAATTGTGCTGGTGGACCTCTGGGGCATTCTTGAGTGACTTCTCTTAGTTTATGATGATGATAGTCGTATTGATGGAAGGTGTGAAAGCCAAAATTCACCTTGTACTTATAATGTGCCAGGCACTGATCTGAGTGCTTTGTGTGCACAATCTGATTGACTCCACACAATTCCTTAATATCCCATTTTTGCAGCTTAAGGAAACTGAAGCATCAAAAGGTAAGTGTCACGACTCATTTTTAGAGAAGCATTTCATTGTGGGGATGCTGGCAGTAGCCTACTCTGCAATAGCACACTGGGCTGCCTTTGCACACGAGTCTTTATGCCTGAGGAACCCTTTCTTCCTCAGCCATTGCATTGTGCACGTTCAACAGCTGGGTGTTGTGAAAGAATAATGCTGGACACGAACTCTGGGGACACGGGTTCAAGTCCAGTCTGTTATTTATGGGACACTTTGTTTTGGGAACATGAACATATAGAGTTCACAGGATGTCTTCCAGGCAAAGTTGATCCATGTCTGCCGTCTTTGCTTTGCCATCCGTTCCTTCTCCAGTTACCAGACGGCTTCTGCCAGCCTAACCCCTTCTAGCCAACTCTCATTTCCTGGCTGTGCCAGCCTGATTACTTCTAATTGTCTTTGACTGCTTCCAGCTGGGTCTAGAAGCTGGCGTTCTGTGGGAGCACAGAGGCAGTCTCCCAGCCATATGGGGCGAGGAGATGGGGAAGGAAAAGGGAAGGAAGGAAGCAGCTGGTACGAGTCAACTGAGAAAGCTTCCCAAGGCTTCACAGCCCACTGGGATTGCTCCTGTTTCTGAAAGGGTTAACTCATCCAAGTTAGAGAATGATCCATCTTCGACAAGACAAACAATTATATTTGTTGATCCCCAAAGGCAACCAACAATGCACCTAAAAATGCTTTTAGAAAGTCACTGGTAACTTGTCTCCCCCAGGACTTGATGGGGTCTTGCTCTCAGGAGCAGTAAAACCCCACTTGAGAATCAGTGAATGATTACTTTCATTCATTTATTCAACAGATATTTACTGAACAATGATCATGTCTCAGACACCGTGCTAGGTACTGTAGGGCAAATAATGAAATTAGACACAGCTCCTGTCCTCAATAAGTCTAAAAGAGAAGAAAGTCATAGATAATAAGTACTACAGGACATAAGAGGAATGTGAAATGACTATATGAACTAAGAGACAACAGAGGGAGATGGGCTTCTTGCAGCTTATTGGTTGGGGAGGTCTTCATGGGAAAGGGAACACCTGTGCTAGGTGGAAATGAGTCGGAGACAGCAGACTGGGGGCGGGCAAGGCACAGGCAAAGGTGTGGCAGTAGGGAGGCCGGATCCCGGCCAGCACCACCCCCTACCCGGGAACTCCGCAGGAGGATAAGGCTAGAAATTAGTTTGGGCTAATTAGCAGAGAATTTTCAAGGCTGCATTACTGTTGCATTGAATAATCAGATGCTTTCTGCACACTGAATATGAGGGCAATATATTGTGTACTAATTTGTTTTACATAAAGACATTTCTGGGGTGATTTCTTGTTAAACAGGCCATTTCAGAGACTAGGACTTGTAGTTCCAAAACCAGTTACAAAGGGGACGCACGGATAGGATTTGGACTTCTCTTTGGCATCCATCCCAGCTTATGGAATTAGCAGTGAACTTGAATCAAACCCAGGCAGCAGGCTTGAAAAAGATTTAATGGGCCTGGATTTTCTCTCTTCTTCACCCCTTTCCTGACCTCTACCCTGAGAGGATAATTAAAAGGAAAGAAAATCTCTATTTCATTGTAAATGTCATCCACCATTTTTATGAAACTTTTTTTTTTTAGACCATAAAAATACTTTGGGGAACAGTCTCAGAAATTTCCCTTAAACCTTAATAAATAAATCTCTAAATTTTCATAAAGAGTGCATGTCCTAACATTAAAAAAAATCATACTCTATTAACACAACATTGGGTGGACTCCCAAACTGTTTCTGATGGAAGATTCAGAGTGGTTTTTTTTTTTTTTTTTTTGAGAAGGAGTCTTGCTCTGTCGCCCAGGCTGGAGTGCAGTGGCAAGATTTCAGCTCACTGCAACTTTCGCCTCCTGGATTCAAGCAATTCTCTGCCTCAGCCTCCCGAGTAGCTGGGATTACAGGCGCCCGCCACCACGCCCGGCTAATTTTTGTATTTCTAGTAGAGACAGGGTTTCACCATCTTGACCAGGCTGGTCTTGAACTCCTGACCTCGTGATCTACCTGCCTCGGCCTCCCAAAGTGCTAGGATTACAGGCGTGAGCCACCGCGCCCGGCCTCAGAGTGGTTTTTACCCCAAAGTGAGCTCCATATTCCTCATTCTTTAGACAGTTGCTGGACATCTATTCTGCTGGCACCACGCTAGTTACCATTCCCCTCCCATGCAACTGTCCTGTTAAGATTTGATTACTGAATTAGAGACATTAAAAGGATTGAATGAACGTTACTGAAATAGTCAAGGCCGGTGGGAGCAAAGAAGTCCCTTCAGCACAGCAAGAAAAACATTTTAAGCTGTATCTTTAATATTGGTAAACGGGAACAATGAGACAGAACAACAGAAAACGCAGTATGTTCCGTCATAATAACTGAGGCTGGTGACTTGTAACAGGTAGGTGGATGAATATAGTAGCGTATTTAAAATTAGATGTATTGAAAGCAGGCATTTCTCTGCGTCCCTCTTCAGATGGGTCAGCGAGACCCCCAGACACTGGATTGATGACAGCTGTTGTTCCCCCACCCCCCACTCCCAATCTCAAAGCATTGCTATGGGTCGATGTCATACTTGTTTACTCAGGAATAAACAATGAAAGGAACTTTGTTAGGACCAAATCCTTCCTTTCAGCTCTGATGTTGCATGATCGGGGTGAAGTTTCCATCAAATGCGGGCACCTCAACAGGTAGCATTTTGTAAATGCCTCCTCCTACCTACCCTCCTCCTTCTCCCTCACAAGATTCTTCATTTTCGGTTTGAGAAGACGTTGGGGATCCTGGGAGAGGGTCCAGTGTCGTCAGGGCAGTTGCAATTGTTTATGCGATGAGCACAGTCACAGCGCTTGCAGAACAAAAGCATCGAAGAGAGGCGAGCGCCGGTCCACCTCCTGCAATCACAGGCATCATTTCAATGGAAGGCAAAGAAGGTGTAAGCTACAAGCAGAGGCAGCAAACGCCCTGGTTCCTACATTGCTGCTGCTACTATTACTGCTGTGGCTGCGCCTCCTCCAACACAGCCAACCAGGCTGCGTGCGAGCCCGGGCAGACGCCTGGCCGCCTCCCCACCCTTTCTTCCAGCCATCCATCTATCCTTCCACCCCCGGTCCAGGGGGCCCTACTGTGTGGCGGACTCAGGGCCGGGCACGCAACCCGACTCACAGTCCACGGAGTTCGAGAGCCTTCCCCCTTCCCCCCGCCCCGGGTGGGTGCGGCCAGTGGGGGATTTCACCGCCGAAAGGTCCAGAAAACCCAAGCCCAGAATCCGGGCAAGAGGCGCAGCCGGAGGCGGCCCGACCTGGGCGGCCCGGGAGCGCGCGCCTCCGAGGCCGCGCAGGTTCTCCCTGTCTGGCGCTCAGGTGGCTTCTCCGTCCACTCCGCCGCTCCCCTCCCCGGGCCCTCCCCTCTCCAGCGAGGGTCGAGTTTGACTGTGGCGCGCGGGGAAGGAGGGGCTACTAGGGATTTGAAAGTGCACGGGCTGCGGAGTGGAGCTCGCATCTGTTCCCGCCGCCCGCGAGCGGATTAAATTTCTGCAAATTCAAACTGAATGGGGCTTTCTTCTGCTGCCTTCCAGAGGGCGCCGGCAGCCCGCCGCGCGCTTCTCTCCGGCGGGAGCGGCCGCCCAGCGCACGGCTAGGAGCGATCGCGGGAGCCCGACCCAAGCCCGTGCGGGCCAGACGGCGGCGGCGAGGCGGAGGCTGCGGAGGCACCCGGGCTCCCGGACCCAGGCACCCGGACCCCGGGACCCAGGCGCCGCCGGACCGCGCCCCACCCCGCGCGCCCGAGCAGGGCGACTGTCATTAGCTTCCTGGACGGGACCCGGGGCGGGATCCTGGTGTCCTGAAAGGGGCCCGGGCGACCCTAAGAGGAAGAACTTTTGGGGGCGGGGTCCCCGGTCCCGCGTCCCCTGGGCAGCCGCTATTGTCTACGCGCCTCGCTGGGCGGCGCGGGGGGCGTGATCGCGGCGGCCCCGGGCTCTGGGTGCGGAGACCCAGGCGGGGCTGGGCCCAGGGCGGCGGCGGGAGAAGCCGGGGAAGCCGAAGAGCCTGGGGAGGAGGAGCTGCGAGCGCGGGAGACGAGCAGGAGCCGCGCGGGCCGCGGCGAGCGCGATGCCGGCGGCGGCGGGGGACGGGCTCCTGGGGGAGCCGGCGGCGCCTGGGGGCGGCGGCGGCGCGGAGGACGCGGCCAGGCCCGCGGCGGCCTGCGAGGGAAGTTTCCTGCCTGCCTGGGTGAGCGGCGTGCCCCGCGAGCGGCTCCGCGACTTCCAGCACCACAAGCGCGTGGGCAACTACCTCATCGGCAGCAGGAAGCTGGGCGAGGGCTCCTTTGCCAAGGTGCGCGAGGGGCTGCACGTGCTGACCGGGGAGAAGGTGAGTCTCCCGGGCGCCGTGGGGCTGGGGCACAGGGGCGGGAGTCGGCGGCCAGGACCCCGCGGGGAGCACTGCACTGGGAGTCCCAGTGTGCAGTCCCGGGCCAAGCGCCTTCCCCCTCCGCCCGGCTTTCCTGTTGGGTTAAAACGCGCGCTCAGCATCTCGCAGCCTTTCCCGAAGGCGGCCTGCGGTCCGCTGCCCGGGGGTTGGGGGCTTGGGAGGGGACGGCCTTGCCCCGGGAAGCGTCCCGCGCGGCCGTTCTGCTCGTGGAAGGGCGCCGCCTGGCGACACTAGCGCGGGGGGCGGGATGGGGCCCCTCTGCCCTTCAGGCCGGCAGGGGCGGCGGATCCGTGGCGAGGCGGGAACCAGGGCTAGAGGAGGTGGGCTCTTATGTCGGGGGGCGGGGGGGGCAGGAAAGCTAACAGCCAGCCTCTGGGGGGAGCTTAGAGTCTGATCCCCGTCCTGGGCTCTCGGAGGAGGTGGGAGAAGGCTGAGATCCTGCATTCCTTCCCACCTGTGGGCTCCGGCAGCTAGGGAATGTTTTTTGGCAGCTAGGGAATTTTTCGTGCTCAGAGGAGGGTTTTTGCCTCCGCCCTCCACTTGTCCATCCCTCAACCTGTGCTCCTCTCTATCCACTCAACCCTCCCACCCCTGCCCCCTCATCACCCACCATTCTCATCCCCGCCATTCTCATCCCCTTCTCTCCGTTCCCCCAGCTCCTCTGTGCCCTCCAGCCTCAGGGTGGGAGCTGCAGTGAAGACCCTGCTACTGGCAGGAACAGAACTACAGATACCTCCCCCCAGAGACTGGGAGATGCCTTCTTATCTTTCTAGAAGAGGGGAAAGGAAAGGGGACCTCCGCGAGACCAAAAGGGGCACCTCTCCAGCCTTGTTGGAAGTTAGATGGTTGTGAACCCTTGCCAGGCGAGGGGCAGGTAAGATGGAAGGTGTAACTTAGAGCTGTGAGAAGAAACCCAAGAGCTTGGTGACTCGCTTTTGAGGCCGGGTCACCCCAGGCTGGAGCTGCCCGAGCTCAGAGCCAATCCAGGCTGGAGCTGTCCCAAGCTCCTGTCATCTCGGGCTCAAGACTGCCCCCAGGCTGGGGGTGGCTCAAACCTGGAGGGGGACCAGCTCCTTTGTGTGGTCCGTGGGTCAGGGAGGCGTCAGCCGCAAGGAGGGAAGGCGGAGTTCACTTCCCAACCGAGCAGGTGGCCTGGGAGCCGAGCCCTCTGCCTTCCGACCTGGGGGCCTCTGCCCAGCCTGGGGCTGCCCTGTGAAACCCCTGGTCACAGGGCCAACCTGCCCTTCCTGCCTGTCTCTAGCCTCACCCCACCTGTAGTTCCCTCCCCACCCCATTTCCCCTCTTTGTCTTGGAGCCTTTTGCCTGTGAATGCAGGTCTCCGTCACCCTTGTCATTTTCCCTGTGTTCCCTACAGCCGTTTTGAGTGAGGCACCGCTTTATTATGGGTATGTGGGGATAGAGTGAGTAGTTTTTAGAAGTGCCTCCTGCCTGAATTCCCATGCAAAAAAGGAGCGTTCAGTATGAACTTGAGTAAGTCTTCAAAGAAAAAGGAAAAACCTCCAAACCTCGTTCTAGTCCGCAGGAGCGAGGCACACTTACACTCCTCGATTCGATTCGATTCGATTCGTAGTGAGCTGTCTGACTTCCACACTGCGGGTCCGTTCAGGGCGCGAGGATGCGGCTAATTAGAGTGAGCTCTCTTCTCCTGGCCCTGTGTAAATTCCTGTTGGCACTGGCGATGGAAGTTTATTTTCATTGGAAACGTATAGGATTCAGGCTGGTTGTGCATATTTCCTCTCTAAACATAACGGAAAGAAGCGAGTCTTTATGCTCACAACGTCATGGCAAACACTGCAAGTACATTCTTCTCGCCTGCCCTGGTGCACAGACTTCTTTTCTGGCTTCCCTCCACCTTGCTGTGTTGTGCTGTGCCTCTGGCTCTGTAGCAGCGCATTTTTGCACCATAAAACTCTTGGCTTTGGCTGAACTGCCTGGGGGTGGATTCAGAGCTCAGCCAGCGCTTGGGTTCTGGAGCTCTGTGCTGGGCCCACTGGGAACCCCGACATGCAGGGAATTCTTGCCCAAATAGGATTCACATGAAGAGACTCGCTGCTTCCCCAGGTGCCCACTCCCCTTCCCTCCCATCTTATGTTTCTTAAATGATGAATCTCACTTCATTGTTGCAATGACAGGAGATGTTAATTGGATGTAAAATTATTCCCCTGGACCCATTGGTGGACTGCGGGTAAGGATGGTGGTTCTTTGGGTGGAGAAGGAGGCAGGGGAGAGATGTCTGTGTTGAAAAACTTGGTTTTCCCGGGATGCTCCTCCCCAGCGGGGAGAATCAGTGCTCCAGGGATTGCGGGCATTGGGAGAAATCTGGATTTTAGTTCACTCAATTGCTGGCTTTAAAGAAACAATGGTGTCATTCATAACATTTATCTCCCAAATCCAGCACCTTTAATGCTTAACTAATAGATTTGGGTTTTAGCAGATTGTGGGGATTAAAATGGTTGTGTGTGTATGCTTGACTCTGAGAAAGATTGCTAAATTAAAATGAGTCCTCATTCCCACTCTAGTTTTGGGTATTGCCTAACTAAGGCCAAAACAAAGATGACCACAGCCTCAGGCTATTTACAACCTGAAGTTCTTTTAAAAGGTGAGCTACTAAGATGATTTTGGCCTGGGGAAAGTTTCCTCCAGTGAGCAGAGCTGAGGAAAAGGAGGTCATTAAGCCTCCAGTGTCCCCCACTGTGGGTGACCCAGGGAGGCCTCTCTCCCTCATTAATTCCTCTTTTCTTGGGGTGTGTACATTTTGGATTTAGAATTTCACTTTTCTCCTGTCCTATCTATTTATTTTTTAAATTTTTTATAAAGACAGGGGTCTCACTGTGTTGCTCAGGCTGGTCTCCAACTCCTGGCCTCAAGTGATCCTCCCACCTTGGCCTCCCAAAGTGCTACAATTACAGATGTGAGCCACTGCACCTGGCCCATCCTTTTATAAAGGATCCATTCCACATTAGGAGGGGAATGAAGTCATTAATACTGTAGTGAGAAGTACTCCCAGCCCACGTGGAGCGAAAGGATTCAGGGCAGCTTGTCTTGGGAAATCAGTCCATGAAAAAGCTGAAAGAGGGCATAGGGAAACAGAAGTTGAGAGGGCACCCCAAGTTTGGCCTGCTTCATAGCTGCATTCTCAAACTGTGAGAATTAGTTTTGGGTGATTTGTGCTAAAATCTAGGGCATTGCTAGTTGAAGGCATTTGGTATGGGGGTGTGTGTGTGTGTGTAGCGTGTTGTGTTTCGACTTGGTTACACTTCCAAAAAGCTTTGGGTGAAATCCTTCATGGTTTGCTGGGAATCACTGTCTGAGTCCAGATGACAAAGGGAGCCAGTTTTTCCCAACTTTCCTTTTAGGTTTCAATTTGATCTCATCAAGAGGCTGCTTTTGCCACCACTGCCTGTAGGACAATCTTTTGCCTGCTTTTCCTCTGAAGTTGTTTGTTTAGAAGCCATTTGAATCTAGATGGCTCTTTTACTGCTTGTAAAGGAAAGATGGCTTGCGGCTGAGACCTAATTGTGTCCTCCTTTGAGTTAATGCAATCTCTGTTAATCTGGCTTTAAAAATAAATAGTTCACTTGGCCATGTGAAACTCTTAATAGGTACCTTCACAGTCAGGGCTGAGTGTCTTTGACCAAAGTTGATGATTAGACCAGGGAAAATGATCACAAAACCAGATTCTGAAAAGTACCACTCTCTGGCTTTGAGACGAAGAGCAAAGCTGTTGAGCAACAGTATGGGGTAATGACTTTGAAACACCTGGAGTGGTTGTGCTTGCAGAGCCTGGTATTGATTTGTGATACCTATGAGAGGCGTGGTCTCTGGCACATAACAAGTGCCCCCCGCCCTGGCCCCCAACCAGACAGAGTGACTTGGGGGCTGCTGCATGATCAGATAATATCATCTGTCGACAGAATAAGGAAAGTGACTTACAGAAAATTGAAGTGAGGTCCAGAAACAGGACAGACGTGGTGGCTCATGCCTGTAATCCCAGCACTTTGGGAGGCCAAGGTGGGTGGATCACTTGAGGTCAGGAGTTCTAGATCAGCCTGGCCAACATGGTGAAACCCTGTCTCTAATAAAAATGCAAAAATTAGCCAGGTGTGGTGGTGCATACCTGTAATCCCAGCTACTTTGGAGGCTGCAGCAGGAGAATCGCTTGAATGTGGGAGGTGGAGGTTGCAGTGAGCCTAGATTGTGCCACTGCACTCCAGCCTGGGTGACAGAATGAGACTCCATCTCAAAAAAAAAAAAAAAAAAAAGAGTTTAAGATTTTAAATTTCCATAAACGTTAAACTTTAAATGAAGCAACTTAGAAACCACGTATAATGTTTCTAATACAGACATTATAAATAATGTTTGTAAGGAATCAGTAAAACAATGGTCCTTTATCATCAGCAATATATTTGGATAATTCCTTAGAAGTTTGGTTTAGTGGCTGGACGCGGTGGCTCATGCCTGTAATCCCAGCACTTTGGGAGGCCGAAGTGGGTGGATCATTTGAGGTCAGGAGTTTGAGACCAGCCTGGCCAACATGGAGAAACCCCATCTCTACTAAAAACACAAAAATTAGCTGGGTGTGGTGGTGCACACCTGTAGTCCCAGCTACTTGGGTGGCTGACACATGAGAATTGCTTGAACCCTGGTGATGGTTCGTGATACCTACAAGAGGCATGGTCTCTGGCACATGACAGGTTATTGTGTTTTGTAAAAAATTGATAAAAGTTGAAAAAATATAGTTGGAAAAGCTGAATCGAGAAAAGAGTAGGTGTATCTCAGGTATTGAGCCAGTGTTGTAGGCAGGCAAACTACAGAACAAGAACAGACAGTCCATGCCACTGTTACCTTTTTTGTGATTGAGTCTCACTGAGATACAAAGTTGAGTACATAAAATGATTGGTTAAGATGTTGAAATATCTTGTTCTAACCCTTGGTTAAAGAATAATAAGCCGGCTTGTCACTTCCATCAGAACTATTTTTAGGCTAAGAGTAAGGGTTGCCTGCTTACTAAGTTGCCAGTAATCATGCTTAGAGCATGACAGTGCCAGATACCTGGAGTGAAGGAGTTACTAAAAATACGATTTACTATGTTTTGCAGAGCAAGAAATATGACTAATTTTAGAGGTGGCCTTTTGGCAGATCTGTTTTTAGCAAGTATTTCTGAAACAAACAGGTGCTAAATCCTGTATTTTTGAAGTGCTAGAAGTTTAGGGGTAATCGCTCTGAGGAACAAGAAATGCTTAGAGAACTGGAAATTCCTATTAATCCTTGGCAGGGACTTCTTGGCAAGAAGGAGGCATTTGCAAAGCACCTGCTTGGTGAGCCCTGTGTGACAAGGCAGTGCCTGTAATTTCGAGGATTGCATTCTGCAGTTGCAGGCGGATTCTTTTGAACTTCCTGCCCTGCCTCATCTTTTTGAAGTACTTGTGAATGATGGAAATTGGCACGTAGGGCCTGGTTCCTAGTGTTCATTGATACAGGTCCCACGGACTTCAAAGGGTGCTTTGAGTCAGCGCAACAGTGCAGAAACGGTGCCCACGGAGAGGAGTACAACCCTACATTTTCTCTGCAGGTGTTGAGTCACGGCTATAGCTACCCGTGCATACCAATCCGACTCAGGTCTGTGAGACTATAGAATTCTGCATGCTGCCAGCTATTGGAGGTCAGCGCGGCAATCATCTGTCCCAGGGTTTATCTGCCCAGAAGGGGTGGGGAGTGGCAGCCATGTGCCCCCGAAGAGAGGGACAGGTTGGGGTGTTCTCCATGGGAAGGAGGCTTGGGCACAGGGTTATCATTTGCCTTGGGACATATATTCCCTCTGTCGATTATTTATGGTAACGGAGAGACCTGCTCTCTTGGCTAATTGAAACCCGTAGATAATCCCCAGGCCTTATGTTAGCTGATGGGTGAAACTTCTTTCTCTACTCAGCCCTGGTCTAAGTACTGACCTGAATTGAATTTCACGCTTTCTGATAGGAGGTGCCACTGGGTGGTACGATGACCAGCAGGAAAGAGCTAGAAACACAGGGACTGAATAGTCCCCGAGGAGGGGGATGCCTCTGTGAATTCGAGACAGCTGTTCCCTCTCCTCCATCACCAGCACCAGCCCAGTGCTACAGTGTTTTACGGTTTTTTTCAGGGTGCCCCTCCCGTGCACATTCTTGTTAGATGCCTGCAGCAGCCCTGGTGGAGGGGGTAACAGCCAGCTTGCTGGTGTTCTTGCCTGCCTTGATTACGTAGAAGGGTGCCCTGAGTAGATCTTCTCTCTGACATTCTCTATGAGTTTGCTAGGATGGTTCTAACAAATTACCACACACTGTGTGGCTTCAACAACAGAAATTTATTCTGTCACAGTTCTGGAGGCTAGGATCCAAAACCAAGGTGTTGGCAGGGCCATGCTCCCTCTGCAGCCACAGGGAGAATCCTTCCTTGCCTCTTACTAGCTTCCGGTGGTGGCCAGCACTCTTTGGCATTTTCTGGCTTATGACTGCAGCGCTCTGTCTCTGCGTCTGTCTTCACACAGTGTTCCTCCCTCTGAGTGTCTCTTCTGTCTCTTAATCTTTTCCTATGTCTCTTTATAAGGACACCAGTCATGGGATGTAGGTCTACCCTAATCCAGTGTTGCCTCATTTTAACTCGATGACATCTACAAAGTCCCTATTTTCAAAGAAGATCATATCCACAGGTACCAACGGGACTTGAAGGTATCTTTTGGGGGAGCATAGTTCAAGCTCCAGCACCTTTTTAGACTGTCAGTATTGGGTTGTGGCAAGCGGATCTTGGGAAGGAGATGAATGTGCTTTTAGGGATTACTCTCAGAACTGACCTCTGCAAGGGAAGGGGCAAAGCAGCACTGGGCAGAGGGAGAAGCTGGGCTCCAATACCGCTCTCAGCCAAAGCCCCTGCCCATGCCGTGGTGAGTGCTGGAGCTGAGCTGGCCCTTCAGAGCTGACCAACTTGGGTTGAGAGGACTGGGATTTATATTTCCGCATCGGCCAGTCCTTGATGGGGGCTGCCCAGGCAAGGGGCATGGCCTCGTACGGGACAGTTGCTGAGGGCGGTTCCTGGGGAGAGCTCACAGCTGATAGCCTGCAGCTGAGGCAGTCAGTTCTTCAGCACTGACGGGGAATCTGGGGGTGCAGCCCAGCATTTGCTGTTTACTGAAAGAGACAGGGTCAGAGTCCAGGGCTTTTCATCTGAGTCCATACCATATGGACCGTAGACAACGTGGGCATCTTTTCCATGCGCATTTTGGATATGAGTGGTCATCATTTCCATGTGTTGGTATCAAGTCCTCTCATCTCGTTACCTTGAAATATACAAAGTATGGCCAGGCGTGGTGGCTCACGCGTGTAATCCCAGCACTTTGGGAGGCCGAGGGAGGCAGATCACCTGAGGTCAGGAGTTTGAGACCAGCCTGGCCAACATGGTGAAACCCTGTCTCTACTAAAAATACAAAAAAATTAGCCAAGTGTGTGTTCCTGTAATCCCAGCTACTCGGGAGGCTGAGGCAGGAGAGTCGCTTGAACCAAGGAGGTGGAGGTTGCAGTGAGCCGAGATTGTGCCACTGCACTCCAGCCTGGGTAACAAGAGCAAAAACTCCATAACAACAGCAGCAGCAACAACAACAACAACAACAACAAAGAAATATACAAATTATTGCTGCTAAATATAGTCCCCGTAGCAAACATTAGCATTTAGTCCTTCTATCTATGTATGTTTGTACCCATGAACCAGCTTCTCTTCAGCCTGCCCTACCTTGCTGCTCGACTGTGGTCTCTCTCCCTGCAATGAGGGAGCAGCCGGCGTGGCATCTCATTAGCAGATTCTATGTGCCACACGCTGGGGGATTTTCTGGCCTCACATTTCTCTTAGGTTAGAATCATCAGGGCTCTGTTGTGTTTCTCAGTACTTACAAGATTGAAAGCTCACTTTATATGTATGCTCTATGGGTTTTTTCCTGAGAACTCTGGGGCAACTGAGTGTTGGGCCAAGTTGTGGGCCAGCATGCCTACTTCAGAGACGGTGGCACTTTCCTGGGAAGAGACCCCCCCTCCCCCATCACTCGTGAGTGGTGGGAAAAGTTGTTGAAGGAGTTGTGGGAATTTGGATTTTTGATGAGTAGAGTAACAGTTTGGGACATTCTCATGGACAAAAAAAACTACTCAGGGTAGAGCCATCTGTTAACATCCTCTTAGCACTCTTACGGTGGCCACTGTGCCCTAGCTATGCAACTTCTAATCACTGGGTTCTTTTTGGTTTTTAATCATCTTTGTGTTTTCAAGATGCATTTGGTTAAGTTTTGGAATTGGTAATACAGACACATGGTCTGAAATTCAAAGGTTCTGAGAGGGTTTGCAGTGAGAGGTAACTGCTTCTTATCTGGGCTCTTCAGTTCCTGGATCTTCTCGTGAGAGGTCACTCCTCCTTCTAGTCCTTGTGTATCCCTCCAGAGATACCCTATATGCATAGAGACCCACATACATATTTGTAAATGCGTAGTTAGGGGCAGATTTTTCTTCTTTATTGATACATAATATTTTACATATTTATGGGGTACATGTGAGTGTTCCATGCATGGAGTGTGTAATGATCAAGCCAGAGTATCGGCGTGTCCATCACCTAAGTATTCATTTCCACGGGTTGGTATTATATCAAGTCCTCTGTTCTAGTTACCTTGAAATATACAAAGTATTGCTACTAAGTATAGTCACCCTAACAGACATTAGAATTTAGTTCTTCTATCTATGTATGTTTGTACCCATGAACCAGCTTCTCTTCATCCATCCCTCCCACCCACCAGGGCAGATGTATTTTTAAACTGTACATGCTGTTCATTATCTTGCTTTTTCACTTAGCAATATGTCTTGAGCATTCTTCCCCATGACTACTACAGAATTGCCTCACTCTTTATGTTAATTAGTTATTGCATAGTAGTCATTGTGTGGAAGTATCATGTTGACTTAACCATCCCTTGTTGATGGACATTTAGGGAGTACATAATTTTTTTTTTTTTGTTATTCTCAAACCATACTTCAGTAAATATCCATGACCATTTGTCACTTTGTAAATGTGACCCCTCAGTGTATCTGAGGGGTAAATTCCTAGTCTTAGGCCAAAAGGTATGTCTATTTTAACTGTTGATAAGTATTGCCAAATTGCCTGCCATAGAGGTTGGCAATTTATAATCACATTGATAACCCTTATAATTTATAAGGGTTCCCAACTTATAACCACACCCATCTGGTATGGGAGTGTTTGCTTTTCCACATGTCAGCCAACAGGGTACTCATTTTGATCTTTGCCAATCGAGTGTATTAAACATGGTATCTTGTCTTATTTATTGTTTCTCTTATTTACATGGGAATTGAGTATATTTTCATACCTTCTCAACTGTTTGTACTTCATTTCTGTTCATTGTTCATGTCCATTCGCCAATTTTCTTTTGGGGTTTTGGCCTTTTTCTTATTGATTTATAGGAGCTCTTTATATATTAAGGAAATTAGTCGTCTTTGAGTGATATATTTTGCAGTGTCTACCACCTTCCCTCGCTCCCCATTATTCTTTCTCTTTTTCTTTGTGGTTCTTGCCATTTGCAGAAGTTATTTCTTGGGAGTTCATGAACTAGAGAAGGATAATTGATAAGTTTTGGAGGTCTATGGAGCCCTATCAATTGTGTGCATGTAAACATATTTCTGAGGAGAGGGTCCATGGGTTTCGTCATACTCTAAATGGAGTTATTTACCTCTAAAATATTAAGAGCCACTGCTTTGTTGCCCACCCTTGTTGGCTCTGCTGACTAAATGGAAGTCTGCAGATTACTGGGCTGAGGGTTTGGGTCACCTTGGTTTGTTAACACCGGTGCCAGTTGGGCTACAGTTGTAGATTATACACACTCAGGCTAGGCAGGTTGGTTCTGCAACCATGACCCTGGAGTAAGCACCCTTGATTCTGCCCCGACCCTTACCATGCCTGGATTGCAAGGGAGAGGCATGATACTGTGTGGGATGGTCTTTGGAAATCTTTGACTCTTGCTGGTTTAAGTAAGACAACTGTGAGTCCATGTCCCATCATCTCTTCATGGGAAAGGTGGTACCATTTATGGTGGATGGTTGCTATGATCAGAATGTTTGTGTCCCCCAAAATTCTTTTGTTGAAATTCAAACCTCCAGTGTGATGGTATTTGGAGATGGGGCCTTTGGGAGGTGATGAGATCTACCCTCATGAATGGGATTAGTGCCCTTATAAAAGGTGCCTGACTGAGGTTGCAGTGAAAAAATAAAAAAATAAAAAAGGCCAGGCATGGTGGCTCACACCTGTAATCCCAGACTTTGGGAGGGCGAGGTGGGTGGATCACTTGAGGTCAGGAGCTTGACACCAGCCTGACCAACATGGTGAAACCCCATCTCTACTGAAAATACAAAAATTAGCCAGGCGTGGTGGTGGGCACCTGTAATCCCAGCTACTTGGGAGGCTGAGGCAGGAGAATCACTTGAACCTGGGAGGTGGAGGTTGCAGTGAGCCAAGATCATGACATTGCACTCTAGCCTGGGTGACAAGAGCAAAACTCTGTCTCAAAAAAAAAATAAATAAATAAAGGGTGCCTAAAGGAGCTTGTTTGTCCTTCCACCATATGAGGACTCAGTGAAAAGGTGCCATTTCTATGAGCCAGAAAACACGCCCTCATCAGACACTGGATCTGCAGGTGTGTTAGGCTTAGACTTCACAGCCTCCAGAACTGTGAGAAAGACACGTCTCTTCTTTTTTTTTTCTTTTTTTTGATGGAGTGTCACTCTTTGTCGGCCAGGCTGGGGTGCAGTGGCACCCTCTTGGCTCACTGCAACCTCTGCCTTCTGGGTCAAGTGATTCTCCTGTCTCAGCCTCCCGAGTAGCTGGGACTACAGGTGCGTGCCACCACACCCGGCTAATTTTTGTATTTTTAGTAGAAATGGGGTTTTGCCTTGTTGGTCAGGCTGGTCTCGAACTCCTGACCTGAGGTGATCCACCCGCCTCAGCCTCCCAAAGTGCTGGGATTACAGGCACGAGTCATCGCGCCTGGCCAAATTGTCTGTTCTTTATAAGGCATCCAGTCTATGGTATTATGGTACTATGTTACACCAGCCCAAGCTGACTAAGACAGTGGTTGAGAAGAAAGAGAAAGGGGGAATATCGAGGGAAATGAAAACCTTTCAAGGAGCAAGAGCCATTACGTAACTTGGACATAAAATGCACTAAGACAGGTATTAGTACATTAATGCGTGTGTGTGACAGTGCATGCGCCTTGGCACTCTTCGAGGGGCTCTGTCTATTTGAGATGCCCTCTGAGGAGCAGCCTTGGTGGGGCCGACAGGCGGGCCCTGCTGTTGGAATTCCTGTGGCCTCGGCCTGACGACCGTCTCTGAATGCCCTGTCCCCTGTCACTCTCTGCCCCTTCACTCTGCTTTGTCCCTCCTCACCACCTGGAGTGGTTTGCTAGAGCTGCCATAAGACAGCACCACAGACCCGGGGGCTGGAATAGCAAGGCCTTACTGTCTCTCATTCTGGAGGCTGGAAGTCCAAAATCAAGGTGTTGGCAGGGTGGGTCCTTCTGAGGCTTGTGCAGGATGGATCTGTTCCATGCCCCTGTCCTCGGCTTATCCATGGCTGTCTTCTTCCTGTGTCTCTTTACATCGTCTGCCCTCCACGTGTGTCTGTCTCTCTGTCCAAATGTTCCCTTTTGTATTTTTTTATTTTTTTGATACAGAGACTTGCTCTGTTGCCCAGGCTGTTGTGTAGTGGCACAATCTTGGCTCACTGCAATCTCTGCCTCCCAGGTTCAAGCGATTTTCCTGCCTCAGCCTCCTGAGTAGCTGGGATGACAGGCACGCGCCACCATACCCACCTAATTTTTGTATTTTTAGTAAAGACCATTTCACCACGTTGATCAAGCTGGTCTTGAACTCCTGACCTCGTGATCCACCCGTCTCAGCCTCCCAAAATGCTGGGATTACAGACTATAGACGTGAGCCACCACGCTTGGCCTATGTTCCCTTTTGATAAGGACACCAGTTCAAATTGGATCAGGGCCCACCTTAATGACCTCACTTTAACTTGATTACTTCTCTAAAGACCTCATATTCAGGGGGCTAGGCGCAGTGGCTCACGCCTATAATCTTAGCTCTTTGGGAAGCTGAGGCAGGCAGATCACCTGAGGTCAGGAGTTTGAGACCAGTCTGGCCAACACAGTGAAACCCTGTCTCTATGAAAAATACAAAAATTATCTGGGTGTGGTGGTGCACACCTGTAAATCCAGCTACTCGGGAAGCTGAGGCATGAGAATCACATGAACCTGGCTGGGAGGCGGACGTTGCAGCGAGCCGAGATTGCGCCATTGTACTCCAAACTGGGAGACAGAATGAGACTGTCTCAAAAAAAAAAAAAAAGACCCCTCATATTCAAATAAAGTACTGAGGTACTGGGGTTAGGACTCCAACAGATGAATTCTGGGGGGACATAATTAAACCTTTAACATCACCTGATCCCATGGAATATATTTAGAGTTGATGTGTTTGTCTCCCCACTAGAGTGTAAGCCCCATGAGGAAGAGACCACTGCTCTATTCCCCGTGCCAAGAATAGTTTCTGGTACAGAGAATATGCTCAGAAAATACTTTTTTTTTTTTTGAGACAGTTCCGCTCTTGTTGCCCAGGCTGGATCTTGGCTCACTGCAACCTCCGCCTCCCGGGTTCAAGCGATTCTCCTGCTTCAGCCTCTCGAGTAGCTGAGATTACAGGTGCACACCACCACGCCCAGCTAATTTTTGTATTTTTAGTAGAAACGGAGTCAGGCTGGTCAGGCTGGTCTCGAACTCCTGACCTCAGGTGATCCACCTGCCTTGGCCTCCCAAAGTGCTGGGTGGCATGAGCCACCGTGCCCGGCCAGAAAATATTTTATGAATGGATCCAAGCATGGTTTGATCTTCCCAAGACATGTGGACAGCCTTCTAGGGGGTAATGTCCAAGTTGGCAGGCTCTGGTTCTGCAAGCGCTGTATGTTTCTCTCATTCCTTGCTGCTCTGGGTGTGCCTGTCTGGGTGATGACTATGTTGAATGGGTTGTCTGGCTGGTGCTCTGTAGAAAAATCCTGGCCCCTGAACAGCTGTGCTTTCTGCGGGGATTTAGTTAGGCACCTAGGTATCTGAGTGACAGGTGACTAACCAGAACCAGACAGTATTTTGCAGTGTCAGGGGATGTTAACGGACCCTCTCTCTTTCCTGAGAAAATGTAGCAACACTGCAACAGATGGGAGAAGTTGCTATTTGCAAACATACATTTTATTTTGGATGTTTCCCATGGAGATATATGTAGGTTTGGAGTCTGTCTCTTTGACTGTAATTTTTTTATAAGTTTATTAGTCTCCTAAGCCACATTCCTGCCAAAACATTTTGCAATCCTGCTTGCTTCTCTTGCCCATTTTCTGAGCCATTTGATTCATTCTGGGCTCCCTCCCTGCATCACCACTGCCATTTTAGTCCTCTTTTTGAGTTCTTGTTGTCTTATGTCCAACCCCAAGGCTTTTTGGTAAGTCGTCAGGCCATCTTTCTGCCTTTCTTCAGACGCTCTTGTATGTGACGCTCCTCTCTTTGTCACCGTCGGCTCTTTGCCGGGGCTCTGTGTGTAGCAGCTTGAAAGCGTGCAGCAGTAGTGGGTGACCCGTGAACACAGAGCGTGGTGCTAAGAGATAAAGGAACAGTGGATGTTGTAACCGCCTTCGGGGAGCCTCGCCAGCTCTGTTTAGGGATGATAGAATGAAGTTTGGATTCTTAGCGATTCCCTTGTCTACCTGGAGCAGAACACGGGTAGGCAGGTTATGATTGCATAACCTTCCAAATCAGTAAAAACCTGCAGGAAAGAAATGGGTACATGGTTTTTGCTTTGATCATGAGGAGGTCATACTGATCACGAAAATAATGAACATTTGTGGATCTCGTACCATCTGCTGGGCCATGTCTTGGATGCTTTGCTGCATGAGACAACTTACTCTTCATAGTAGCCTTTTGTGGTAGGTACTGTTGTCCTGATTTTGCAGATTAAGATGACCAGAATCTTGGTTTGCCCAGGACTCTCTTAAGTTTAATGTAGGAAGTCTTGGATTTGAGGAAGCCCCTCAGATAATGCCAAAACCACATTCACCCAGGAAAATATTTCATCAGAGTGTTTGGAGTCCAAACTGCAGGTTTCCGAATAACAGTATTAATAAGCAGCCAATCAGGTCATGAATGAGTGAAGAAGTAAAGCCCAAAGCCCTGGGCGTTACTGGGATGCTTTTGTTGGTAATAATAATGTCCCTGTGTGCTCCCAGGGACTGAGAGGTGCTTTTCTCACATATGTAGTACAGATCTACCATCTTTATGGGTTCACATGAGATGAGGAGCTTGAGCTATTAATAATATGTGTGTTAGGCTGGACGCAGTGCTCACGCCTGTATTCCCAGCACTTTGGGAGGCCGAGGCGGGCAGATCACTTGAGGTCGGGAGTTTGAGACCAGACTGACCAACATGGTGAAACCCTGTTTCTACTGAAAATACAAAATTAGCCAGGCGTGCATGGTGGCGCATGCCTGTAATCCCAGCCACTCGGGAGGCTGAGGCAGGAGAATCGCTTGAACCCAGGAGGCGGAGGTTATGGTGAGCCAAGATTGTGCCATTGTACTCCAGCCTGGGCAACAAGAGTGAAACTCCATCTCAAAACAAAAACAAAAACAAACAAACAAAAAAATGCAAAAAAAAAGGGGGTTGTATGTGCACACACAAATGTATGTGTGTATATATATATAAATGCATATACACAGATGTATATGTGTATTATATATAACATTAAATATAAATTATATAATACTATGCTAAATACATACACGTTTTTGTTAGCAGACTTCCTCAATGAAGGAAGCAGTGGGGACTGGTAGCTCTCTGAGTAGCTCTGGTTCGCATCAGTCTAACTCTAGTAGTACTTCTCTTTTGCGCTGGGGGCTGAAAAATCTACTGGAGGGGAGAGAGGTTTTTGAATCACATCGTGAAGCTGGAAGTGCATTCTTACGTCACACAGTGAACAGTCCCTTCCAGTCTCCTCGTTAAACCATCCTCCTACGAGAATGAACACAGATTACTTATTAAAAACAAAACAAAATACCCAGTGCTTTTGCCTTATTATGCTGACGATTTGGAGGCAGACCAGCTTTCCCAAGCCATTGCTTAGTCCCCGGTTGGGCTGAGAAAGGACATGAGAGGCAAATGGAATGAGGAAGTGCCTCAGGTGAAAAGGAAGCTTAGGGAAAGTTAGCTGTGGAGTCTGAGATCAGAATATTTTAACATTTTATCTGAGCCCTACTTTAGTGAAACCAAATGGATAAAGATAAGTGTTATCACTTATATAATCTGGTTTTTAGTTGGAATTACTGCTGCTCTGATGTAGCTTTCTCAGTGCATTCTTGTTTCCAGGTTAAAAATTTAATTAGAGAAACTAGTCGATGACTCAGTTCTCAGTTGAACATTTACATTTAATAATACTAATAAAGAAAACTTGTTTTGAAAACACATCTCCAGGTTTTCATAGTGTCATTCCCATAGGGTGACATTTTATTCTATTAAAAGCTAACATTTGTGAGAAGTAGTTGCAATTTCAAGGCCAATTTGACATAATAAAACTTGAATTTCTCTCTGGAGGGAAGGTGCTGGATGGCTATTTTACTCCCACCTAATTTATTACTCTGAGATGCTTTTTCCAAGATCAAGAATGAGCTTTTTATCATAAAGGCCATTAAAGCAGCTGAGAAAGTACCTGAGAATGTGCGGGGTAACAGATAGTTTCTTTCCAGTGTTCAGACTTAGAATTATGTCCTCCAGATTTCAAAGGGACATATTACTCAACAGTGCATTTATTTTTAAAAAGTCTAATATAAATCAGTGTTTTTTCTATGATCAACTATAAATATTTTAAAAATAATATATTTTTAAGTATTTTTGACCAAGCATTAAGAATTTTAAAATTCTTTAAATCAGTTAAGTCACAGGTATATTCCAGAATAGTTGAGATTTTTAACAGATCAAAAGAAGTCTTGGGCTCATATTTGATAGTTGCCATCTAAATCATGGCCACTTATACATACTTTTTTATTGTCAACTTTGCCACTTGTTACTATACTAATCACATTGCATTATCCATTCTCTCTGTTTTAGATACCTTTTTTTTTTTTGAGACAGAGTCTCGCTCTGTTGCTCAGGCTGGAGTGCAACGGCACAGTCTCGGCTCGCTGCAACCTCTGTCTCCCGGGTTCAAGCGATTCTCCTGCATCAGGCTTCCAAGTAGCTGGTATTACAGGCACCCACCTCCGTGCCCAGCTAATTTTTGTATTTTTAGTAGAGACGGGATTTCACCATGTTGGTCAGGCTGGTCTCGAACTCCTGACCTCAGGTGATCCACTCTGCCTTGGCCTCCCAAAGTGCTGGGATTACAGGCATGAGCCACCGCGCCTGGCCGGTAAATATTCTTTTAAAGTTTGATTTTTGGTGATGCATAGCATTCCATTATTTGGAGTTGCTGTAATTTTTAAATCCAGTTCCCAATTGTTGGACATTGAGGTTGTTACAAAATTTTCCCTGGATACATGATACTGCTGTTGCTATCCTTGTATGTTCATCTCTGAGTCATTCCTTAACATAAATACTTGGAAGGCTTTTGACATATTGCCACATTGCACTTCAGAAAGGTTGTACCAAGTGACACAACAGATATGAAAGTGACTTTTTAACTGAGCATTTTGATAATTAGGCTAATCATAATTTGTGTACTTGATTGAAAATGTGTTTCTTCTTTTATGAACTGTTACTAGTAATTTTCCCCTATCTTTCTCCTGTTTATCTTATTGGTTTATAGAAACTCTTTTCAGATTACAGATATTAGCTTTTTAATCTTTTGTTTAAAAAAAAAAAAACTTTAGACAAATTAAATTTGACGGTTTAATTAGCAAAGAATGATTTGAGAACCGAGCACCCCCCAGCCCTGGCCCCCAACCAGACAAAATGGAAGTGAGGTACAGAAACAGGCTGGATGTGGTGGCTCATGCCTGTAATCCCAGCACTTTGGGAGGCCGAGGTGGGTGGATCACTTGAGGTCAGGAGTTTGAGACCAGCCTGGCCAATGTGGCAAAACCCTGTCTCTACTAAAAATACAAAAATTAGCTGGGCGTGGTGGCCCACCCCTGCAATCCCAGCTACTTGGGTGGCTGAGGCACAAGAATAGCTTGAACCCAGGAGGCGGAGGTTGCAGTGAGTGGAGATTGCGCCACTGCACTCCAGCCTGGGCGACAGAGTGAGACTGTGTCTCAAACAAACAAACAAAAAGAAAAGAAACAGCTGGATTGCTTATAGCTTGGCATTTGCCTTATTTGAACATACGAACACACCCGTGATTGGCCCAGACTCTGACTGGTACAAGAGCAGGTTACATTTAATAATACTGTTAAATGTATTATTGCACATCTGTTTACACATCCTGTTAGGATCCTGTTTACACATACAAGTGAGGTTACAGTTCACTATGTGCAGAGAAACCATTAGGCTGAACTTAAAATATGTAAGAAAGCATCTTTAGCTAAACTTTATTTAACACTTTGTTATGTTGCGAATATTGTCTCCCAGGTGATCATTTGCCTTTTGATTCATCTTATGGTGCTTTTATTTTAGGAAGGGGGCAAAGGCACATGGAAATTTTGTGTTTTGTCTAACCAATCCAGTAGTCTTTTATCTTTAGTTTTCTCTTATTGCTTTTATGCATAAGTAAACTAGAGGGCTTGTTGTTGGTTTTGTCTTATAAATGATCAGTGGGTCCAGTGTTTCATAGTTGTCTGCAGAAAAATCTTTGCATTGGGTAGGGATATTTGACTATATATTCTAATCCGTTACATAATGATTTAACCTGTTGGTGTTATGTACTAAAGCACAGGCTGTGGGGGCTGACAGCTTGGGACTCCTATCTGCTTTCTGCTACTTGGTATCTGTGTGATCTTGGGCACAGTGTTCAAAAACTCTAAACTTCAGCTTCTGTATCTGCAAAATGGTGACAAAGATACCTCATGGTATTCAATGAGAATTTGGTTAAAAAAAAAAAAAAATATATATATATATATATAGAGAGAGAGAGAGAGAGAGAGAGAGAGAGTGTGTGTGTGTGTGTGTGTGTACAGCACGTAGCCTGAAAATACAGTCATTATTGTGTTAGTCAAGAAAAAAGTGGCCAGACGTGGTGGCTCACACCTGTAATCCCAGCACTTTGGGAGGCCGAGGTGGGCAGATCACCTGAGATCAGGAGTTCAAGACCAGCTTGGCCAACATGGTGAGACCTCTGCCTCTATAAGAAAATACCAAAAAATTAGCCAAGCCTGGTGGCGCATGCCTGTAGTCCCAGCTACTTGGGAGGCTGAGGCAGGAGAATCACTTGAACCCAGGAGGCGGAGGTTGCAGTGAGCCGAGATTGCGCCACTGCTCTTTAACCTGGGCAAAAGAGCCAGACTCTCTCTGAAAAAAAAAAAAAAAAAAGGAAAGAAAGAAAAAAAAAGAAATGGTAGTTGGTTGTTCTCTTCATTTAGACTTTCATAGTTATATTTCCGCCTTAAAAGTATGTATTATTTATGGTCTTTTAGATAGTAAGAAACAGATACCCACTCAGTTTATCATAGATAACGGCATTTTATTTTAAGGATAAAGGGAGGTGAGGAAAAAGATGATGGGGACGCCTCTTCCGTCAACACCTCCCTGAGGACCGCGATGCCTCTCTGGATGTCTGCATTCCTGGGATTCCACTTTCCTCTTGCCCACCTCTGCCGCAGACCTCCCTTTCTTGGCAGCTTCTGTGGTTCCTTGGGCGCATCCTGCCATTCACCCTGCCCCCTGCCTCAAGGCTTCTCACTATTCCTGGCTTCTCTGCCTCCTCCTGTGTTTCACTTTTTGCTCTTTCTGGATGTAGGGGAGGGAAAAATGTCTTCCCTCCACCCGTCTACTTATTTGGTTGGGCTACAAATTAAATCGACATAAGACAGAGTAGCAGGAGGAAAACCACATTTAAGGACATCGTATGCATGGGAGTCCCACAGAATATGAGACTCCAAGAAGGGCCAGGTCATGGAAGCTTCTACAGCAACCCGAGCTACAGAAAAGAATAGGGGCTTGGGGCTTTGGGGGTGGTGGCAATCCGTTCTGGGAGGATGAGGGGAAGGAATGTACGGTGGTGAATAAAGCTTGTCTTGTTATGCAGATAAAAGTCTTCCAGGTAATAAAAAGTTACCTGGAGCAACTCTTTTCCCGATACATGAATTTTCTTTATAGATATTATTTGCAAAAGGACAGCTTTTCGGAGCTGCTTCTTTGTTTGCAGTTTCTCAGGATAAGCAGCTCAAACTATGCCAAAGAACTCTAATTGGAGTGTCATGTTCTGGTCTCCTATAGTCATGTTTCGGGGTGGTTGGTGTGTCTTGAGCCCCAACATGGGTATTACTGGGTTGTCTTGTATTTCTGGGATTGATGACATCGTGGTAGAAGTGTGATACTGGAATCCTTACTGGCCTCACCTCCTTGTCACCTTTTTGCCACTGAGCGTCCTTTAACAGCAGAGAATCCTTTTCACAGTGGAATAAAGAATGCTATTTATAGATGATTCTACACGAGTTACCAGATTAGTATGGTTTGAGAAAGTTTGTGGGACAATTAATTCTCCATGTTTTTGATCAGGTAGGCAACACCTGCCTCAACACTCAGGAAAACATGTTACTGCCTTTAAGGGTTATACTTTCTCCCATGTTTGTAGTTGTAGGGATAGCTTAATGCATTTTTTTCACTGACCCTTTGCTAGAAGTTCTGTCATTTCCAATGTGCATCGAAGGCCTCTTTAGCTTCCGGGACTGGGTTGAGAATTTTGTCTTGGATTCTTATTGCCAAAATCTCTGGGTTTCCAATTCCTGTGGTTTCTCCCTTCTTCCCCGAGGCTGCGTTATTCTTGTACCTTTTCAACTGCTTTTGGCTGCCAGTTGTCCTCTGGTGTGAGAATAGAGTATTGATTGCTTCCTGTTGCCTGTGGGACAGGAATGCTTCTTGAATTAGAGCTAATTTTGGAGTTTAAAGTATTAAATGTCAAATTTGAAAGAAAGCACATCTAAGACCTCTTTGTTGTGGAAGCGAAGGTCATCCCAGGGCCTAGGGGAAGGGAAAGGAAGAAAGAAAAGAGAAAGGAGAAAATAGCTGATGACTTCTCCCTCTTCCAGATCATTCCCTCTACACTCATGGAATGCTCTTTCCATTTTCGTAAAATCCATTTTTAGACTCAGAATTCTGCATCTCAAGCCATTTGCCAGGTGTACTGTGATGTCAGAATACTCACTGCTGGGGAAATTTCCCAGTTGTAACTAGCTTAAAAAATAAAACAAACGTTACCTTTACTTGGAGATGATCATTTGTTTTGTCATTCAAACACTTAATGGTGGCCCTTTTTATGCAGAGCTGCTGGTAACCTGTATGGGCTTTTGTACACATTGGAAAAGCTGTGCCTTGCCAGACCAATTAGAAAAAGACATCCCCTCTGGGTGAACCAATTAAAAAAAAGCACTTCCTCAAGTGGGCCAATTAGAAAAGGTGTCCCCTCTGGGCAGCCCAGTTGGACAAAGGCTTCCTGTTTGAATGGATGCAGCTGCAAGGTGCATGGTTTAGCAAGCAGACAGCATTGCGGGAGGAAATATACCCTTTGCTCTAGGGCACAGAGTTGGCAAGCCAAGTGGGGTCTGGATTTCTTCCCCCAAATGGCCCCCTCCATTGGGTGCTTTTGTCTGAGGCACCAAATGCACCGCGAACAGGCTCAACAATCTGATCTGCACCCAGTAGTTAGAGCTAAGCTGTGAATCACAAACACGGAACTCATGTTATTACAGTGGAAAAGGCCATGTTTCTTCCAACAGTGACTGATTAAGTGTCCCAGGATTTTAGCGAATCTCAGGTAAAAATCTGCAGAATCAGTCCTGGTCTCTTTCTTTGGCAAAGTCTGCTTCGTTGCTTGTTCTGTAAGAGAAAGAGAAGCAAGGTGAAGAATTTGGATGATAAATAAATTCAGTGTGTTTATGTCACTCAAGGCCCAGGAGACACAAGACATGCTCTGGCATATGTAACAATTAGGGTCTTGGGGGAATGCCCTTCACGAGACCTGTGAACTTTGTGTCTCCTGAGTCATCATTCAACCTGCTTCAGGGGCCCAGGGCTCTCAGACTTCCTGTGTGTTAAGAGCTGAAGCAGCTGTTGAACTAGGGTCTCAGAGACTCCAGTCTGCAAATTCGAAGAGAAAAATTCTCCCCAGTGTTGATTACTTATCAGCCCGGTTCCTTTCTTGGATGGGGAAATGGTGTGACAATTTAATAACGGGCCTGTGACAATTACATGCAAGTGGAGAGAATGAAAAACCAGCCTTGGAACAGAGATTTTTCTTTTCTGGGAATGGTACGTGGTGGTTTTGGCTTTCTCTATGTGTAATGGGAGAGGCCCATCCATCTCTGTGTGACAGAGGAAAATTTCAGCATTAGGAGAGTAACTTCTGATTTATCACAAACAGCTGGGTGGGCCATGCCTCACTGGTGCCCAGGCTTAAGCAGCCTTTGAAATAGAGTTGCTCAGTGTGGCTTCTGCATCTGAAAGGGCCAGTGAGCTGCTGTGTGTTTCACAGTGGTTGCTGAGCTCTTGTCATCCTGATCACCCCTGGTAGAGGGTCAGTGTGAAGGAGGGCATTACCTTGAACCTGACAAGTCTTGTATCTGTCAAGGTGTTTGCTATGGGCTGAATTATGACCCCCAACCACAAATTCATATGTTGAAGTCCTAACCCCCAGTATCTCAGAAGGTGACTGCATTTGGAGATAGGATCATAAAGAGGTAACTAAGGCGAAATGAGGTTATCTGGATAGGCCTTAATCCAATGTAGCTGGTATGCCTAGAAGAAGAGGAAATTTGGACACAGATGTGCGCACACACAGAGAGAGACTGCACGAAGGCCACAGTGAGAAGGTGGCCATTCACACGCCAAGGAGAAGGGCCTCAGGAGGAAGCAACCCTGCTGACACTTTGATCTCAGACTTTGGGCCTCCAGAACTGTGAGAAAATACAGTTCTGTTGTTGGAGCTGCCCAGTCTATAATCCTTTGTTTTGGCAGCCCGGGCCAACTAATACACTCTTCATACACCTCCATTTGCTGAGTGTCCCAGAAGCTAAGGTCGGCTTCAGGAATCATGCCGGGAAACTTCACCTGATTCACGAGACCACTTTCTAATGGGATCCTCCTCTTCAGTAACTTTTTCCTCTGGGAAGGAACCTGGGGTTTCTCTCTCTTACTTCTTGCCTCACTAAACTCTGTTCTGTAACAAATCACATTCTGTGCAGATACCACGATACCTGGAAACAATCTCCTCCTTGAGTAAGGAAATCAATAATATTCACTGGATTCCTGACTTGTATGGTGTTGTGTGCTGTCTCATTCCATGTTGGGTCAAGAAAAAAACAAACAAACAAACAAAAACAAGAAAATGTTGTCCCTCTAGTGGTTTCTTGGTTTCCCTGGCATATTTCTACAAAACACCGTCAAAAGAAGAAGGTGTTTGAGGTTGCTATTAGAATTTCTTCATGGACACATATAAATGTATGAAATTATTAGGATGGTCCATAAAGCTCTTTATATTGTTTGTAGGATATTGACACATGACTTGTGATTACTTTGCGTATGATTTGTGTGAACCCAAAAGATTATTCTCTGTAGCTCTTAAAATGTTCACTCTTTAGGAACACTCTTAAAGTGATCAACTAAAAAATGTTGTTGCTAGTAGCATGATGTCATGTGGATTAGTTGCCTATGGCTACCATAACAAAGTACTATAAACTGTGTGGCTTAGGGCCAGGCGCGGTGGCTCACACCTGTAATCCCAGCACTTTGGGAGGCCAAGGCAGGTGGATTGCTTGAGCTCAGGGGTTTGAGACAAGCCTGGGCAACATGGGGAGACCCTGTGTCTACAAAAATACAAAAATTACCCAGAAGTGGTGGCGAAGGCCTGTAGTCCCAGCTACTTTTGGGAGGCTGAAGTGGGAGGATCGCTTGAGCCTAGGAGGTGGAGGCTGCGGTGAGCCGAGATCACACCACTCACTCCAGCTGGGTTGACAGAGCAAGACCCTGTCTCAAAGAAACCAAAACAAAAAAAATTAGCAACAACAACAAAAAACTGTGTGGCTTCAACAATGGAAATTTATTGTCTCATTCTGGAGGCCAGAAGTCTAAGATCAAGGTGAGTTGGTTCCCTCCGAGGGCTGCAAGGAAAGGCTCTTTCCAGGCCTGTCTTCCAGCCTCTGATAGCCCCAGGCATTCCTGGCTTGAAGGGCATCCTCCCTCTGTCTTCACATCATCTTCCCTCTGTGCATGTCTGCCTCTTGTTCAAATTTTCCATTTAATAAAGACACAATCATGTTGGATTAGGGCCCACCATAATGACCTCATCTTAACTGGATCATCTGCAAAGACTCTATTTCCAAATAAGGCCACATTCACAGATGCTGGGAGTTAGGACTCCAGCATCTTTTGCGGGGACAGAATTGACTCATGACACCATGTTATTGTTTTTCTTATCCCATCTCATTAGCCGCAAAAAGGTCTTTGGACCCTGGAAGCAAAGAGCAAGAGACAGGCAAAGGCCAAGAGGACAGTGAAGGAGGTGGGGTGGTCAGGGCTAAAAGGTAGACTGCCCTGGGCATTGATGTTTCTTGGGCTTTGGGTGGAGGGTGCTGCCTGGACCTTCTAGGTAGCTTCATTGCCTCTGTTCCACCATGTTCTATCTTTCCGAGATGCTCACCTCCTCCCCTGCCCTGGGATGCTCATCATTGTTAAGTGCACTTGGGCTTATGGTTCATTGGCAGTTCTCTTGGAGAGAGAAAGAGGGAGGCTACGTGGAGTAGGGATGCATTGCAGAGATACGACAGTTATGCTGACATTCTGTTAAGGAAGACCTTAGACTCTGGAAACAGACTTGAGGTGCAAGACCCCCCGCTGGTCTGGCTTCCAGGAGAAGGCCGAGAGGTGAGTCACACAGGGCAGTATTTCTCAGTCTTATTTTTTAATCCATATACTCTGTAGTGAAACCCCACCTGGGCAAAACCATTTTATGTTTTGTGATTACCATTAGGACAAGCTTTATACTTTGTGGGTATTTATTTAATTTATTTTTGAGACGTAGTTTCGCTCTTGTTGCCCAGGCTGAAGTGCAATGGCGCGATCTCGGCTCACTGCAACCTCCGCCTCCCAGTTTCAAGTGATTCTCTTGCCTCAGCCTCCCGAGTAGCTGGGACTATAGGCATCCGCCACCATGCCTGGCTAATTTTTTGTATTTTTAGTAGAGACAGGGTTTCACCATGTTGGCCAGGCTGGTCTCAAACTCCTGGCGTCAAGTGATCTGCCCACCTCGGCTTCCCAAAGTGCTGGGATTACAAGCATGAGCCACCACGCCCGGCCGTGGATTTTTTATTAGGGCAAAAATAGGTGGACTGAATGTGCCTTTTTCAGCTCACTTTTCTTCTCGACCCTGGAGGACTCTCCCGTCTTTTGGTCACCCCTATGGAGAGGCCCTGCATTGAGCTTTGTTGTGGAGTGGGGTGGAACAGGGCAGGAGTGGGGTCCAAGCTTCTGGAAGTGTAAGGAGAGAGGATGATTAATGTCAGGCCAGCTCTGCTTGGAATGAGTTTGAGAAGTTTGAGAGAAAGGGCAGTGTCTACTGATGCTAGAAGACTGATATGAAAGCAAAGCTTTTAATATCCACAAAGCATCCGATCAATATGCCTAAATAGTTTGTTAGGCTCCTCTTAAGAAATACCATCTGTGAGCTTATTCTCTTTTATGGTTTAACGTTACAAACACTTGTAATGTATGTTATCGTGGAAACTGAATGATGATAAGCTGCTCTTAAGTTCCCACCCTCTTCCCTTGTTCTCGGTAGGTTTATGAGTATAAAAGGGGAAAAACTCATTCTGCACTTGGTGCCATGGAGGAAATGATTTAACAAGTCGAGGCTGGCAACGACTTCCTGCTGCACTGATTTTACTTAGATCTTCCCTTTTAACGTTCTCTATTAGTTTCCTGGGCTGCCATAACAAAGTACCATAAACTGGGTAGTGTCAAACAACAGAAATTTATTATCTCACAGTTCTGGAGGCCAGAAGTATGAAATCAAGGCGTTGGCAGAGCCATGCTCTCCCTGAATGCTGTAGGGGAGGAGAATCTTCTTTTCTTCCTAGCTCTGGTGGTTGCCTGCAGTCTTTGGCCTGCTTTGGCTTGTAGATGCCTCACTCCAGTCTCTGCCTGCAAATTCGCGTGACCTTTGCTGTGTGTGTGTGTCTGTGTTTCCTCTTGTTGTAAAGACATCAGCTCTATGGGATTAGGGACCCATCCTACTCCACTATGATCTTATCTTGACTAATTACATCTGCAATGACCCCATCTTCAAATAAGGTCACATTCTGAGGTACTGGTGGTTAGGACTTCAATGTATCTTTATGGGAAACCCAATTTAACCTATAATGTGTTCTAAACCAAACTCGTTGCCTTTGCCACTGACCAATCTGCCTCTTCTTCATTCCCTGCTACTCCTGCTCAGCACCATCTTGGTTCCTCCATCTTCTCAGTCCCTTTTGGGTTATTCAGCTCCTGTAAGTTACACCTCTGGCTGCTGTGTGTTTTTTTTTTTTAGACAGAGTTTCACTCTTGTCACCCAGGCTGGAGTTCAGTGGTGCGTTCTTGGCTCACTACAACCTCTGCCTCCCAGGTTCAAGCAATTCTCCTGCCTCAGCCTCCCACGTAGCTGGGATTACAGGTGCCTATCACCATGCCTAGCTAATTTCTTTTTAAATGGAGACGGAGTTTCACCATGTTGGCCAGGTTGGTCTTGAACTCCTGACCTCAAGTGATCCACCCTCCTTGGGCTCCCAAAGTGCTGGGATTACAGGCATGAGCCACTGCTCCCAGCCTCTGGCTGCTTTTTGATTTTTATCTCCTACTGAGTCCCTTTGACACAGTCTAGTTTAATCCTCGTTCATTCTCCCCATCCCCTGTTCCTCGCAGCATAATCCATCCTAATTGCCTAGAAATGAACTCTAATGAGTCCACAAACTCTCCAGGCCCACCCTCCTAGCTCCTTCCAGCCCCACTGAAATGCCACGTTAGTTCTTCCTGGAGCCTGCCCTCCTCTGCCCAGCTGGAGGTAGTTTCTCCCCGCTCTTTGTTCTGTCTCCATGTCACCTCTCTTACTCCATGCAACATCTTGAGCACAAGCAAGCGTGTGGTAGCTGCCTCCCAGGTTGCAGGATTATTTAGGCTAGAACCAGGTCTTAGTTACTGAAACACACACACACACACACACACACACACACACAAACTCTACTGTGCTCGTCATGATTTTTCACGAATAGTGGGTACTTTGACAGACTCGGTAGAATGCAGGTCTCCATGTGGAAGCTCTGGCTACAATTCTGAGGTTTTGTCATGGTCCAAAGGTCTCCTCTTCGAGTCTGGCTCTCTTAACAACAGCACTCTACTACAGAGCCCTGCGCGTGCAGTGATACCTGAGTTAATCAGTACTCTGGAAGTAAGCCTTTATCCAGAGTCAGCCTTGGGTTTATCGTGTTTATTGTTTAACTTTCTGATGGACTGGACACGGAGTGGTTGGGAAGAATTTCCCAGGGTAGTTTCAGTATGGATCAGATGCCTGTAGCCCTTGAGTACTGCATTCGTTTCCTGGGGCTGCCATGACAAAGTGTCCACAGACCTTAGAACAACGGAAACTGTCTCACGGTAACCCAGAAGGAGCTGGAAGTTCAAAATCAAGTTGCACCCTCTGAGGGCTTTGGGGAAGGGTCTCTTCCAGGCCCCTCTCCCAGCTTCTGGCACTTCCGTGGCTACTGGCAGCACGACTCCAGCCTTCCCATGGCATTCTCTGTGTGTCTCTGTGTCCAAATTTCTCCTTTTTATAAGGACGCCAGTCATATTGGATTAGGGTACACACAAATAATGTCGTCTTAATTAATTACATCTGCAATGACCTGATTTCCAAACAAGGTCACCTTCTGAGCTGCTGGGGGTTAGGACTTCAGCATGAAATTTGTTGGGGGACACATAACAAACACATAACAGGTTCTCAGCTTGAGTTCTTCTGTAGAGTCTGGGGTGTGTCTGCTGGGTGACTTGGTTGGTCACTGAGGTTTGCAGAGGGTAGAGATACACCCTCAGTGGTGAGTAGAAGGGTGTGACCATCTTCACCTGTACTGTCCCCCTCTAGGCCCTGGGAAAGCAACTCCCGGTTTGTACACCTGGCTTTTAATGCATTGCCAGGAGTTCTCTGATGTGGAGGCCTTGGCTTGGTGGCAGGAATGATGAGCTTGGGCTGAGCAGGCAGCCTGTGTCACCTCTGCTTGACAGGCCACAGAGATTGGCAGGCCGCCTCAGAGGGAGCTTTGAAGTCTCAAAGTTAAGGACCCAGGGCCAGTCACATCTGTATTTAGCTAATGTTTAAACTTGTAGCTCACCTGTTCTGTTTCTCACCTATACTGTTTCTCCCTCTGCAAACTAAACTATGATGCTCAGGTGTAGTAAGGCTACTTCTGTATGCCAGGAGAGCATAGGTTGTCTTGCGAGGATGTCCATGGTGTAGAGATATGGGAATTATGCTTTTAAAGTGACAAATTTGGAGAGTAAGATGTTTTTGTTTTTCTTTGGTCACATTGAACTACTACCTGATTTAGGTGTTCACAATGATCAAATAACCCACTGGGTTA
This sequence comes from Homo sapiens, assembly GCF_000001405.40. Lineage (NCBI taxonomy): Eukaryota > Metazoa > Chordata > Mammalia > Primates > Hominidae > Homo > Homo sapiens. Next base: position 31,901,878 of record NC_000021.9, read on the forward strand.
TTTGAGGCCCAGCTCAGGCCTCAACCAGGTCATACCACCCCTCTAGATGGCAAGGGGCTACTTAGCTGTCGGTTGAGAGTCACATCCATGCCTGACCATGTCCCAGCTGGACAGACTGTGGGCAAGTTTCCCCTCTGTAAAAAGGCATAGGTGTAGACCACAGTCATGAAGCCATATAAACCTCCAACTGGGACTAGTTTCATTGAATAAGCACTTGATAAGCAAGACCCTGCAAAACACTGTACATGCTTCATGTAACTCCCACAAGCCCTACGAGGAAGAATATGCCATTATTTCCCCTTTTTACAGAGGGGAAACTTTTGGTTCACACAGATTAAGAAAGTTGGCCACGGCCGGGCGCGGTGGCTCACACCTGTAATCCCAGCACTTTGGGAGGCCAAGGCAGGTGGATCACCTGAGGTTGGGAGTTCGAGAGCAGCCTGACCAACATGGAGAAACCCCATCTCTACTAAACATACAAAATTAGCCAGGCGTGGTGGCGCATGCCTGGAATCCCAGCTACTCAGGAGGCTGAGGCAGGAGAATCACTTGAACCTGGGAGACGGAGGTTGCGGTGAGCCAAGATCGTGCCATTGCACTCCAGCCTGGGCAACAAAAGCAAAACTCTATCTCCAAAAAAAAAAATCTTCTTCCTCGTAGGGCTTGTGGGAGTTACATGAAGCATGTATAGTGTTTCGTAGGGTCTTGCTGGTCAAGTGCTTATTCAATGAAACTAGTCCCAGTTGGAGGTTTATATGGCTTCATGCTGTGGTCCACACATAGGCCTTTTTGTTTTCACACCATGAAATTTACAGAGAAATGGCGATTGTCCAAAGAGCTCATCAATTGCATGCTTATTGACAGCTAAACTAGTTAATTTAGGCCACTAAATGGATCTCCCAGCCATTGGAATATTTACTAAGCTTAAGTTAATCAGACAGTTGCCTACATTTATTTATTGATTTTCTAGACCATGGAGATCCGCCCTGTGTGCTGCTTAATTATAAGCTCTCACACTATTAATCTTTTCTTTATGTAATGATAAAATGTGTTTAATATAATGAGATTAACACTACTGATCCACTTTTGAAAATGTGATCATGATCAAAGTGTCTAATTTTACTTTTTTTTTCTCGGTGCGGGAGAGAGGTGGAATTTGCAACCAATAAATCTTGATTCGATGAAAGCCACATTAAACTCTTTCTAACATGATTTTAACATAACAAAGCTCCATTAATGTTGATGAAAGCAATGGATAACTTATGCTTGACCCAAATTCAGAGCATGGGGCCCAGTGGGATAGAAAATCATAAACTGAGAATAATAACTCCAATCACAGCTACCCCTCCACCACAAATCAAAAAAGATATCTCAGAATTTAAAATGTATTTTCATAATGATTAGTTCTTGTAAGTGGAAAACATCCCTTTGAAGTCGATGATATTCTGCTCTCTAGAAATAATTCTTTTATTGAACTTGACTATATAAATATTCATGGTGCTGCGTGTGTATATTTCATATTGTTTCATTAGTTACTTTTTAGTCATTGGAATAGTAAAAAATGTTCGCTAGGTACTAAAAATACTGTGGAGTTGAAAATAATTTTCATTCTTGGCCACACAGATTAATTTACTCTTGCCAAAAAAAAAATTACCTTTACAGCTAGGCGGTTGACTAAATGATGAATAAGAAGTCTATATTTTAAAAGAATTTTGAAAGTTAGTGTCCTGGATAGAACAGAAATGTTTGTGTTTCAGTCTTGGAATTGTCTGTGTGACTCTAGGCAAGTCCCCAAACCTCTATTAAATAAAATTTACCCCTCCGTTAACGGAAACAAAAGTAAAACCCCCAATTGTTCCTTCAGTGATCACAGTTTCAAAAGGACTGTGCTATTTCTGCATGTTCACAAGATGAGACCCAGAAGATTTTGGAGAAAGTAAGAGGAATGTTTTAAGTTAGTTTTTCTAAAACGTCCTCAGGTTGTATCTAATGGGATCAACAGTATTGGTTGAAAGTCATTAGTTTCTTCTTTTTGTTTTCTGATAGCTGATTTAGATGATGTTACTCTTCAGTCGTGATGCTGTTTAAGAAAACTAAACAAAATCAACTAAAGAAATAGCCCACTTGCTGGTAGCTGTGAATTTCTCATCCAGTAGTTACAGTTACTGCAAGAGTTTAAGTACCTCTTCATGGAGGTATTTTGAGTTCCCCTTTTCCTGTAAGCTAAGCAATTAGTCTCGGTTCTCCATCTAGTATACAAATCATGGCTATTCACCACAAAAGATTGGCCTTTTATGTTCAAATATTGAAATCCCAGGAGATTTTGACATGTATTTTGCTTCAGGAAATCTTTTTGGGTCTACTCTTCGGGCCCCTTCTGTCTCTGTTTACATGTTGCTAAACTTTAAATGGTTGAACAAATGGTAAAGAGTAGAAACTACATTTATCTGATGTTTCCTAAACTTTATGCCTCACTGAAAGCAGCTGAGAAAATGAAAATCCAAGGTGACTAATGCAAATAAAAAGATGGTGACCTCTTTTTGCAAAGATAAGCAAGAAGTAGAGATGTCTCCAAAGATGCCAGCGATAGGCTTATTTGCAGAAAAGTTAATAGCTTAAAATCGTATTTAGAAAGTCATAAGCTGGGAAAACATGTGACAGAGAGAAAAGGAACTCAAAGTATCAGGTTTGCTTGGAGATGTCTTGGGATTGTTGGCGTTTCCTTGAGTCATGTTGCTTCCTCTCCGGAGTTTCCGTGGGTCTTCCGTGTTTTAGATCTATTTCTTTTTTCCTTAGTTCTAGAATTCGTGATAAATTTTACTGGTGTTATGGGCTGAATTGTGTCCCACCCCCAAATTCACATGTTGAAGCCTTAACTCCTAGTACCATAGAATGTGATTCGATTTGGAGATAGTCTTTAAACAGATAGTTGAGCGGGATGTGGTGGCTCATGCCTGTAATCCTAGCACTTTGGGAGGCCAAGGTGAACGGATCACCTGAGGTCAGGAGTTTGAGACCAGCCTGGCCTCAAACCCTGTCTGTACTAAAAATAGTAGCCAGCACGGTGGTGCACACCTGTAATCCCAGCTACTCGGGAGGCTGAGATGGGAGAATTGCTTGAACCCGGGAGGCAGAGGTTGCAGTGAGCCAAGATTGCACCACTGCACTCCAGCCTGGGCAACAGAGTGAGACTGTGTCTAAAAAAAAAAAAAAGAGGTAGTTGAGTTAAAGTGAGGTCCTGTGGGTGGGCCTCGATCCAATCTAATTGGTGTCTTTATAAGAAGAGGAAATTTGGACACGGACACATAGGGAAGACCGCATGAAGACACAAGGAGATGATAAATGGGGTAATAGGAAATAGATTATTAGTTAATTTCACCTGTTACTTTTTAAAGCCACCTACAAGCCTAGGAGAGAGGCTCCAGACGTAACCAGTCCTGCTCACACCTTGATCTCAGACTTGTATCCTTTCAAAATTGTAAGACAGTAAGCCACACAGTCGGTGATACTTTGTTGTGACAGCCCTAGCAAACAAACACACTGGGAGATAGTAATTAAAATGGTTGAAAGAGCAAAATGTATTGAAAAAGAAAAAGGAGTCAAGGCCGGCATCTTATGATCTCCATGTCGTTCTTCCCACCATGTGCACACGTGTGTGCAAACCTGCGCCCACCTCCCACTGAGCTCCCTGTTATCTGCTTATGGATTCCTGGCCCTTCCTGAGAGCCATTATCTGCTGTCAGTGGAAGCAGAGCATTCATTATTCCCAGCCAGTGCAGGGAGGCCAGGAGGATTTATGGAGTCATTGCAGGAACACAAATTCTGCTTTGTACAGACGGACACCATAAACGCACATGAATAAATCAGGGCAGAGTGGAAAAAAGACCTACTTTTCCCTTTCTCATGAACACAGGCATGGGGGCTAGCCCCGATGTTTAGTGTGTGATTTAGTGGGGGAGGAAGGAAGCCTCGTGTTCTCATAGCATAGAGAAGCCATCTGCAGAGGTTTATTGAGGACCTCCTGTGAATGGGTCACTAGCGGGCCTGGGGCTGGGAGGAGCTGTGATAAGGATTCCTGTGTTCAGTTTAGTGTACGACTGTTATTTTAATTTTTTTTTTTCCTGGAGCTGCTGTGTCTCTCCCTCCCCTGGGTTTTTGCACTGCTGCCCCTGCCATGCACTGGCTTGCTTTGATATTTCCCCTTAGCATCATCTGCATCTATTAGCTATATCTTAATTCCACTGTGTTGTTATTATTGTTGGCTCAGTTTTAGCTACAATTAATGGATGGTCACTATGTGCAAGCACTTTCCATTATTTACCTTGGCCACCATTATTATCCCCGGCTTACTGATGAATAGTCGGAGGCATACCGAGGTTAAGTTTTTTGCCTAGGATTTCTCAGTGCTGGGACTCTGACCTCAGCTGGGTTCCAAAAGGCATGATTTAATTCTCATTACAAATGTGGGTGACTGGTAATCTCATATGCACTTTGCAGATGAGAAAACAGAGCATTTCTTCCTTCCTTCATTCTCCAGATTTTGTGGTTGCCGTTGTTGTTTGTTTAATTGTTTTTGAGAGAGAATCTCGCTCTGTCGCCCAGGCTGGAATGCAGTGGCACGATCTCAGCTCACTGCAACCTCTGCCTCCCGGGCTCAGGCTCCTGCCTCAGCCTCCCAAGTAGCTGGGACCACAGATGTGTGCCATCATAAATGGCTAATGTTTGTATTTTTTGTAGAGATGGAGCTTCACCATGTTGCCCAGGCTGGTCTTGAACTCCTGGGCTCAAGCGATCCGCCTACCTCAGCCTCCTAAAGTGCTGGGATTACAGGTGTAAGCCACTGCACCTGGCCCAGACTTTGTGTTTTGAGTGCTAGGTCTCAGGCAGGCAGTCAGCTGGTCCGTGGGCTCAGAGGGTGTGTGGTTTGCCCAAAGCCAGACAGCCAGAACTTCCCTGTCCCTTACAGTTGCCTCTCACCACATGTAGCTGTTGAACACTTGAAATGTGCCTGGTCTGGCCCGGTGTGGTGGCTCACACCTGTAATCCCAGCACTTTGGGAGGCCAAGGTGGGTGGATCACCTGAGGTCAGGAGTTCGAGACCAGCCTGGCCAACATGGTGAAGCTCCGGCTCTACTAAAAATAGAAAAATTAGCCTGGTGTGGTGGCAGGCACCTGTAATCCCAGCTACTTGGGAGGCTGAGGCAGGAGAATTTCTTTCTTGGGAGGCAGAGGTTGAAGTGAGCTGAGATCTCGTCATTGCACTCCAGCCTGGGCAACAAGAGTGAAACTCCATCTCAAAAACAAACAAACAGAAAAAATGTGCTTTGTCCGAACTGAGATGTGCTCCAATTGTAAAACACACACCAGATCTCAAGACGTCATAGTATGAAAAAAAAATGCAAAATATCTCCTTAAGAATTTCAAAATATTGGTCACATGCTGAGATGATAATATTTTAGATAAATGGGGTTATAGGAAATAGAGTGTTAGTTAATTTCACCTGTGTCCTTTTACGTACTGTGGCTACTAGGAAATGTAACATGACTTATGTGGCTTACAGATCTTGGTTGGATGGCACTGGACATGTGGCTGAGGCGAGGATGTCTCCTGTGGATTCTCTTGTGCCATTCTGAGATTGCTCAGAGGTACCGGTTGTTCCCTCTGAACCAAGAGTGATAGTGCCCAGGTGGGGACCATTGATGAGTTGGACATGTGAGAAGCAGGGAGCCAGCACGGGGCATACCTGGAAGATATAAAAAGTAGAGAGGAGTCACAACCACGTGAACATATTTCACACCTCTGATCTGTGCACTTAAAAGTGGTGAGGATGGGCCGGGCGTGCTGGCTCACACCTGTAATCCCAGCACTCTGGGAGGCCGAGGCAGGCGGATCACTTGAGGTCAGGAGTTTGAGACCAGCCTGGCCAACATGGAGAAACCTTGTCTCTACTAAAAATACAAAAATTAGCCAGGCGTGGTGGTGGGCACCTGTAGTCCCAGCTACTAGGGAGGCTGAGGTGGGAGGATCACTTGAACCCGGGAGACGGAGGTTGCAGTGAGCTGAGATCGCGCCACTGCAACTCCAGCCTGGGTGACAGAGCGAGTCTCCATCTCAAAAGAAAAAAAAAATGGTGAGGACAGTAACTTTTATTTAGGTGTTTTTACCGCAATAAAAAAATTTTTTTTAAATGAACAAAAACTTAAGGAGTATGTGTCTCACTATGACTATTGTATAAAAGCATTTAAAGAATGAAAATTTTATTTGACCATAGGCAATTGGGCTAAACAAAAATTGATAGAATGTAAGCTAGTCAAAATAAACTTTGTTCCAAGAAAAAAAAAGTGGAGAGGGAGGTGTGGGTGGGAGTGGGGGCGTGCTGGCAGCAGATCATGAAGGACTTTCAACTTCTCATCGAGGAATCTGGACTTTATTTAGACGATGACCGTAACTGTCTTTAGAAAGAAGACTGTGGGGCCTCAGCGCGTGAAAGTGCTGAAAGCCGGGAGGGTGGGGGAGTGCTAGGGGCCTGTAAGGAGGCTGGCCAGGGCAGGGTGGTGGCCAGGAAGGAACCTTTCGGAGGAGACTTGGCAATCCATCGTAGGGGAGGGGCAAGGGGAAAGGGGATGAACCGGTCGGGCAACAGGTGGGGAGAAGGCAGGCCTCAGCGAGGAGGAACGGTTGTGAATGTGTGACTTTTGAAAGGCAGGGAGGGAGAGTGGGGTGCAGGCTGCCCACCACGTCGGGGTGTCCAGCTGGGATTCTCAGCAAGTTCCCCGTCATGGCTGGCGAGGGGTGGTTGTGCATAACCAGCCCATTGTTTTTTGGATCCCGTGGATCTGTTTGCTTTTAGATTATGTCATTTGAGGCTTCCTCTCTGTTGTTGCGGAGTTACACTCTGGATGATTAAAGATGGGGCAGAGTTGGAAGAGACTGGGAACAGACAGGGCTACTGGGGAATGGGAGTGTCTGAGGATTTAAGACCATTGGGTGTTCAGGGTTTTTTTTGCCAATATATTTATCAGTTGTGTTTCAGGAGTTAAATATTTTGGGGCATACCAAGATGAATCACACACGGTCTCAAAAAACTTGTAAACTGGGCCCTTTTGACACTTTTCCAAACCAAAGAGACAGGATGCTAGCATTACCTGTTTTAACAATACTCATCTCCCCTTAAGATTCCCGAGTTTTGTGCACTGTAAGTGGGCAGCACTCCGGAGGGACTGAGGGTTAATTTTATCCTTGTGGATAATAAATGCATCTTGGACAAAGGAAGAACACATATTTTAACTAAGTAGCAGCCTTCTGATAAGAATTCCAGCAATTGCACAAGCCCCACCGTTGTCTGTACAGCCCAGCAATTCTACCTTGCTATCTCAATATTCTCCGTTTTGCATTCCTCTCTTGCAGGAACCAGTTTCTAGTCTCTCACCAGCAGGATACGTTTCCAGGGTGATCTGCTTACTGAATTGGGGCTGGAGCCCAGGCGCAGAGGATCCCCGGGAAAGTGGCTTGAGAACTCCCCTGGGTGGGCGTGGGAGGGTTTCCCAGCCCTGCGTTGGGAGCTGCCATTGTTTTTTCCTTAGTCTTGCTTTTTGCCTTTGCCCAGCACCTGGTTCTGTTAGCATCGCCAAGATCAGTCCTAATGAGCTTTGTTGTTTAAACTGGGGAAGGAAACTTTTTCCCTCAACAAAAAGGCGAATTTTAGCTCAGCAGCAGGAGGGTGGCCAGTGGGGAGCCAGGGGTCAGAGGCAGTTGAGCCCTGCTACATAAATAGCAGCAATTAATGGGCCCCTGTAAAAGACAGGGATGTGTGTGTTTGCTGTCTAGCATCGTTTCTCTGCAAATCGGAGCAACACTGAAATTAATTATAAAGCCAGCAAAGGCTATTTTCTGCTTTCTGTTAAATAAGTATTGTCCACACAGGAGCACGTTCCACTCGGATGCATTTACCCACATCGTTTCTTTGGAAGATGGCGTGAAACCAATTTATTTTCAAAACTCCCCACTGGGTCATGCTAATCACCACAGTTTTCAGCCCTTTTATGCGGAATTCAGGCTTGGGCTGGAGCCGGGAGCCGGGAGCCCTCAGGCCCTTGTCATTTCCTTCATTGCTCTGGGGGCTTTCCCTTTGCCCACCCTGCCCAAATCATTTCCTCCAGTGCTGTCAACCAGGTTTGAATTTTTATGATGAGATTTACAAAGCAAGCCATTCTGTTATTACTAATAACCATCATAAAGGTTTCATAAAGGTTCTGCTTTGGTTTGCTGGGGCTAGTACAGTAAATAACACAGACCTGGGGGGCCTTCAACAACAGACATTGATGTTGTCTGAGTTCTGCAGGCTGGAAACCTGAGATCAAGGGGTCAGTAGGTTTGGTTTCTCCTGAGGCCTCCTCTCCTTGGCTGACTGAAGGCTGCCCTCCCACTGTGTCTTCGCACAGACATCCTCTGTATTCTCATCCCTGGTGTCTCTCTCTTCGTATCAAGACACCAGTCCTGTTGGATTAGGGCATCACCCTCATGTCCTCATTTAACCTTATTTCCCTGTTTAAAGGCCCTGTTTCCAAATACAGCCATCTTTCTGTATCTGCAGGGATTGGTTTCAGGATATCCTTTTTTTTTTTTTTTTGAGACTGAGTCTCACTCCATCACTCAGGCTGGAGTACAATGGCGCGATCTCGGCTCACCGCAACCTCTGCCTCCCAGGTTCAAGTGATTGTTGTGCCTCAGCCTCCCAAGTAGCTGGGATTACAGGCATGCGCCACCACGCCTGACTAATTTTTGTATTTTTAATAGAAACGGGGTTTTGCCATGTTAGCCAGGCTGGTCTCGAACTCCCAACCTCAGGTGATCTGCCTGCCTCTGCCTCCCAAAGTGCTGGGCAGGATCTCCTTCTGATACCAGAGTCCAAGGATGCTCAAGTTCTTGATAACAAATAGTGTCATATTTGCATATATCCTATACATATCCTCCTGTATATTTTAAATCATCCCCACCTTACTTAGAATACCTAATGCAATGCCTACACATCACTTCATTCACGTGGATTCAACTTAGCACTTGGCATGCGGCAAATTCAAGTTTTGCCTATTGGAACTTTGTGAATTATTTTCCCCAACATTTCTGATCTGAGGTTGGAACCCATGGAAGGTCAACTGTACAATCACATTGGGGCTGGAATTTTGGGGGAGGACACGACTTAGCCCATAACAGATTCTGAAATAGTTAATAGATTCTTCTTCTTCCAACTGCACGTGGATTCATTCATTCAAGAAATACTCATTGAGCGCCGCCTGTGTGCGGGGGCTGTTCTGGATGTGGTAAGCATGTCAGTGAGGGACCATCTCTTCCCTTCTGGGGCTTCTAAGCGTCAGGCAGATTCCATGCTCACTCAGTTCTGTGGGACTTCAGAGGTGATAAGTGCTATGGAACAAATAGCCTCGGGGCACAGGGGTTGTGAGCTCCAGATGATGTGGTTATAAGTGGGTGAGTCAGGGAAGCTTCTCTGAGAGCTGACATTTCGTCAGGATCTTAGAGGTTGAGGGAGTGCTATGTGGCCAAGATCCCCAGGAGGGAACACCCCTGTTTCTGCTGCTGAGGAACAACGAGGAGGCGGGTCAAGCCGAGGGAGCCGTGGGCTGCCTGATGGGAGTGGCGCAGGCATCCTCATGACGTGGATTCTTTCCTTTGGGAGCCACGGGGAGCCTGGGTGTGTTTTCATGGTCCTCACTTTTGGGTAGCCTTCCTGTCCCTCTAGATTCGCTGCTCTGGAGAAGGTGACAGCTCAGACAAGTTTGGGAGAGAGATGGGGTGCCTACCAAGGGGACCACCCAGAATTAGACATTGGCATGTCAGGAATTTTAGGGGGGCGTGTGGGGGCTGGTGGTGAAGAATGAGGGTCCTTCTGTCATGGATCGCCTGCTGTAATGCTGCGCCTGTGAGGTCTCCCCACCACCCCTTCTCCCCATGTCCTGTCCCCAATTCTTAGTCACACTTTTAGGAAGTGAGAAACCATTTTCTGCAGCAGGAAAAGGCTGGACGGCAAGCAGGGACGATAGTCACTGCCTTGGGCTCAGCGCGGATCCTAAATTTCTGTTTCTGTTGGGACTTTCCCAGAGCTGCTCGGTCTCCTCGTACCTACTTTCTAGCATTGGCATTTGGCGTCAGTTGTACGGCTGCTGTCTACCCCAAATTGGAATCTGGAAGAAACACCTGGGATTGGGGTTGGCCGTGGCCATGCATCTGTCCTTCCCCCACCGTTCCTCCCTCCCCATCTTCTTTCCAGGTCCATGCTGGCCCTGTTGTTATCCAGGGCATGCTGATGGAGCTCCTTCCAGGTTCCTGACGCGGTGCTGGACACTGGACACGCCAGGTTCAGTCATTTTTGAAATGACCGAGGGTTTGGTGCCTGGAAGGGGGTTCTGAAAGTGTTCTAGGAAAAGAATGGGCCTGGCCTTGAAAAAGGGTGAGAAGGAGCCAAAAGGGCTGATCCCAGCAGGGGTCTGGAGATGGGAGAATTTCTTGTGGTGACGAAGGAAAACCTATTGTAGCCTAGTGAGTTACAGGGGAAAATAGGGTTAGGAGATTGTGAATGCCTCGGTCGGGGGAGGAGAGGGGTAGAGTTGTAATTAGGCTGGTTGGGGAAGCCTCTCTGAGAAGGGGACATTTCTCTTTTTTTGTTCGAGATAGGGCCTCACTCTGTCTCCCAGGCTGGAGTGCAGTGGTGTGATCACGGCTCACTGCAGCGTCAACCTCCCAGGGTCAAGCCCTTTTCCCACGTCAGCCTCTCAAGGAGCTGGGAACACAGGCCTGCACCACCACAGCTGGCTAAGTTTTTGTATTTGTTTGGTAGAGACGGGGTTTCACTGTGTGGCCCAGACTGGTTTGGAACTCCTGGGCTCAAGCCATCTGCCTGGGGGACATTTCTCACACAGAGGTCTGTCGACTCTGCATCACGATCGCACACAAGCTGAAACGGTGTCCACAGATAGCACTCATATTTGATTTAAATGATTTTAATGTTTGAAGGGAAGGCACTGGTCTGCCTACATTGTAATTGGGAAATCTGAGGGCTGAAGTCGTGGGATTTCCCAAGGCAGTAGTAGAGATGGCCAAGAACTTATACTGGCCTCCTGTAGTGCCCTGGTGGGATTTTCCACACATGCATTCATTTATTCATTGATTCCCTCTTTCCCTTGCTCCCATGAGCCCAGCACTGTCCTAGGGTGCTGGGAGGTCAGACACCATTCCTACTTTCATGGAAAGTACAGTGGAGGGTATCATAGCAGCTAAGCGTGTGTGTGATGGGTGTGACAGCTGGAGAGGCCCGGAGTGACCCCAGCCAGTCTGGATGGGGAAGCAAACTGTAACCTGAGGCCAGTGGCGGGTGGGAATTGGGGTTGACCTGGCCAAGAGTGTGTGGGAGGGAATTCCAGGCTGGGCTGGGTGGGAGTGGGAGACAGGAGGCAGAGAGATTAGCAGGGAGGCCCAACTCTGCCCGAGGGATGATGGTGGGGCTGCAGCAGGGGAGTACAGGAAGGAAGGGGAAGGGGAGGGAAATTGTCCAAGGTGGAGGTGACAGACTCTTGGTGATGAATGAGGTGTGGGAATAGGGGCAGGGTGGCTGGAGGAGGATGTTACAGTAGGGCCACCTGTGGATGGTTACTGTAGGCTGAGCTGGGAGCCCCAGAGAGGAGTTGGGGCCGGGGGAGGTGACAGGCTCGGAGGCCCACAGATTATCCAGGTGGAGATGGCCAGAGGCACGTCAGAGCTCAGGAAGAGGTGTGAGCAGGACAGGCATTGGCACTCATGGGCAGATGGACAGTCATGAGCGTGCTGGAAGTGGAGGGGTGGACGCGTGCCTCCCCAGCAGAGGAAGGCCTGGGATAGAACCTCAGGGAGGCTACTGGGGGAGAAGCAGGAGGTGTGGGACCTGGGAGGGCAAGCAGGGTGTGAGAGGTCAGCAGGGAGAGTAGCCTCCGGGTGCCAGGGACCCTGGTGAGGTAGTCACAGGGAGTAGTGGGAGTGGCAGTCCGGGGCAGGGGCTGTCTGGGCTTCCGTGTCTACCCACTCCTCTGAACCAAACACGCAGAGCCTACTGACCACCACTTATTGAGGACTCTGATGAATGCTCTCAGAGCCAGGGTTTGCAGCTTCAGAGGCTGTGTGCCCAGCTGCTGTTGCTGTGACGTCCCCAGACTGGGGAAGGCAGGAGGAGAGTGGAAGAGGAACTGTAAGACCTGGCCCTAGGCCGGGCGCAGTGGCTCATGCCTGTAATCCCAGCACTTTGGGAGGCCAAGGCGGGCGGATCACCTGTGGTCAGGAGTTCAAGACCAGCCTGACCAACATGGAGAAACCCCGTCTCTACTAAAAATACAAAATTAGCCGGGCATGGTGGCTCATTCCTGTAATCTCAGCTACTCGGGAAGGCTGAGGCAGGAGAATCGCTTGAACCCAGGAGGTGGAGATTGCAGTGAGCTGAGATCTTGCCATTGTACTCCAGCCTGGGCAACAAGAGTGAAACTCTGTCTCAAAAAAAAAAAAAAAAAAAAAAAAAAAAAGACCCGGCCCTAGCCCGCAGTGAATGAATGCTAGCCCTTTGTTCTTACATTTTTACTCTTCTGCAGGGAATCCCGTAGAATTGTAGGATGCTCAGATGGTCTATTAGCCTGCTCAGGCTGCCACAACAAAATACCATGGAGTGGGTGGCTTAAAACAACAGAAATTCATGTTTCACAGTCCTGGAGTCTGGAAGTCTGAGATCAAGGTGCCAGCGGGGTTGGTTTCTCCCAAGGCTCTCCCCTTGGCTTCTAGATGACTGCCTTCTCTCTGTGTCCTCACATGACCTTTCTGTGCAGGCTCAGAGACAGAGAGAGTTCTGGTGTCTCTTCTCCTTCTTATAAGGACATCGGTCCTACTGGATTAGAGCCCCACTCTAATGACCTCATTTAACGTTAATAACCTCTTTAAAGTCTCTCTCTTTAAATACAGTCACGTTGGGGGTTAGGGCTTCAACATACGCAATTCAGTCTATTGCAGATGGCAATCTTGAACCATGACAAAGAATCTGAATTATCCTCCCCTCCCCGACAAATGGTCCTAAAGATCCAGGACTCTTTTATAGTACAGGTTAATTATCTCTTATCTGCTTGGGACCAGAAGTGTTTTAGATTTGGGATTTTTTTTTTTTTTTTTATATTTGCTTAGTATCCAGTGGAGCACCCTTCATTCCAAATACTCCAGTGACCATTTTCTACAGGTGTCGTGTTGATGCTTAACAAGTTTCAGATTTTGGAACATGTTGGATTTTGGGTTTTCAGGTTAGAGATTAGAGATGTTCAACCTGCATACACTTATACCTAGAACCCTGGCAGGTATATTTTAGGTGTTTAATAAATGTTTGTTGAAGAAGGAAAGATTCATTTGAGTTTAGTATACAGTATTCATTAAGAAACCAAAGTGTTCTGGGAAGAAAGCTTTTTTGGGGATAATTTCCATATGAAAAGAAAACTCAGTTGATCAGGGCTTCCCATTCCCTGTGCATTTTGATTATTTAAAACATGGTGTAAAAGTGCTTTGATTAAGGAAAGGCTATGAACTTTCTAAAATACAGCACATTGTATAATGTGTAAAACACATATGTATATTTCTGCGATATTAAAGAGGAGTCTCTTTGATCAGTATATTTTTTTTCTTCCTCTCAGTTGTACAGAAGATCCATTTTACATCTGACTTCTCATTTTGGAGATTGGATACATCAATACTTGATGTGTTTCAGAGTAATGAATTTTAAAGGCAGTGAAGGGTGATACAGGAGGAAGGGATGAATTTAAAATCCTGTTAACTCTGATCCTATGTAGACAGTCTCAGCTAAGTCAATATTTAAAGAAGATGAGAGACTCGCCTGATAGGAAGTCACTGCCTTGGGATTTAAAAGCTACTCTATTCCAGAGAGTTGAAAACCCTGAGATAGAGTTCAGCCTTCTTTTTTAATATGCTGAAGCCACCGGTCAAGGAAATGCATATTGTTTTCCTTAGCTGAACTGAGCTTGAATGCTTATTCACCCTCTCTACGGGTTGATTCATTGAAAGTAAATTGGTAATGATAATAACAGCATCAATTTAAGGAGCACTTCGTATGTGCCAGACATTGTACTAAGTGCTTTCTTTTTTTTTTTTTTTTTTTTTTTTTGAGACGGAGTCTCGCTCTGTCGCCCAGGCTGGAGTGCAGCGGCGCGATCTCAGCTCACTGCAAGCTCCGCCTCCCGGGTTCATGCCATTCTCCTGCCTCAGCCTCCCGAGTAGCTGGGACTACAGGCACCCACCACCATACCCGGCTAATTTTTTGTATTTTTAGTAGAGACGGGGTTTCACCATGTTAGCCAGGATGGTCTCGATCTGCTGGCCTCGTTATCCGCCCGCCTCGGCCTCCCAAAGTGCTGGGATTACAGGTGTGAGCCATTGCGCCCGGCCCTAAGTGCTTTCTTTATGTACATTATCTTAGGGACTATTGGTAGATGGAAGTGTGTGTCATTACCGGGTGCATTACTGGGCCTGGGTGATTTTGAGCATCCCTTATTCTAAGTAAAATTCTACATTGGATTTTTTTCTCCTAATACCTAACAAAGGCCGTCAAGCATGGATTCCTCGGCAGTCAGCAAGTGACCTCTCTCCTGATGGGTTGGGATCCACACACATGGCCTCTTCCTCCTGTCCTGTGTTGGGGAGAGCAGTGCTTCCCTTTCGTGCAGGGCAAACTCTTCCTCCTCTTCCTCTCCTTCCTTAAGGTTTCCTCTCTCTTTCTTTTTTTTTTTTTCTGAGATGGAGTCTTGCTCTGTCACCCAGGCTGGAGTGCAATGGAGCTTTCTTGGCTCACTGCAGGCTCTGCCTCCCAGGTTCAAGTGATTCTCCTGCCTCAGCCTCCCAAGTAGCTGGGACTACAGGCATGCACCACCACGCCCAGATAATTTTTGTATTTTTAGTAGAGATGGGGTTTCACCATGTTGCCCAGGCTGGTCTCAAACTCCTGACCTCAAGTTATCACCAGCCTCAGCCTCCCAAAGTGCTGGGGTGACAGGTGTGAGCCACCACACCCGGCCGGGTTTCCTCTCTTTCTGTCTCTCCTGCATCTTGTATTTCGTTATCTCTGTAGCTGCTGCTAGTGATTTTTTGGCCTTGGGGGATTTCCATTGCTTTCTTATGAGCTTAGCTATTTATTTAAAAGTGGTTTGCTGATTTTATCCATCATCATTGATTGGTGGTGTTTGTTTGGCAGGGAAGGAGGAGGGTGGAGTTACCGTGTTGTGAGAAATGCTTTCTGTTTTTCCTTTTTCTGAGACAGGGTCTCACTCTGTCGCCCAGGCTTGAGTGCAGTGGTGAGATCATAGGTCACTACAGCCTGGAACTCCCAGACTCAAGCGATCCTCTCACCTCAGCCTCCCGAGCAGCTGGGACTACTGGCACGAGCCACCACGCCTGGTTAATTTTTGTGAGATGAGGTTTCGCCATGTTGCACAAGCTGCTATTTCTTAATTAATAAAAGAAGTTGATGAATAATCTCTTTCAACTGTCATATATTGGAACTGTGCTCTTCTCTTTCTACTAATTTTCCACCACTGCAGGACTTTGCTACTAATCTTCTTGGAAATATGGGGGAAATCTTTGGAAAACTGATTCCTTTGTAAAATTTTGAAAAGGCTTGCAACTTGGATCTGTTGATGAGTCTCGGTTTTACTGATCTTTGACAGAAAGTTGTTTTTCTTGTGCTCATGATGACATCCAGGCTTAGATACCCTCCTGAAACTCCCATTCCCAAACATACACACACACACACACACACACACACACACACACACACACACACACACACACACACACACACCCCTGGACTGAATTGGGAGTTCCCTGGCGGCATTGGCTGGGGGCCTCATCCTTAAGTGAATCGGGGAACCTGCAGCGTTGGTAAGAGCCATTGATTGGTGTGGTGCTATCACTCCTGTTGCCTGGAACATGCTAAACTTGCTTATTTTACTGCCATTTGATAGCAAAGATTTAATTTCACTCTGTAAAACTCCCCCGACTCAAGTAGTTTATTTTGCAGCTAGAGATCCATTATTGCATTAGGCTTTACCCAGTTAGAGTCAGTGTTAGCTTTGTTTTGCCTGCAAACCTCTGATTACTGTCAAATTGAATTAGATGTCTCCCTTTGCTGATCACTGATTGACTTTTCCTTAATTTCCCATTCATTTTTTTTCCCCATTTCAGTTGTTATAGATGAAGTCGATTAAATGGTTTTGTGTAATCAAGAACGGCATTCCATTTCAGTATTATCAACTTGTAAGTATGGAGCTTGTAAGTCAGGGGGTGGATGAAAACAAGCTGATAATGAGCTGGTATTTGAAAATTGAGAGGGAGCTTAATAGGAAACCTTCTCCAAGGTGAGGTAGCTTAAGGGCTCAGGGTTTTCATGGAGGGAACCTTGATGGCAGAACTTGGGAATCAAGGTGTCAGATGATGGTAGGGCACACACCAGGGGTGTTAGTTTCCTGCAGCTGCTGTAACAAATGACCACAAACTTGGTGGCTTAAAACAACAGAAAGTGATTCCCTCACAGTCTGGAGGCTGGAAGTCCAAAATCAGTCTCATTGGAGATCAAGGTGTCAGTAGGGCCACGCTTCCTCCAGAGACCTAAGGGGAGACTTGGACTTTGCTTCTTCTCCCAGCCCCTGGTGGCTGCCATGGGCATCTCCTGGGCTTGTGGCCATGTTATTCTCTTGTCTCCGTCTTCACTTTGCTTTCTTCTCTGCTTGTCCATCTGATCCCCTCCGTCTTTTAAAGACATTTTTGATGGCATTTAGGACTCACCCAGTTAATCCAGGACAGCCTCCCCATCTGAAGACCATTAACTTCATCATGTCTGCAGAGTCCCATCCCCCTAAAGATGACATTTTCAGGTTCCAGGGATTAGGATGTGGGCCTATCTTTGGGAGGCCATTTTTCGACTTACCACACTGGGCCTGCTTCACGGAAGGCCTTGGTACGACGGCCCAAGGCCTGGGCTGGACTGAGTGGTATGAGGTTGAGGGGCTGGACTGAGCGGTATGAGGAGGAGGGGCTGGACTGAGCGGTATGAGGAGGAGGGGCTGGACTGAGCGGTATGAGGAGGAGGGGCTGGACTGAGCGGTATGAGGATGAGGGGCTGGACTGAGCGGTATGAGGAGGAGGGGCTGGACTGAGCGGTATGAGGATGAGGGGCTGGACTGAGCGGTATGAGGAGGAGGGGCTGGACTGAGCGGTATGAGGTTGAGGGGCTGGACTGAGCGGTATGAGGAGGAGGGGCTGGAATGAGTGGTATGAGGATGAGGGGCTGGATGGGGTTTCCAGGGGGTATTTCCCCAGCACCATAGATCACCTCATTGCCTTGTCCTTTCACCTTCAGGAAAGGGAGGAGGATGGGCTAGAGAAAGAGCAAGAAGTGAGAGAGTGGGGAGAAATGCTTGGAAATACTGCATTTGCACAGAAGTTGGAAGGTACAGGAAGAACTGCCTAAAGAAAAGCCTAGCATGCACCCTTAAGCCTGGCATGTGGGAACCAACACCAATTGTTAGGATGACTGTAATCGTACGGCTGTGATAATGAGGTCTAGATTCATGGAAAGAGCCACCTGGGCTGTCCTTTCTGTTCAGAGTGGTCTGCAGTGTAGACACTTGCTAACCAATTGTGGAGCTTCATAGGGTCCTATTTTGACATAGCTCATGGAGGTGCAAAACCCTGATATGGGCTGGTTCAGCCCTGGGAGTGGAGCCTGAGAGGGAGTTCGTGAAGACTCTGCTCTCCGTGGGTCTCATGGACGTGCGGGAGCAGAGGGGACGGTGGAGTCAATGAGGAATTGTCAGAGGCTCCTGAGACTACGCTGAAGGGCTAGAGTGAGGAGGAGAGAGAGGCTGCCGGTGAAAGGTGGCGTCATTCCCCACTGCCAAGGAGGGTCTCTCCATGCCTGGAAATGCGTCCCAAAGGGCATCAGATAGATTCCTTATATTTTCAGGGAAGCTATTTGTTCCTTGTGGCTGCTATAACAAATTACCACTCTGGTGGCTTAAAGTAACAAATTGATTCTCTCACAGTTCTGGAGGCCAGAAGTCTTAAAAAGTATTGGCAGGGCCACGCTCCCTCCAGAGACTCTAGGGGAGGATCCTTCCCTGCCTCTTCTGGCTTCCAGTGGCAGCCAACATTCCTTGGCTTGTCGCCCCTCACCCCAATGTCTGCCTCCTTCCTCCTGTGGCTGCCCCCTCTGCTTATTTGTGTGAAAACTCCTTCTTTCTCTATTTTATAAGGACACTTATGAGGACATTTAGGGCCTACCCAGGTAATCTAGGCTAATCTCATCTCAGAATTCTTCACTTAATAACTTCTGCAAAGACCCTTTTTCCAAATAAAGTCACATGATCCAGAGATTAGGCCATTATTCAACCTGGTACAGGCAATTGAAGAACTCAATAAGGTATCTTAACTATAATTGTGTACTCTGTTAAAAAGGCAGATTGTATTACTGCTGGGCCTTTAGACTTGTTTGTTTACAGTACTTGTAAGAATTTCATTGCCAGAGGGTGTAATTTTTTAGATACTGCCACACGGAGTGGAGCAAAGACAATGCCTAATTGTACTTTTCAGCATTCTTTTTTCTCCACCTCCCCAAGAGGATGGATATGAAATATGTGTGTGTCTATGTGTTTTTGGAGGGTAACAGTTAACAAAGCTGTTAGTTTAGCATCCCTTGAACTACTTGGGGCCAGACACAGCCAGAGTGTAACTTTACCTCCTGGGGGCTGAGAGCATCAGCCCGAGCTGACTTGAGGTAGTGCAGGCCCCATGCTGTGAGGTGTGGATGGCAGGGGCTCTTCTAGCCTGTCTGGTCCCCTTGGGGGCTGATTGACTCTTTGTTACTCCCATCTTTGGATTAAGGGCCTGAACCTCCCTATTAAAATGAGACTCTGGGCTGGGCACGGTGGCTCATTCCTATAATCCCCGCACTTGGGGAGGCCAAGGTGGGCGGATCACTTGAGGCCAGGAGTTTGAGACTAGCCTGGCCAACATGGCCAAACCCTGTCTCTACTAAAAATACAAAAATTAGCTGGATGTGGTGGCGGGTGCCTGTAATCCCAGCTACTCAGGAGGCTGAGGCAGGAGAATTGCTTGAACCCGGGAGGCAGAGGTTGCAGGGAGCCGCCAAGATTGTGCCACTGCATTCCAGCCTGGGCCACAGAGCGAGATTCCATCTCAAAAAAAAAAAAAAAAAAAAAAAAAAAAGAAGGAGACACTGCTCTATAGAGGAGATAATACATTATGCTGTTTATAGCCATCTTTGCTTTGGTGATTCCATTGGTTAGTCACTATTAGTCACTTGCTGTTTATGAAGCGCTGTGTGTCGTGAAGGGGGAGTGGTCCCTGCATTAAGCCATGACTTACATCTTACTGCAGATGCTGTTGTATAGGGACGTAGGGAAGGAAGGTGCGGGGGAGTCTCTCTGGTAGGGAGGTTAGCCTCTGAAGGACCTGGGGTTGGGGGCTTGAGTGGGGGAAGGGGGTGGCTGGAGTACCTGGAGAGTGATAGAATGCATGTCCCAGGGAGTGACAAGACATGCCAGGAGGGAGAGCTGGGAGGAGTTGGGACCGGGTGGTGGTGGGGCTGATGGAGAAGATGCTTGGGTGCTCCCATAGGCAGCAGTGAGACCTCAAGAGCTTCTGCAAGAAATCAGAGTTCTAGACCCACTGATTTGGAGGCAGAGTGTAGAATGAATTCAAGAGGCCAGGAGGAGCCTCAAGAAGAGGTGACATCCATGCCTTAGTTCACCCTGGGGGTGGCCAGACTTTTATTGATTCGTTCACTATTTTGTTTAATTTAAAGTTTGCCTTTAGTTTGGACTTTTTCCCTTTTTTGTTTTCTTTTTGTTTTTTAAGGTTTTCTTCAGCTTTATTGAGGTTTAACTGACAGATAACCGCGTGTGCTTATAGTATGCAGGTTATGATAAGTGAGCATGTTGTGAAATGGTTACCATGGTCAAGCTCATGGACATGTCCATTACCTGACAGGGTTATCAGTTTTGTGTGTGTCTTGAGAACATTAAAAAATCTCTCAGCAATTTTCTTTCTTTTTTTTTGAGATGGAGTTTTGTTCTTGTTGCCCAGGCTGGAGTGCAATGGCACAATCTCTGCTCACTGCAACCTCTACCTCCCAGGTTCAAGCGATTCTCCTGCCTCAGCCTCCTGAGTAGCTGGGATTCCAGGCGTCCACCACCACACCCAGCTAATTTTTATATTTTTAGTAGAGACAGGGTTTCGCCATGTTGGCCAGACTGGTCTCGAACCCCTGACCTCAAGTGATCCACCCGCCTTGGCCTCCCAAAGTGCTGGGATTACAGGCACAAGCCACCGTGCCCAGCCTCTTAGCAGTTTTCTTTCTTTTTTTTTGAGACGGAGTTTTGTTCTTGTTGCCCAGTCTGGAGTGCAATGGCACAATCTTGGCTCACTGCAACTTCTACCTCCTGGGTTCAAGCGATTCTCCTGCCTAAGCCTCCCGAGTAGCTGGGATTCCAGGCATCCACCACCACGCCCATCTAATTTTTGTGTTTTTAGTAGAGACAGGGTTTCACCATGTTGGCCGGGCTGGTCTTGAACTCCTGACCTCAAGTAATTCACCCTCCTCGGCCTCCCAAAGTGTTGGGATTACAGGCACGAGCCACCACGCCCGGCCTCTTAGCAGTTTTCAAGTGTGCAATACATTATTGTTAAGCCTGGTCACCATGCTGTACATTGGATCTCAGACTTCTGTTTTTTTCTTTATCATGAACTATGTCCACAAAATAATATTTGAGCCCCTCACTGAAAACATGTATTCATCTGTATTTATTTACTTATTATTTATTTCTGTACTTGTACCTCTGTGTATGGCATATTGCATATAATGCATATTGAGTGCGTTGTGAAACAGGTACAAAATGTAATTACAAAAAAGAGAAATAACAAGAAATGGAAGGTCCACTGACTTCATCCTGCACCCGGAGGCTCCATAGCTGTGTATGAAGGTGTTCCTGGGATGCTCATGTCTCAGTTCATGACAGGGCATCTGGGCACTGGGGCAGTGGTTGGAATGAACCAGGCGGGTGGTGTAGGGGAACAGAGAGGAAGGACAGGTGGCGAGACAGCTGGAAGAAGACATTGACATCATGTGTTGACGTCAGTGGCTGATCACATTAGAGAGGGGAGTGAAGAAAAAAGAAGGAACAGGGCAGCCGGCGTGGTGACTCACGCCTTTGACGCCGGTGCTTTGGGAGGCTGACAAGGAGAATCACTGGAAGCCAGGAGTTCAAGACCAGCCTGGGCCACATGGGGAGATCGGTCTCTACAAAAAGAAAAAAATTAGCCAGCCGTGGTGGTGTGTGCTTATAGTCCCAGCTCCTGGGAGGCTGAGGTGGGAGGATCACTTAAGCCCAGGAGTTTGAGGCTTCAGTGAGCCATGATTGCACCATGTACTCCAGCCTGGGCAACAGAGAGACTCTGTCAAGAAGGAAAGAAAGAGAAAAAGAGAGAGATAGAAGAAGAAAGAAAGGAAGGAAGGAAAGAGGAAGGGGAGGGAGAGAGGGAAGGAGGGAGGAAGGGAGGGAGGAAGGAAGGAAGGAAAGAAGGAAGGAAGGAAGGAAGCGAGGGAGGGAGGGAGGGAGGGAGGGAAGGGAAGGAAAAGGGTGAATACAATGGAGAGGTGACTTCCCCTAAAGGAAAGAGGACTGGGGACAGATGCGGATTTGGGTGGAATAGACAATCTTCCCTTCCCTCTGTTCCTCCATCCTTCCTTCTGTTCTTCCCTCCCTCCCACCGTACCTCTTATGACAAGTTGATTGTAGGGGCAATGGCCCAGGAGGAGCTTCCTGAGGGTAGTAGAAATGTGATCCTGAGTAACAACAAAGGTTGGGTCCTGACAGTGGGGGCCAAGTTTCCCTAGGAGGCAATTCATCAAGGGAAGGAGGTAGACCCTGAGGCTTGAGGGTGTGCACAGGGCAGGGCGGAGCGGGGGCGGGCAAGGCTAGGGGTGCTGCATCTTTGGGCAGTGTCCCCCAACCATGCCTTGGAACTAAGATTGGGGGAAGATTTAGCTGTTTCTGAAGTGGCTGGGGGTCCTCAGACCTGGAGGGAGATGATGGTGAGTCCTGAGGGGGACTGGGACAAGCCCTTTGCTGGAAGAGAAATTGTTATTTCATCTTCCCATCCTGTAGAAAAATAAATTTGACATTAATCCTGCACTGTGCCTTCCAGACAGCCATTCAGGTTTTCTTAGGTAAATTCCATTGTCTTCCTTAATAATTGGACCTTTTGATTTTTCCTAATGTTGTACCTATATGTGTGTGTGTGTGTGTGTTTGTGTGGTATATGCATAAATATAAATGTGTATATATATATTTTCTGTTGATGCTGTTTTAGGTAAGGTGTTTCTCCTCTGCAGAGACATAGCTAGCATTTTTCTTGGGTTCCTGTGAGTAGCCAAGGCATCGCTATTGTCTGTAATGTCTGATAACAGGCATGTTCTTGTTTTCTCCTTAGGTGGCCATAAAAGTCATTGATAAGAAGAGAGCCAAAAAGGACACCTATGTCACCAAAAACCTGCGGCGAGAGGGTCAGATCCAGCAGATGATCCGCCACCCCAATATCACTCAGCTCCTTGATATTTTAGAAACGGAAAACAGCTACTACCTGGTCATGGAGCTGTGCCCTGGGGGCAACCTGATGCACAAGATCTATGAGAAGAAGCGGCTGGAGGAGTCCGAAGCCCGCAGATACATCCGACAGCTCATCTCTGCCGTAGAGCACCTGCACCGGGCCGGGGTGGTCCACAGGTAAGGGCCAGGCCACGCTGGTGATCGCTGACTGTGTGCTCCGTGGGTGGCACTGGGCTGTGGCACCCTCTGAGCCTCTGAGAAAGGCTGAGCAATTGCAGCCTGTTTTACAATTTGTCTATATTTTAATTTTATTTATTTGTTTATTTTTTTGAGACGGAGTTTTGTTCTTGTTGCCCAGGCTGGAGTGCAATGGCGCAGTCATGGCTCACTGCAACCTCCGCCTTGTGGGTTCAAGCGATTTTCCTGCCTCAGCCACCCAAGTAGCTGGGATTACAGGCACCTGCCACAATGCCTGGCTAACTTTGTTGTATTTTTAGTAGAGACGGGGTTTCACCATGTTGGCCAGGCTGGGAATTTTTCTGTATTTTTATTCCATGGAATTGTTTTGTGAATTGGGTTAATGCCAGTGTGAGGGTTAAAAGAGTAGAATCTGAAGCCAGAGTGACTGGGCTTGCAACCTGGCTCTGCCCTGTAACAGTTATGTGACCCTGGGCAAGTTACTTAACCTCTCTGAGCCTTGGTCTCTTAATCTGTAAAATGGGAATAATAATAACACTTCTCTCTCAGTTGGAGTAAAGGTCAATGAGTTAATATATGGGAAGAGCTTGGGACAGTGTTTGTTACCTAGTAGGTATCAGGTAAGTGTTAGCTGCTTTTCTTCTTGTTTGCATAGTCATGAGACCAGTTGTTTAGGTGCCTGAAAGAGCCAGTGTTAAAATGGCATGAGATTCGTGCTAGGGATGATGGTGCTTTCATTGTCTTTGCTTTACACATAGTAGACACTCAATAGCAGTTTTATTCAATGAAATTGAATCACCATTCGAATTTTGAACTTGCCCTTGAAATCAAGGAGTGTTTTCCACAAACCAAACCAGTCTTGCAAATAGTTAGGAAAATCAAGCTTGTTTTTAATATCCTGTTGTTTCCTAGGAAGGGGCTCTACAAAGAAAGTGAATGGAAACAGCGTTCTTGGCAATGTTGCCATTGGTAGTGGGTGCCTGCTTTTAGTACTGTATGAAAATAAAATCAAACAAATTTAAAGAAATAAAAGCTCCCTCTTTTCCTCCAAGGGAGTGTTGGCTTCACCAATAAATGCATGGTTCTTCCTTTGTGGAATTATGATCAATAATTACTCTGGGTTATTGAGAACAACCAGAAATATTTTTTTTTTTTTTTGAGACTGAGTCTCGCTTTGTCGCCCAGGCTGGAGTGCAATGGCGCAATCTTGGCTCACTGCAACCACTTCCCAGGTTCAAGCAATTCTCCTGTGTCACCCACCCTAGTAGCTGGGATTACAGGCATGTGCCACAACGCCCGGCTAATTTTTTATTTTTAGTAGAGATGGGCTTTCTCCATGTTGGTCAGGCTGGTCTTGAACTCCTGACCTCAGGTGATCCGCCCTCCTCGGCCTCCCGAAGTGCTGGGATTACAGGCGTGAGCCACCACGCCCGGCATAGAAATCATTTTTAATTGGTGCTTATTTTAAAAAGCAAGATTGAGGCATGACATATTTATGTGTGTGTATATATATAAACATGCACACACGTGTGCACATGTATGTTTAAATATTTTTAAATTAATAAATTTATATACTATAAAAGTCACCATTTAAAAGTGTATAATCTAGTGTTTTTTAGTGTATTCACAGAGTTGTGCAACCATCACCACCTTCTAATTTTAGAATATTTTTATTACCCCCCGCAAAAGAAACCCTGTACCCATTACCAGTCACTCCCCATTTCCCTCTTCCCCCAGCCCTGGCAACTACTAATTTACTTTCCGTGTCTATGGATTTGCCTATTCTGGCCATTTCATATAAATGGAATTATATAATACCCGGTCTTTTGTGATTGCTTTCTGTCATGTAGCATTATGTTTTTCAGGTTTGTCTAAGTTATAGCATGTGTCAGTGTCTCCTTCCTTTTTATGACTGCATAATACTCCATGTATGGATATACCACAATTGGCTGATCCATTTGAGTTGTTCCCACACTTTGGCTAGTAATACTGCTATGAGCGCTGTTTTCACTTCTCAGAAAACTCCACTCTTAGGAGTGGAATTGCTGGGTCATATGTCAGCTTTCTTTATCCTTTTGAGGAAATATATATTTTAAAAAAATTCAACATTTAATGATAAATCTAATTTTAATTTTAATAATGATAATCTAGCTCTATTTGAAGGCCATTATTCTTTCTTTCTTTCCTTTTTCTTTCTTTCTTCCTTTCTTTCTTTCTCTCTCTCTCTTTCTTTTTTCTTTCTTATTTCTTTATTTCTTTTTTGTTTTTTGTTTTTTTGAGATGGAGTCTCACTCTGTCGCCCAGACTGGAGTGCAGTGGCACAATCTCGGCTCACTGCAACTTCCGCCTTCCGGGTTCAAGAGATTCTACTGCCTCAGCTTCCCAAGTTGCTGGGATTACAGGCACGTGCCATCATGCCTAACTATTTTTTGTATTTTTAGTAGAGATGGGGTTTCACCATGTTGCCCAGGCTGGTCTCAAACTCCTGACCTCAAATGATCCACCCTCCTCAGCCACACCCAAAGTGCTGGGATTACAGGTGTGAGCCGCCGTGCCCAGCCATGAAAGCCATTTATTTTCAGGCCGGGCGCAGTGCTCACGCCTGCAATTCCAGCA
Source organism: Homo sapiens (assembly GCF_000001405.40). Taxonomy (NCBI): domain Eukaryota; kingdom Metazoa; phylum Chordata; class Mammalia; order Primates; family Hominidae; genus Homo; species Homo sapiens. The sequence goes on from NC_000021.9 coordinate 31,927,398, forward strand.
CTTTGGGAGGCTGAGGCAGGCAGATCACGAGGTCAGGAGATCAAGACCATCCTGGCTAACACAGTGAAACCCCGTCTCTACTAAAAATACAAAAAAATTAGCTGGGCATGGTGGCAGGTGCCTGTAGTGCCAGCTACTCTGGAGGCTGAGGCAGGAGAATGGCATGAACCAAGAAGGCAGAGCTTGCAGTGAGCCGAGATCACGCCACTGCACTCCAGCCTGGACAACAGAGCGAGACTTGTCTGGAAAAAAAAAAAAAGCCATTTATTTTCTGATCAGTGATGAAAGCAGCTCCAGGCCTTTACTTAATAGAACTTAGACTTCCAAGGTGGAGAGAGCTGCCTCCTTACTAACGGGATTGGTGCCGTGGGATGCTCTGCCCTCTCATGTCTAAACCCAGGGGAGGACCATTGTCCAGGCCTTTTCTAGAGCCAGCCTTGGGTAGGCACCATTCAGGCCAATCATTTCCGCCTCACCAAGGTGAGAGCACCTCTTCACATACGTATTCTTAGTCATGCATGTTGTCATGAGATCACCCTTCATTAGAACTCTTTGGGCTTAGATTAGCAAGGAAGAGAACATTCAGAAATGGTAAGTGAATCACGCTATTTTTGGCTCTTCCCAACAATACCCTTGGGTAGCCTGAGGTGTCATAACGCTGCTGTTATTAGGAAAATGATAGTCGTAAGTGTGCCTGGCTCTGTCTTTGTTTATTAAGATGACAAAGGCAGAAACCTCACAAGTGAATCAGCTTGGATCACCGACTCCGCAGGTCACAGTGGAAAATAGAACCAGGGACTGGGAGCGGCAGATCTTTCTGTAGTACTCAGGGTGTTTTTTCCAAGGGTTTTGTGCTGTCAAAAAGAGGATGAGCACCGAGCTTCTCAGGATCGCGAGAACAACAAAGAAAACCAAGTGGAAGCTGTGCCTTGTGCACTGGCCTCTCCTGCAGGAAATTCTCAACAGCCCTTTTAAAGTAATTTTAACAAAATCCAATCCCTCTCAGCGCAATTACTGTCAGAATGTCAAAGCAATGAATTTAATAATGTTTTGATAGCAAAGACGGTATACTTTTTCTTTCTCTGATCTCCAGCTTTTTCTACTTTTGCCTCTCTCTCCTCAGGAATATATTTATAATCCAATAATGGCAAGGGCTCAGATCTTTTAAAGTTAGAGAAGACTGGAGATACAGGGACGATTTAGGAAGATTTTTTTCACTTTTCCCTCTAAAAATCATGTTAATGTGTGTCACCGCACACGGACATAGGTGATTAGGTGGTTGAGACCTCACATTAAAATGCTTGTTTAGAATATATTCATAGTGGCTTTAACGGAATGTCTTGACTTTCAAAGACTCTATACCACTAATTTTGGGTGTTCGTATTTCAGCTGACCACTGGTATGTTCTTTGCTGGAGCGCTTTCTCATAAAGAATTTTCTCCTTTATGCTGCAAAGGTGGAATGAATTTCATAAATTATTTTGAGGTTAGATTTTTCAAATGAATAAGAGAGTATTGCATTTCAGAGAGGCCCTGGAGTCCCTGGTGGGAAGATTTCTAAGTAAATACATTGGATGATGCAAAAGGATGCAGGATGATTTTTTGTGGCTATATGTGTACAGTGATTTAAGGGGCTTTTGGTTGTGTGTGTGTGTGTGTTTGTGTGTGTGTTAGGGGATGCTTTAAAAATGCAGTTCCTGATTAGGCTGATATTATGTTATTATGTCATAATCAACTTAATGCTAGCAGAGCCCTCATTTCCTGTGGCATTAAATGGAAATATTTATTTATCTTTCCAGAACTATTTAAACATCATTTAAAAGAAACAATAAATATGACAAGTAGGTTTTGTTTTTTTTTTTTAATACAAAGGAAACTTAGCATGTATAAAGCAGATTCACTTTGCTGGCAGAGAGCTTCCTATTAGATTGGACTTGCCACAGCCTCTGTGTCTAGGGCTGTTGTTCATTTTTACAAAGGTAGAGTGTGTTCTAACTTCTTTATTATTCTATTTTAGAATTGTCTAAGCTTCTCTAAAATATAACGAGTTGTTTTTCCTTCCCCTAAACGTGCTTACTGAGCAGGATGCCAAAATCTGATGATTTGCCTATTGTATATAGAGCATCAACTCTTAACGTGAATCACCAAGAACGCCGATTCTGCTGAGAGGCTAATTTGAGATTCATGTGTTCATTCAAAATAACAAAGTCCAATCAAACTATACAGATAAAACACAACTGGGTAATACAATACCACCATCCCTAAGCAGGAAGAGAAAAGCCACGGGGCTGCAGGACCAGGAGAAAGAGACACATGATCAAAGGGAGCCCGAGCCTGAGCTCGGATGTGTGTCAACACCGTGGCTCCCAGGGCCATGACCTTATCCATTCATCAATATGGAGAAAAGGGCTCTCTGCGCTTAAGAGGAAGGCAGTGGAAGAGAGGAGGCCCTTCTTTGTTCTTTTGGGCCTGACAAGAAGCAGGCACAACCTGTGCTGGTTAGGGGGTTAAGAAGTTCTGTTAACTTTCAGGTTTTCTTGGATTTCTGCTCACATCCAGGAGCTGGGTGGAATCCCAGGGCCTTCTGCTGAGAGCAAGCACATATCTGGAGGCATCAGTTACAGCAAAAGTTTTGTGTTTAATTGGGTTTAAAAAAATAGCATTGGAAATGTGAGCTCTTGCAAAGCTCCAGCCCAACAGCTTCATGGATTGGGATGTACAGTGGTCCGCAGTGCTGATGCGAAAGCCTGACCCCCTTGTCCATATGCTGGTTTGACCACTCGAAAGTGGCGCTGGGCAAATCGCTCAGGCTTTTGTGCCTCTCTTTCCACAGCTACACAACAGGGAAAGCGGATTATCCACTTCACATGGCTGTTGTGAGGATTAAATAAGTCAATCTGCATAAAGCACTAAAAACTGAGACTCTGTGTAAGGACTGAGTCCATGTTCTCTGTAATTACTACTCAGTCCAGCCCATTCATTTTATCCACGGGAAGCTGAGACCCACAGTTCTCCGTGCTGAGGGTCCCACAGCTGTTCTCTGCTTGCACTGCCCTTGTTGGCTTTGGCTGAATTCTACTCATCCTTCAGGTCCCAGCTCCAGGCTCACCTTCTCTGGGAAGCCCTCCAGGCTTGGCCCCCTGGCCATAGACTCTCAGCACCCTCTACTTTTCTTTCTGAGCACGTATCCCATGGTTACTTTTCTCTATCTGCCTTCTGCACAGGCCATAGCTTAGCCCAGTGCTCAGCCCAGTGGGCACACAGTAAGACTTTGTTGAATGAAGGAAGGAAAATTGAATGAATACAGCTAGTGTCAGAGTTTGCACTGGGATGGAAGCTTTCTGGTAGCCAGTCCTATGTTCTGGAATAGTCCATATTCTCCCTGGAATTTCAAAGGAGTTTCTTCATTGACTTAGTGTCAATGTGTTTATTTTTTAGGTCACAATTTGTAGAGTGGCATCTTTCTAGTGAATGGGTCTTTCAGTTTTATAAACAGAATTTGTTTCTGGAACATTACGGGAACTCAATAAAGGTTTCATTTTGAATAAATAAATCAGGTTCATGGATGACACATTATTCTTGTATTTTACCAAAATACCCATATTGTAAATAAATCAAGAATTTGCACATCATTTGCTTTTAATACAGTGCTTTTGAAGATAAGACCTAACCAAAAAAAAAAAAAAAAAAAAAAATCATGTTCCCTGCAAAATGCCTGTTGCCTTGGGGAGTTATGTGCTTGGGGAGTTTGGGATGCTTTATTCTTAGTTTATTATTAAAATCCATCTTGTGACCATCCCTGTAGGCAAAACTTTTTCCATCCAACTTAATCCTGTCTGAGTTGGGTCTATCCTTCCCTGGGCCCCTTCTCTCTTACCTTTCATTGGGCTGGGGGGCATGCCCCCCAATACTCTTTGCTTATGGCCAAATTAATCACCTCTTTTAAGTATTTTCTGGAGTCTTTCCTCTTCACCTTGTCTTAGAATCTTTCACTTTATTATCCTCACCTCCAGCCTCTCACCTCGTAAATGGAGTGGCCCGCAAAGCCCTCGGGAATCCACTGTGGCATCTCCCTCTGCCAGTGGCCCTGCTGGGTAACCCTTCTCATGATGGTCGGGTTCCAGGGGAGAATCAGAAGCTCCGAGAGTTTAAATGACTTGCCCGGGCCGGGTTGGCGGGTCCATTAGAGAGAGCCAGACCCCAGCACCTGTCCTTACTCCCTTCCCCAGGCCCCCTTGCTTGGCTGCCTGTCTTTGCTCAGCCTCCTCACTCGGGGTGTTCACTGGTTCTGCCACGTCTCACGCTCTCCTCCCCTTCCCTCCTCTCCTGATGCCTCGGTGTTACACCATTCAGTTCTTTGGACTCAACCCTGAGCGGCTCCCCCAGGCTCTTTCCTGAGTTCCTGCCCCTCAGCCTAGACCTCCTGGGCTGGGCATGGTCTGTGGAGGCCCAGGGGAGAGACTGCCTTCTCCCATCTGCCTTCTCCCATCCCACAACCCTGGATGCATGTGATGCATGCACGCGCGCACACACACACACGCGCGCCCACCGCCATATACACAGGGTGCACGCTGACACAGAGCTCACACGTGTGTATGCAACACGTATGTGCAAACATGTGTACATTCATACACCCATGGATGCGTGCACATGCATGCACACACCCACACACGTACACTCATGCTCTCCCCCACGTGCATGCACATACGTGCACATAGTCACATGAACATGTGCTCACACTTGCAATGTGCCCACACAAACTCATGTGTACTTACACACTCGGGCGTAAACACACACACACACTCCTGATTTCCACTTCCCCAGCACTGCTCCTGTCTGCCTCTTTGCTCCACAGGGTTGGAGCAGCTGCCTTTCTGCCCCCAGGGGTGGGGGATCACCTGTATGTTTGTCATGGCAACAGGACCCTCCCTGACTCTCCTCCCTCGCACCCTCTGTCCTGAAGGGCAGTGACTCAGTTTATGGCGGCCAGTCTCAGAACTTTCCAACTGACCATCTTGAAAGAGATGCAAGGAGAGTCTGGGTGGGTGGCTGGAGGGGAGGGGAAGGGGTTGCTTGGTAGGCTGTGGGGGAACCTTGAATGGTTAGTCATGGCCTGTTTGCATGCTTGTGCTTTTGAAAGAACTTCAAACAAAGGGCTGTGATTAGGTGATACCTAGAGGGTGTGGAGGAGTCTTCTCCCCTTAGGTCCTTTCCGGATCTCTGTAAAAACACCCTGCACTTATCTCAACATCTGGTCTGTCTGCTGTGATGGGTCCCCTTTGAGCATTTCTTCCTGGAACTGCCTAATGAGCAGAGAAGGGTCCTGAAGCCTTCTGAACCCACACCACTGTCTCTCTAGTGGCCTCTTCTCTGCTGAGCTCCCTGCTCCTGCTTCACCGTGGCTTCTGGTTGGTATATCGGTGTTGCCTGTTGTTCCTAAGACATCCCCTGCACCCCTGCATCCTCACCCCCAGCACTGTCCTCACCAACCCATCCTCCTGCGCTGCCTTCTTCCTTTTTTTTTTTTTTTTTTTGATACAGAGTCTTGCTCAATCCCCCAGGCTGGAGTGCAGTGGTGCAATCTCGGCTCTCTGCACCTCCACCTGCCAGGTTCAAGCGATGCTCATGCCTCAGTCTCTCCAGCCTGTAGCTGAGACTACAGGCGCCCATCACCACACCTGGCTAATTTTTTTATTTTTAGTAGAGACAGGGTTTCACCATGTTGACCAGGCTGGCCTTGAACTCCTGACCTCAGGTGATCCACCTGCCTCAGCTTCCCAAAGTGGTTGGATTACAGGTGTGGGCCACCATGCCTGGCCCTGCACTACCTTCTGTGCCTTGAGCCACACCCCTTTGTTGCTTCTCCTAGCTCCTCTTTGAAGGCCCATTGGCCAAGAAAAAGCAACTTCCCATCTATCCCAGGGCCATTCTCTTCTCCTTCACATTTGTTCTCAGTTAAAAGTTAACACTGGGCCAGGTACAGTGGTTCACGCTTATAATCCCAGCACTTTGGGAAGCCAAGGTGGGAGGATCACCTGAGGTCAGGAGTTCAAGACCAGCCTGGCCAACATGGTGAAACCCCATCTTTACTAAAAATACACAAATTGGCCGGGCGCAGTGGCTCACGCCTGTAATCCTAGCACTTTGGGAGGCCGAGGTAGGTGGATCACCTGAGGTTGGGAGTTCGACACCAGCCTGACCAACATGGAGAAACCCCGTCTCTACTAAAAACACAAAAATTAGCTGGGTGTGATGGTGCATGCCTGTAATCCCAGCTACTCGGGAGGCTGAGGCAGGAGAATCGCTTGAACCCAGGAGGCAGAGGCTGCAGTGAGCTGAGATTGTGCCACTGCACTCCAGCCTGGGGAACAGAGCAAGACTCTGTCTCAAAAAAAAAAAAAAAAGGTTAACACTGAATTTCCAGTTTATATGCCACAGGGGGAGCTCTTCAGACGGCAGGACTGAAGGAAGATCCTCCCACTTCCCTCTCCCCTCCATGAAAGAAGTTAATCAGATCAAGGACCATTCACGTGAAGTGGGCATTCTACTTCCCTCACCGCATCGTCATGTGCCGACCAGCCTGCCCTTCACCTTCCTTCCCTTAAAGCACGTCTCACACTTAGCAGAGCCAAATGTTTTGCTCTTGGGATGGAGCTAGAGTAAACATCAGGCTTTTCACATGGACCACAAGGAGGTTTTCTGATAGAGCCAGTATTCTGGATAATATAGGCTTGCTCATAATTTTTTTAAAGGTCCATTATAATACACGAATACTGAGGCTGGGCGCGGTGGCTCACTCCTGTAATCCCAGCATTTTGGGAGGCTGAGGCGGGCGGATCACGAGGTCAGGAGATCGAGACCACGGTGAAATCCTGTCTCTACTAAAAATACAAAAAATTAGCCGGGTGCGGTGGCGGGCGCCTGTAGTCCCAGCTACTCAGGAGGCTGAGGCAGGAGAATGGCATGAACCCGGGAAGCGGAACTTGCAGTGAGCTGAGATCACGCCACTGCACTCTAGCCTGGGCAACAGAGTGAGACTCTGCCTCAAAAAAAAAAAAAAAAAAAAATACACGAACACTGAAACCTTATGAAGAAATTCACCCCTTTTAAAACTTTCAACTTTTATTTTTGCTTCAGGGTGTACCTGTGCAGGTTTGTTACATGGGTATATTGCGTGATGCTGAGGTTTGGGGTACAGATTCCATCACCCAGGTACTGTGCATAGTACCCAACGGGTAGTTTTTCAACCCTCGTCCTCCTCTTTCCCACCCTTCTCTGGTAGTTCTCAGTATCTGTTGTTCCTGTCTTTGTGTCCATATGTACCCAATGTTCAGCTCCCACTTACAAGGAAGAACATGCAATATTTGATTTTTTTTTTCTTTGTTAATTTGCTCAGGATAATGACTTCGAGCGGCATCCATGTTGCTGCAGAGGGCATGATTTCATTCTTTTTTATGGCTGCATGGTATTCCATGGTACATATGTACCCCGTTTTCTTTACCCAGTCCACCTTTGATAGGCACCTAGTTTGGTTACGTGTCTTTGCGGTTGTGAATAGCGCTGTAGTGTCTTTTGGGTAGAATGATTGATTTTCACCCTTTTTTATTCCAGTTGTCTCTCAATTTTTCTGCCTCTTTGGATCATTTGTGTCCTCTTTGATCACTGTTGAGTAGCTGAGCAGAGGGTCTGGGTTGCTCACTGTTCTGAATGGACTCAGGGACATAACTTCAGGGGGCTAAGGATGTCCCACAGTGAACTGCCTGAGTGAGGCACTTGGTTGTAGTTGTACCATTCTTAGTGTGGATTGCTTAGGAAAGGGAAATGTATCCAAAAGCTGCTTTTACAAAAATCTATAGACAATGTTTTTTAGAGCAGTTTCAGATTTACAGAAGACTTGCATAGAAACTATGAGAGTTCCCGCATACCTTCCCCCTACTCACATTTTCCCTGTTACGAATATCTTGTGTTCCCCTGGCACATTTGTTACAATGGATGAACCAGCATGGATACAGTCGTATTAACTAAGGTCTGAGTTTACCTTAGGGTTCACTCTGTGATGTCCAGTTCTGTGGATTTTGATAAATGCACAGTATCATGTAACACCACTACAGTACCATAAAGAATAATTTTAACACCCTAAAACCCCTCTATACTCCACCTATTCATCTGTCCTTTTTTCCCTCTCACACCCCAACCCCTGGCAGCCACTGCTCTTTTTACCATCGCCATAGATTCCCAGAGTGTCATACAGTTGGAGTCAAACAGTATGTAGCCATTTCTGACTAGCTTCTTTCAATTAAAAGCATGCATTTGACGTTCCTCCATGTCTTTCCAAGTGAATCACACCATTTTTGGCTCATCTTATTTGTTTTTATCACTGAAGATAAAAAGATATTCTGTAATATCTTATCTCTTTTTTCTTTTTCTTTTTTATTTTTTGAGATGGAGTCTCACTCTGTCGCCCTAGGCTGGAGCGCAGTGGCACAATTTTGGCTCACTGCAACCTCCGCCTCCCGGGTTCAGGCGAGTAGCTGGGATTACAGGTGTGTGCCACCACGCCTGGCTAATTTTTGTATTTTTAGTAGAGACGGGGTTTCACCATTTTGGCCTGGCTGGTCTTGAACTCCTGACTTCAGGTGATCAACCCGCCTCAGCTTCCCAAAGTGCTGGGATTATGGGTGTGAGCCACCGCGCCCAACCTTATTTCTTTTTATCACTGAATATGCCATTGTTTGGGTGTGCCAACGTTTGTTTATCCATTCTGCTGCTGAAGGACATCTTGGGTGCTTCCAGTTTGGGGAAAGAATGATTGAAACTGCTATAAACATTTATGTCCATAAGTTTTCCACTCATTTAGGTAAATACCTAGGTAAAAGCTATTTTAAAAAATGAGATTTTAGTGCCTTTTGTCCTAAAGTCTGGAAGAAAGTGTTCTCTCTCTTCCTATTGGATAAGTTACAAAGGACAGAGCAGGAAGTGGAAGTAAATAAAGCCAAAGGCTATTGAATGTTCTTTTCTTTTGCGTGGGTAAGTACACTGATCTTTTGGACAGAGACAGAAGTAGCTCACCCTCCCATTAACTAGCCATGGAACCTTTAAGCAGTTGGATTGGTTGTCACTGAAACCTTTTAGAAATCTGGACAAATAACCCAGGTTAACCAGGTTTATTCTGTGCATTTTTCTTAGGGGATGGGAGTTGGTTATAATGGGATGCTATGGGTGGGAAGATAGTGACTTTGAACTGATTTTATTTTTTTCTCAGTTTGCCTAATAATTATTTTTAATATGTCCTGCCCTAGTTTTAGGACATTTCCTAGATTTGAAAAGCGGATATTTTTTTTTCTTTTGCATTTTCTCTTATTTTTGGTCTTTCGTTTATATCATTCTTCTAATCACTGTGGTTGTTCTCTAGGCTTTTGTGGCCCCAGAATTACCCAACTTAGTTTTATTGTTCTTGGCAGTTGCTGTCTTTTACCTTGCCTCTTTAGGATGTTTTTCCCCACAGTATTTGCTCTGAACCAAATTTCTCCTTTAATGCCTTAGAGGGGCTTCCATTCTTCCCAGGCAAAGAGGGCTTAACTTCGTTTGAAACAAACTGTGGCCTTCCTTTAGATTTAGAGAGTACTGCTGTTTATAATCAGGGTTCACGGAATCACAGTTTGGGATATTGCTGGCATACTATTTTGTGTATGCATGTGTGTGTTTCGGAATTACTGTTTATGCCTGAATAGAAGTCAGGCTGATATTACATCTTCAGTATCTTCAGAAAAGAAGAAGTGCCTTACAGAGTCCTTGCAAGTCTCTCATATGATAAGGACACAATTTCAATCATAGTATTTTATTTTCAATAACAAAGTACTAGTTAGAGAAGACACATAAACCTTTATTTGGCTCACTGATGACTTTGGGTGCTCTAGAAATCACTCGAGGAACCCAGTAGGAAGGAAGGTAAAAGCATTTATGGGGCTTTAATAATAACTTCTAGAGATACGGCCTCTTGATTGTGAGAGTTTGAGAGACCAGTCTCAAAACAGTTCACTGAGTGGTTAATTTATGGAGATTTTAAATGGGTGTGTATGATTTGGGATAAGATTTCCAGCAAGTGCCTCATATGCAAATTTTAAAAATACTTTATCTCAAATATCCAGTCACCTGAAAGATCATGTTACATTGAACCACTGCACAAGGACTCAAAAAGTCATCCTGGTTCTGCCTGTGACTAGTTTGAATAAAATTGTTTCATGAAATGTGACAGTGTGGAAACAGTATTTCTTAAATTAACTATGTTAACCTTTTAATGTATGGTCTTAAATAGGAGGATGCAGCTTCAAAGATAAGTAGTATCAACAGTCATTTAATAATTCTATTGCATTCCTAAAAATTATACATTTGTGTTTTCCAAAAACCTTTTACTGAGGGACAAAGTCTTCCTGTTGGAAAAGCGAGGATATCACTGTATATTTGGAGTCACCCTATATTTGGACACGTGATATCTTTAAAAGGCAGACACAGTTTTGAAGTATTCTGTGTATTGTTTCATTTGGAGTGAAGGGAAAGTATGTAATTCTTCTTCCCATTGGTGGGCACATTGGATTGGGGAATGTCTGTTTATATCCCCAGTTTGAACATGGATCTTCCTTCTCAGCCAGTGCCCAGCCTTAAGGCTATTGGCAACTCTGAATCTGTTGGACACCTTTTAGAGTTCACCTTTTTTTCTGCATTTGACTCCTTAATTCTTACCATCTTGTAGTCCTGCCCTTCCTGTGACAACAGCCTGGCTGACATAACCCCTGCCCACCCCGCAACTGTTCTTTCCCAGTTTGCTGTGAATGCCAGTGTTCCCCACCAGCCTGTTGGGTCTTTCCCCCGCACCACTTCTCTGCCCTCACCTTCACAATCTCACGTCCTTTCAAGGCTTCAGCATCTGCCCATATTGAGGTTGAAAACTGGTAGCCTGCAAGGTTGGGGTTATGGTTGTTTTAAATATGAGTTTGTTGCCAACATTTAAAAATTGAGATCAAATCCAGACCTCTGGCTTCTTCTGTAGAATGAGGTGAGCTGGCAGTGTTGGGACCGAGCCGTGAGTAGCTGTCCCCGTTAAGTGGGGCACTGCTGTCCTGTTTGCCACAGCCAGTCCTAGCTATCGCTCCTTTTTGTTTCAGACATTGACGTAGTGTATCAGTTGCCGTTTTTGTTTTAACATGATTACGCCATTCAGTTCCCTACAATAGAGATAAGAGGAAAAAGAAACATTTCTCTTGCTTATCTCTCTATTCAAAAGTGAGAAAATAAAAGCTGGACCAAGAATGGTATGTTTAAAAACGGTGGAAGAGAACGTGTGTTTGTATGTGTGTGTTTGTGTGTGTCTGTGTGTGTGCGTGTGTGTAAGAGTGTTTTTACATAGTTAACATTCAAGGTATGCCTGCATTGGCAGGCTACAATTTAAGATGCCAGAGCTGATAATAATTGACCTAGATGGTTTTGATGTCCAAGTACATCCTTTGCCCACATAAATACTTCTGCTTCTGAAATCTCAAATGATCTCATCGGTAATCTGGATTCATTGGTATTTACTGAGTACCTGGAATGTGCAAAAGTACTGGGGTGCAATGGGAAGCAGGGTAGACATGTTTCCTGCCTTCTAGGAGCTTACAGTCGCAGGCGCAGACACCAGAGACACCTCACACTCAACATGACCCTGGGCTCATTTCTCCCTTCCACCTCCTCCCGTCACCTCAGTGTCAATGCATGGCATCACCCATTATCTGATTAGCAATCTTCATTCCATCTGGAACTTAATTCCCTTGAGCTCTGTAAAGTTAACATGTTCTCGGGTGTGACAGCAGGAATTAGGACACCAACATCTTTGGAGTCCATTATTTTGCCCATGATAATATCTGCCTGCTAAATAGATTAACTTATCATCACCTGCCAGTTTGTTATGACCCTTGGGCTCCAAACATGGAGGTCACTGGACTCATCAATTAAGTTGGCTTTCATGTGTTTTTTTTTTTTTTTTTTTTTTTTTTGAGATGGAGTTTCGATCTCATTGCCCAGGCTGGAGTGCAATGGTGCAATCTTGGCTCACCACAACCTCTGCCTCCCGGGTACAAGCGATTCTCCTGCCTCAGCCTCCCGAGTTGCTGGAATTACAGGCATGCGCCGCCATGCCCAGCTGATTTTGTATTTTTAGTAGACACAGGGTTTCTCCATGTTAGTCAGGCTGGTCTCGAACTCGCGACCTCAGGTGATCTGCCCACCCTGGCCTCCCAAAGTGCTGGGATTATAGGCGTGAGCCACCGTGCCCGGCCTCATGTGTTGTTTTTTTTTTTTTTTTTTTAAATTGCTTCCCCAAATCTGATGTTGCTCATAGTGTCACCAACCCAGGGCCACATTCATATGAAATATTTGCCTGGCCGCTCAGGCTGTGCCATCTTGAGTGATGTGTTCCTCTCTCCCCACACCCTGGTTCTGCTTAACTTCCAGGTTCCAGTTTAGGTCTTGCTTTTTCCAGAAACTTTTCATGATCCCTTCTGTCCTCTTTGCTGTCTGTCATGTCTGAAATTCTTCAGCTTTTATAGTCTACAGCAATTAATTATTAATATATCATGTCTTTTAAATATTTACTTGTTGATTGAGTTTTGGCAGAAAGCTTTATGGGTTGGTTAGAAGTGGCTCTAAAAACAGTTCATTTCCCTTCAGAAGCAAAATGTAATTCCATTATTTCGAATGCTTATCTGAAATGCTGTGTGGTTTTGTTTATTTCAGAGACTTGAAGATAGAGAATTTGCTACTAGATGAAGACAATAATATCAAGCTGATTGGTATGACTTTTTTTTTTTTTTAAGCAAAAGTATCTTTTAAGTGTTGTGTTGTCAGTTCTCAACTTTGAAAATTATCCATGGTCTATCTCTAATACCCAGACAATATTCTAGATTATCTTCTTTTACCTCCAATATTTAATAATGGTTTTGAAAATGGGTCATGTGTTTCCTTGTCTTATTCAAACTATAGCTTCTCCATAAATTCAGATGGAGCTGACCTTTTGTAGAATTTATTTTTATTTGGATTAACTGGAAAACTTCTTTAAAATAGTGAAAGATAGTTTGGCTTAGAAATGCTTCCCATAGCTTCGCCATATCTCATTCCACTTCTTGGTGAATGCAGGGATGCCTAAAGTAAGGGAGAATGCAATTGACCTTCTCTTTTTAATACAATCTTTATTCAGGCTTGTTGGTACAATGGGAGCTGTGCAGAGAAGTCCCCACAAAGGGATAATTAGAAGTCTGAACCAATCAGAAGGAAGCTACAAGATGGGGCATCATAATTGGTTCATAATTCATGGTCCATAGCAAATTCACTGCACAACTCGTTTTCTAGACGAATTCAGGTGGTTCTGTTGTTGTTATTTTCTCCCTCTGTGGTCGCTCTGGGCAGAATTCAGGGCATCATTTTTATATCCAGATATTAGATGGCACCATCTTTTATTCCCCTCTTTTCTTTTTTCTCCCACCTCAGATGCAAGTAATTTCTTTTACCTCAATGGCTTGAAAAGACTTTATATGAGGGGAAAAGAGAAGGATCAATAGGACTTTGTGAATTTAACTTTTATGCCCAAGAAGGAACTTTTGTTTGACAAATGCTGAAAGTCATCACAAGATTCTCCAAAACACATCATTAAAATGACTTATTAGATATTTTGGGATTACAGTCAGCTCCCAATTCAGTACTGGGCAAGAGGATGCACAGACTCTGGATAATTAAACACCACTGATAGGTGTTGATGGATACACTTATTACTAGAGAGTTAATCGTGAAGAGGAAACCAATTTTTCCCCAAAAGCATTTAGAAGAATCTATTCTTAGAAGATTCTTAGATAATTCAAAGGATTTTCTTTTCTTTTCTCTCTCTCTTTTTTTTTTTTCCTGAGATGGAGTCTCCCTCTGTTGCCCAGGCTGGAGTGCAGTGGTGCAATCTTGGCTCACTGCAGCCTCTGCCTCCCGGGTTCAAGCGATTCTCCTGTCTCAGCCTCCCGAGTAGCTGGGATTACAGGCACCCAGCACCACGCCTGGCTAATTTTTGTATTTTTAGTAGAGATGGGGTTTCACCATGTTGGCCAGGCTGGTCTCGAACTCCTGATTTCAGGTGATCTGCCCGCCTTGGTCTCCCAAAGTGCTGGGATTACAGGCATGAGCCACCATGCCTGGCTGATTTTCTTTTTGTTAAATTGTTTTACTATTGCATTTTAGTTGTCTTGAGGGGCCAAGTGCAGAAGCTGGAAAACAAGGCACTCGTGTTGAAATGCTTGCAGGAAGTCTCTCTGGTCCTCATTTCCGAGATCTGGAGTGTTAAACAAAGGGGCCTCCTGGTGTGGGGTAGGGAATGGAGGAAAGGAGTTTTTTGTTTTAGGTTCCCTGTAACTGTTCTTTGGAAAATGTGGAGGTGACAGTGATAGAGTTGTCCTAACAGCACCAGAGACTATAAAAGAACAGACTTTGTAACAGCAGTATTTATATGACAATAAAAGTTAGAATAGGCCAGGTGCAGTGGCTCACACCTGTAATCCCACTTTGGGAGGCCGAGGAGGGTGGATCACAAGGTCAGGAGTTCAAGACCAGCCTGACTAACATGTGAAACCCCCGTCTCTATTAAAAATGCAAAAAGTAGCCAGGCGTGGTAGCGTGCGCCTATAATCCCAGCTACTCAGGAGGCTGAGGCAGGAGAATCGCTTGAACCTGGGAGGTGGAGGTTGCAGTGAGCCAAGATCGTGACACTGCACTCCAGCCTGGGCGACAGAGCGAGACTCCGTCTCAAAAAGACTGAGGCTGGTGAGTCGTGTAAGGTACAGACGGAGTTTCCACATCTCAGGAGGTGGGCATTGCCCATCCTGTTTCTTCCCTTTCCTCTTGCCCCTCTGTCTCCTCTGTGCTTGGTCTCTCTGCTTTCTCCTTAAGTGGTAGCCCTAGGTGACCACTGACAGAACTATCTTGTGGAATAAGCAATGGTGAAATGCACAGACCTTTTTATTGGTTGGACGTTTGCTCAGGGGATTCTAGGAAAACCAATCATTTCACTGCTGCAATCGGTGGATGCATTTATAAGGAGCTCACGGATTGGTTGAGTAATAGAACCTCTTAGAGGAGACCTGTCCAGTCAAGTGAGGAAATTATACACCTAAATCAGAGCCCACCCCTTCCCCTCTTGCTGCATGTTATGGTCACTCTTTGGGTGCCAGGAACCATTTTATTCAAATCTCTCAGAGTCATCACCTCTCTGCTGGCAATGGCTGGGTGGGCACTACAAAGACATTTTAGGTATTTGGGACAAAATCGGCTCCTTCAGAAAGCAGGATGCCCGCACCTGCTAGAAAGCAGGCAGTGACCATTGGATTTCCCTTTGTTAAAGATGCCAATTTGGTTGCCAGTTCTCTACTGAGCAGTGGAAACTGAGGAACCCTACCTCATACCTGCCCCGAGAGAGACCTTAGACCACACCTGAGGGCTGGTAGGAACTGCATTTTGTTAAGAAAGAACCGCATTTCCGGAAGGCATGGAGGGAGAGATGAAGGCCCAGTGTGTTGTGAGGTTTCTTGCCCCTGGGTTGGGCAATTTAGATCAAAGATCTTCCAACTCCTGTCTTTTTTGTAAGTTGAAAGCTCTTTGAACCTTCTTTTCTTCAAAGGCATTACCTACTTTTTTTTTTCAAAGGTGATTATAGCTATTATGATTGCCTCTTAATAGTTTCTCTTTCTTTGAAAGAATTTGGTTTAAATAAATCTACTTAAGCCATGTTTCAAATTAACTAGAATTACCAGGAGTAAGATGTGATTTAATCAGGAGGTTTTTTTTCCCTTTCAAAAAAAGCAGTCTGATGTCTGGTAAGTTTAATCTTAAAATGGAAGAGCTGCAACTTAGGAGAGTTTTGCACTTCAGTATTCCAAAACAGGTTCACTTGGGCGTTTTGTGAGATTCATTCTGTAGCTCTCAGAAAATTGAGTCGTCGTTGGTTGATATATTTACCAAACCTAATTGAGACAGACCCATGTGACATTGCTGGGAGGTGGCCTTCTCTCAAGTTCCACAATTCCAATTATAGGCAGATGTGTACAGTTTTAATAATTTCAATTATGAATGTGAAGCAAACTGGTTGTTTCTCTACAAATATATTTTAAATCAAACCCTTTTGGCTAGATCAACATAAGTTGCTTAACATGCAGATTCTCTCTCTTCCACCTCCCAGATCCTCTGCTAAGTTTTCTTCTTGAAACTGTGCTCAAGATAAGGCCAGACTGTTCCCAAACTTGCCTGGGATGGTGGAGGGTGATCTGGCCTCTTATCTCTCTCTCTGCCCTCTTCTGAGAACAAGTCCTTCTTTCTGGACCTCAGGTCTCAGGGTGGTGAGGAAGTGAACAGATCGAGGCAGCCCTTTGCTGTGAAGGGACTGCTTTGAGATTAGGAACAGAGTCTTTTGCTTTGATCTCAGAAGTTTAGAGATAACAATTTCCAGGACTCTGATGAAATTGGGCCTCCCCAGCTATTATTGTGTTTATTTGATGGTGCTGTCTCTCACAGTAGGTGCTCCTCACACATTTGTTTGTTCATTAACATTCTTTTAGGTTCATTTTCAAACTGAAAGCCGTCAAACAACCCTCCAATTTAAAGCACAATACTATTTTTCTTGTCCCTCCCACCTTTCTTTTTGAGATGGAGTCTCGTTCTGTCTCCCAGGCTGGAGTGCAGTGGCGCAGTCTTGGCTCACTGCAACTTTTGCCTCTTGGGTTCAGGCAGTTCTCCTGCCTCAGCCTCCCGAGTAGCTGGGACAACAGGTGTGCGCCTCCGCGCCTGGCTAATTTTGTATTTTTAGTAGAGACAGGGTTTCGCCATGTTGCCCAGGGTGGTTTTGAACTATTGGCCTCAGGTGATCTGCCTACCTTGGCCTCCCAAAGTGTTGGGATTACAGGCATGGGCCACTGTCCCCGGCAGATTTTTCTTCTTATAAAAATATTCACCCCCTTTTCTTCCCGTTTCAGTGATCCTGAGGGGTGGGGTCTGAGAACAGGGTTTCTCAGGTTCTTTTTAACTGATATCTCCTCCTAAGGTGGGAATCCAGAGACAGTCCCACACCCATGACTCCTGAAGGACTTATCTGGGACAGGGTTTGTGGGGTCTATGGGTCTGGCTGGGTTGATGGGAAAGGAAATGGGGTGTGGGGGGAGGGTTGGGGAGGGAAGAGTAAGGGAGTCAAGGAGGAGAAGGGGAGGGAGGTTAAGGGAGAAATATGGAATCATAAAAAAACAAAAGAAGAGCTCAGTGTTTGGACATGCAGCATGCCTGGTTGGTTTGCTTGCCATTCCCTCTTATAGTTTGGGCTGAAGAGTCTGGGTGATATTTAGAGTCTTCAAGAGTTTTCTGAGCTCTGCTTAGATGAGATTCTTTTTAGAAAAGCTTAACGCAATGACTTTTGGAAAACATTTTGGCTGTGACATCTTGATCCATGGTGTGCAATTAACTTCACAGACTGGACTGTATTTCTCCTTCCCTGAGATTTCCTACAACGTTCCTAATGGTCATGTGCCTTGCAGGTGGAGACATGTTAGAGTGAGGTGAGAATACATTCGTGAAACTGGACATAAATACTGCCGATTGAGAAAGTGCGAGAGTTTTGTTCAAGACTGGAAGCCTGTCTCTGCCTGAGCCCTGCAGCCCGAGTCTTCTGTTTGTGGGGGATGGACCATAATATTTACATTGAAGTTCAAAGGATGAGCTGCGATCTTAATTCTGAGATCAACAAAGATTAAGGAAAGATTCAGATGAGGGCATAACAGTAACAGCTCTTTAATTACCTGTCAGTTTCAGTATCTTTAAGATCAAAAGATAAACATGGCGCAGAAGGCATAATAGACCCAAAGTCACTCGATGCAGTGGGCTTTCTCCCCCCTCTTCCTGGGCATCTTAATCATCCAGGAACAAAGCAGTGCCATGAGGTCGCTTAGTCTAGTTTGCATTGCCATCTTTCTGGTGCTACTTTTCCAGCCAGCATTCAGGGTTGTTTAAACTGTTGGGTGTATTTTTCCCCTCTTCAAGTCACTATATGTGCTGCATAACTTAGGGGGAATTTTTAAAAGACTTTCATGAAACGAAAACATTCAGCTGAAAAAGTCAACTGTAAGTGGCTGGATTGCATGTCACTGAGGGTGACACAGGCAGCCAGAGAGAATCAATCTTCCCTCATCTTTTCCCCACTTGGCAGCTTGGGAGCTAACTCAAATCCCCTCTGCTTGTTCTTTCTTCCTGCCTTCATCCTAGAAAGCGAATTCTCTCTTTTTTTCCTGGATGACTCATTTACAAGATTGGATGGAAATAGGTTTTAGTTCAGCATACTGTTTGCTCTAACTGGCTTTAACAGTGAGGCCCGATGTCAAATGCTCTCAGCTAAGCCAGGGAATTCTTTTGCCTTGAGTCTCGTATCCAGACGTTATGGTTTGCAGCTGCTACAGTTTTCTTTAGGATGCTAAATGATGTGTTAGCCTGAGAGAATGTTTCCTTTCCTGCTGCCCTTTTTATTTTTCCTTTTGTTCCTCCCTCTTCATTTCCGCAGTTTTCTAATTCGGAGCTTGTTTTGTTCACCTCTCTTTGCAGACTTTGGTTTGAGCAACTGCGCAGGGATCCTGGGTTACTCGGATCCGTTCAGCACACAGTGTGGCAGCCCTGCCTACGCTGCACCTGAACTGCTCGCCAGGAAGAAATACGGCCCCAAAATCGATGTCTGGTCCATGTGAGTTATCAAGCTTCTGAAAGTCAGTGTTCCTCCTGCTGTCTCCACCGTGCCTTCCTTATGAAATCATGCCTGAGTATTGGATGGCATGTATAGGTGACAGGCCCAGGAGTATGTCATCAGGGATTCTTTGGGGCCTGGCTTTCCATCTCTGTTCCTTCTGTTTTTTTCTGCACAAACTGTCAGAGTGGCCTTTACCAAAATTCACTGCGGTGCTGAGAAGAGAAGAAAACCACGTCCTGCCCTCACAGAGCTCACATTCTGGCTCTGCGACTCATTTATGCCCCATCCTCCTGCCCTTAGCTTCCCATCGCCCTCTGTGTGAAGCTCCATCCTGCTGCCTGGCCTGTGCTCCTTGCGGGACTTGCTCGCCCATCTCTCCTACCCCCTGTCCTGCTCACAGTTCTTCAGACATATTGACCTCCCTTTTGTCGCTCCCACCTCTGGGCTTGTTTTTTTTTGAGGCAGAGTCTTTCTCTGTCGCCCAGGCTAGAGTGCAGTCGTGTGATCTCAGCTCACTGCAACCTCCCCTTCCCAGGTTCAAGTGATTACCCTGCCTCAGCCTCCCAAGTAGCTGAGATTACAGGCATGCACCACCATGCCCAGCTAATTTTTGTATTTTTAGTGGAGACGAAGTTTCACCATGTTGGCCAGGCTGGTCTCAAACTCCTGACCTCAGGTGAACCACCCGCCTCGGCCTCCCAAAGTGCTGGCATTACCGGCATGAGCCACGCGCCCGGCCGTTCACTGGTGATGCCTGGAATGTCCTTTCCCAGCTCTTTGGATGGCCTGCGGATTCCCACATCCCATTCTCAAGCCAGTGGCACCTGCACATTCCCACATCCCATTCTCAAGCCAGTGGCGCCTGCGCATTCCCACATCCCAGGCTCAAGCCAGTGGCGCCTGCGCATTCCCATATCCCAGTCTCAAACCAGTGGCGCCTATGCATTCCCACAGCCCATTCTCAAGCCATTGGCGCCTGCGCATTCCCACATCCCAGGCTCAAGCCAGTGGCGCCTGCGCATTCCCACATCCCAGTCTCAAGCCAGTGGCGCCTGCGCATTCCCACATCCCAGTCTCAAGCCAGTGGCGCCTGCGCATTCCCACATCCCGGGCTCAAGCCAGTGGCGCCTGCGCATTCCCACATCCCGGTCTCAAGCCAGTGGCGCCTGCGCATTCCCACATCCCAGTCTCAAGCCAGTGGCGCCTGCGCATTCCCACATCCCATTCTCAAGCCAATGGCGTCACTGCCGAGATCATTTCTGAGCTCCCTGCCAGGGAGTCCCCCGTACTCTGTCCTCACCCTTTTAATTTCGTTCTCGGCACCTCTCAATGCCTGTCCTTTTCCTGTTTTAAATCCATTCCTCTCCTGTCTCCCCAGCCAGCAAGGACTCTGCACGAAGGGAGGGAATTGGTTGGTCTGGTTCACCATTTTGTTCCCAGGGTCTGGTACAGGAAGGGCCACCAGGGGTAAGCACAATAAATATTTGGAGGATGAATCCTCAGTTGCACCAAAGGTAGAGCCTGGGTCCCCCATGGTCACAGTGAGTCACCCCCTCCACCATCCCCTGTCAGTGATGGTACAGGGTCAGTTCAGAGTCTTGGATTCTTGGATAGGACTCAATCCTTTGCCATAGGGAAATGGGCTGTAGAGAGAGTGAGGTTCTGATTAAGATATAGACGAGAAAGACTCGTTTGCGTGAAGGGTGTGTTGATCCGGAGTATTTCTGGAATTCCCCTGCATCTCTTCATATTCACTGTAACCCCCTTGTCCAGGTTGGCAGAAAAGCTAACGCTTACTTAGTGCTTGATGTGTGCCAGACACCATGTCACTTAGTTTCACAATGACCCAGTGCAATCATTACTCTCTATTACCCTATTTTATGGAAGAAGAAACCCATCATAAGAGAAATGAATAAAATCGCCCAAGGTCATAGAGCTGCTAAGTGGTAGAGTGGGATTTGAACCAAGCAGTGTCCTTTCAGGGTCTCAAGATACAGCCCCAGCTCTCCAACGTGGCGTGTGGGGACCCTTGCTTGCCCTGTGGCCTCGCTGAAGGCATGCCCGCTCCCCTCCTCTCCCCATCCATTCTCTGGCTAACCTGGCATTGTTTCCTATTCCCTGAACACAGCCTGCTCCTGCTACATTCCAGCCCTTACATGCACAGTTCCTTCGGCCTGGAACCCTCTCTTTTTCCCTCTTGTGTTGTTGGGTGCAGGTTCCTCTGGGCAGCCCTCTGTGTCTCCAGCTGGCTGGCTTTGAGGCCCTCCCATGTACCCTCCAGTGCCTGGCTATCTGTGTTCCTGGGCCTCACCGTGAGGTCTCAGTCCACCTGCTGGAACCCTCTGGGCTGTAGCTGAGGGGGCAGGGACCACTTGGCTCACTCCCAGGATTTCCTCAGCACCTGGTGGAACTTGGAGGAAGGGAGGGAGGAGAAAAAGGAGGTGGGAAGGAGGAGAGAGGAAGGAGAAAGGAAAGGAAGGACGGAGGGAGGGAGGAAGGAAGAGAAAAGGGAAAGAGGGACAGGAGGAAGGAGCAGGCATTTCATCCAGGGAAACAGAAGCTGGAAGGTCAGGGCTGAAGCTGGCTGAGAAAGCAAGCAGAGGAATGTGGGTCAGCTCAAGGCTCTAGAAGCGAGATGAGCTCAGGATGTTCCGGTTGGAGATTGAGAAGAAACAGACCAGAATGAGATGTGGAGAGATAAAGAATTCCTGGAACTTTCCCAGAAGGGGCCGACTCTTCTGGAACCCTGGCTAAGAGGACCTGCTTGTCAGCGAGGAGGTGAAACACGTCAGGAATCAGCTGCTGCTCCTGAGCGGGCTGGGTGCCCTGGTTAGTCACCCCTGAACCTCAGGACAGTCCTGTGAGACACATCTCTTGCCCCCAGTTTGCACGGATAGAAGAGAGTGGTGAGCACTGCCTAGAGGCACACACGAGCCCGAATGTAGTGGAGCCACACTTTGCTGAAGGCTGGGCTCCCAGTTACTTTGCAGGTGTGGTCTGGTGTGCAGGCTGCATATGGGGTGTGTGTGGTGTGCTGATGACGGGCCCAGGTGGGCTGGGGTCATGTGGAGCTAGTGGAATGGAGCAGGGAGCAGCAGAGGATGCCTTCTCTTCTAGGGCATTGCTAGTCATAGACTTCACTTCTGAGAAGGCCTCTGAATCCCCCTCAACACAGCCCCTCCCGGCAGCTAATGCCAGTGGATCAGAGTTGTATATGGGAGGAAATCCATTATGGATTTCTTCCAACCCTTAAGAACTCTCAAAGGTGTCTGGCACACTGTCTTCCCTCAATAAATATGTATTGAGTGGATGAATATGAATATGTGGGTCTATAATCACTTTCTTAACAGTTAGAGAAGTCATTTATGCTAAATGGGAAGCTATGAGAGGAAGAATTTGTGCACACACACACACACACACGCACACAAAAGCACAAAAGGCTATGGGAGCCTGAAAGACCAAGAGGTCCCCTGTCTTAGTCTGTCTTTTGTTGCTGCAAGGGAATACCTGAGGCTGGGTCATTCATAAGGAAAAGAGCTCTATTTGGCTCATGGTTCTGCAGGCTGTACAAGAAGCATGGTGGCAGCATCGGCTTCTGGTGAGGCCCCAGGCCGCTTCCACTCATGGTGGGAGGTGCGGGGGACCAGTGTGTGCAGAGATCACATGGTGGGAGAGGAAGCAAGAGAGAGGGGAGGTGCCAGGCTCTTTGTAATGATCAGCATGTATTGACTCATCCTATCTGCCTAACAACCCTTCAAGGTAGTGCTGTATTACTCCCAATTTAAAGGTGTGGAAACTGAGGCATGAAAGACCTCAGCCACTTGCCCCCATGACACAGCCAGCGTGTGACAGAGCCACGATTTGACCTACGTGGTTTGCCCTAGGCCCCTGAATCACCACCCTCTACTGCATCTGTGATGTTGTACTTCCTCTGGTGGGGTTTACATGCTAGTGGGACAAACAGCTGGTATTTTAAAATGCTATAAACTGAGTGTGGTAATGGCTGTGGAGGAAGTGAGAGGGATTCAGGGAACAAGATGGAGTGGCCTCTTGAGGAGATGACTTCAAAGCCAGATCCTAAGAATGAGAAGGAACCAGCTATGGGAAGAGGAAGGTGTCAGGGAAGAAGGCCAGGAAAGGTCAAAAGTAAACTGGTGAGAAAAAAAACCAGATTCTTTTGTTATGGCAACCCTAGCACATATGGCTGCACAGCTGGGTTAAGTCAGGAAGGCATCTGTAGTCAAGTATGATCTGTTCCTCAAAGATGAGTGGAGACGGCCAGGTGGAGAACAGGTGGGGAAACGTTCCAGGCAGAGGGAACAGCATATGCAAAAGGCTGGTAGGTGTGACACATCTGATTTCTCTTCCTCTTAATTTTGGCGAAAACATAAAACTTCAGCACCTTTTAAGAGATGAATTTCCTACTGCTTTGGGGTCTGAGCAAACTTTCTATCTGTCTAAACTTGGGGTCTGATTTTGTGTCTGAGATACAAGTTAGGTTTCTGTTTGGTGCCCATGACTTTGCTGGCAGAAGTGGAAATGGAAAACCAAAATTGAATTTAATGTAGAAGGCTGTTTAAAATGAGAGTGAAAATGGAACCGATTTTCTTGCTGGGTTAGACACTGTTATTATAAAATGGCTTCTCTCTTTATGGCTCAGAAACAAAAACAGAATGAAGAGTTCACTTCCAAAAAAGCAAACTCCCCTCCCTGGAGGCTTTGGACCTGATGGATGGCAGAGACTTTATCCACAACTTCTGAGATAGATTTAGGAAGAAAATCAGCCTGTCATTGAAAGAAACCTTGGGAAAGAAAGCTCTTCCCTACAAATAGGGCCCCCAGGACCCTCCGCTAGTGAAGCCATAATTAACAATGGAAATGGGAAATGGCGCGCTTTCTTGGGGGTTTGTATTTCTTGGGGGTTTTCCATTATTTTCAATGGTGGTTATTTTCAAGACCGTAAAGAATAGCTGTAAAATAATTCACTTCTTTCCTTTACCCCAGATTATATGTATAAATATATATATATATATAAAAATAACATATAGATGTGTGTGTCTCCAATGAACTTTGAGGTTTCAGACACAAAAACCAAAAATATTCATTCTGGTGCATTGAACTTTTATTACTGTGAATTGACTTTTCCTCAGAGTGACATATATGCTAATTTATAACAACTTTAATGCAGATGTGCTTTTTAATTGAAAAGAATCAAAATTAACTTTATCTTCAGAATATTACAATACTCATGTGCAACCTTCAGTGAATCCCTACTGGTAAGGAAAACAGAAATTGAGAGTTCTATACCGAGAAGATTGAGAATGCAACGTTGTTGGACTAAAGCTGTCCTTTGCTCTCATGGGGGTCCCTGGGATGGATGGGTGAAGTATTTGCGTGAGGGCCTGGTGCCTCCTGGAGAGTCACACACAACACACTCAGTCCACCTTCCTAGCTCAGTGAATCTGTTTTCACATAGTGGAAAAAAAAATCCCTGTCTCCAGTGCTGTACCTGTGGGTGGACAACTCGGCCAAGAGGCACCATGTCTCCAAATAGCTCTCCTGTCTCCATATAGAACTGGGTGTTCAGGAGGGAGAGTGAGAGAATTTGTTCTAGGCCTCAGACTCAGTGTTTTGTAAAAGTACTACCAGATATCATCAGCTACTGGCAGGGGTCAAATACAGAAGGATGGTATTAGTGTTTTCTCTGTGTTGAGACCCTCTCAAAATGAAGGCTAGCAGGAGGCAGTGGGAAGAGTAAAGCTATGACTCCTTTGGGGAACCTTAGGCCTTTTGACTTTTGAGAGAGAGGTTTCCCTTAGCTTCTGAGATTATTCAGTTATAAAGTACGAGATTTTTTTTTTATAGCTAGCATGTATATTTAACATAGAGTAAAGGAAGGAAGGAAAGGAAAAGAAACAACCATTTTGAAATCCGCAAGAAAATAATTTCTTGCTAAACATAGACCATTTAATGGAACAGTGGTGAGATCTGAGATTTTCCAAATGGATGAATTGGTTCCTAGTCTACTTTCTTTTTTTTTTTTCCTAGTCTACTTTCAAGGCCTTAAATTGGAAGTTATATTATTAAAAGTTGATACTGAAAGATGGAAAGATATTGCTTTCAGGTGGAAGTTATTTTTAATTTTTCCAAGGCATTTCCTTTCTTGGAGAGCCACACAGAAGCAAGGTGCATCTCCCGAAGGTCCTCTTGGCTGCACTCTGTGTAAACTGGGCAGTTTCCGAGGCTCCTGTCCACATGCCCCTTAAGAACGAGTAATCAGACCTTCCCTCCACCTGCCGGGGTGGCTCTGTCCATTGCTTTGTCCCTTGCATCTTGTTAAAATTGCCAGCGACTTCTCCAGGGAGCAGTGACTCCATGTCTTTCCTCTTTGGGATGGCAGGTGATACCACAACTTTTCCTCCAGGGAGTATTTTTTTTTGTGTACCAGACTAAATATCAGGATGGCCATTTGGCTTTTGACTTAACTCCAAGCTTTCCCGTTTGTATTTCATAAGTAAGGGCCCTTTTCCTCTTCTTTCAGCTGCCGCCCCCACCCCCCACCCAGTGTCTGCCTTTCTTCCTCTTTTGAGATCAGAGTATTCTATGCTGCCTAGTATCTTTGGGTTTTCTTCTGTCCTGCGATAGCTCATCCTTATTTCATTCTGCTGGAAAAACCCCTGGTCGTATTTGATTGTTGCCCTCTCTTGTCCCAGTCTCTCATCCCTCTCATTTGTTAAGACTGTCTTTGATTCTTGGGAATCCCATGTCTGCCACGGAGAATCCAGAAAGCCCCTGGGCCATATTTCAAAAGACCCATCAGGAAATTCTGAACATGTTTTGAAACTCCTACTAATTCTATGGGATTACAGAGGTTTATAAACTGCATTCCACATTTTTCCCTTGGTATCCTCACATACTTCTGAAATGTCAGATGGACTAGGTTTCTCTTTATCCAGATATTAAACATGTATGGAAACTCCGGGGGAGAGGAATTAAGATGCTTAATCTGGTTTCCCTTTTTAAAATCTCCTAGCTAGGAGTGTTTGACTGTTCACATAGGTTTCCATTCTTTTTTTTTTTTTTTTGGGATGGAGTTTCGCTCTTGTTGCCCAGGCAATGGCGCAATCTCTGCTTACCACAACCTCCAACTCCCGGGTTCAAGAGATTCTCCTGCCTCAGCCTCCA
Organism: Homo sapiens; assembly: GCF_000001405.40. Taxonomy (NCBI): domain Eukaryota; kingdom Metazoa; phylum Chordata; class Mammalia; order Primates; family Hominidae; genus Homo; species Homo sapiens. Next base: position 31,953,360 of record NC_000021.9, read on the forward strand.
AAGTAGCTGGGAATATAGGCATGCACCGCCAAGCCCAGCTCATTATGTATTTTTAGTAGAGATGGGGTTTCTCCATGTTGGTCAGGCTGGTGTCGAACTTCTGACCTCTGGTGATCCGCCCACCTCAGCCTCCTGAAATGCTGGGATTACAGGCGTGAGCCACTGTGCCCGGCCAGGTTTCCACTCTTATTTGGCAATACAGTACAAATAAAACTGTAGCTTTTTCCCTCTTATTTTAAGAAAGGTTTTTTGATGAAACAATAGATCACAATTTATCAAGCTTAATTTATTCCAACTACAGAATTCAGGTCTTTCTGTGGCTTAGTTGATGTGAGCCTCATACGATCTGAGAGGTAGGTACTATTATTATCCACATCTTATGGATGAGAGACCCTAGGATGAGAGAGGTGGGTCCTCTTTAAGGATTTGTGACAATTTTTTTTTTCATTGATGATAAATTCCTCCAAAAGAAATGGAATTCTGGAATCAGTTTGTAAAGTCATCAATTAAAGTTACTACAAAAACTGCTTGCTCAACCCTGACCAGACCTGCCACCTGGATGGCTCTGGCGCCATCTTGAAGACAAGCATCTGTTAATCTTATCTGTGGTCCCAGCCAGATGATGGAGAGAGGCAAAGACCAGTGTAATATGCAGTGACTTGAGGAGATTTTTGGCGTCTGTTGAAGCCAGTTGGTGACAAGAAGGCAAGCAGTTTGGTGTCTCAGGGTCTCCTTCAAGAAAGAAACATTCATAAAGGCTTTAGAGTTGCTCCTCTGGCCTCATATGGTCTCCAAACCCCTTTAGTGGGGTTGTCCTCCCATTATCATGATGTCCTACTTCCTAGAGGCATCTGCACTATACGACACCCCCACCTGGGACAGGAAGCTAGGTGTGCCGTAAAGATTAAAGGGAATATAAAAGGTCGTAGAGCAGTGGTCTGCACATTTGAGTATTATACACTGTGTTTTTAAAGGAAGAACGTTCTCGATAACTGTGTGTGTTGACGTGAGTTATTTTTATTTAAATGTTAGTTATAAGTACATGAGCCCCAAATCAAACTCCTTTTATTTATGGCCCTGTACAACTGAAAAACCAAAACTCATTTACAGGTTAAATAGAACCAAGAGTAAAAGAACCCCAGAATATTCAAATTAGCAACGTTAATGCAATGGCTAATGTTTTGTGGGAAGGGAATGGCTGTACACAGCATGAGTGCAGTTCTCACTGCTGGGCACAGGTTCTTTGAGCTTGTCAGGCCCATCTTGTGATGCCACACCTCCCCTAAAACTTTTCATTCTTCCAGGGCTTTCCAATTTTTTGAGTACGCATCAGAAGCACCTGGAGGGCTTGCAAAAACACTGCAGAGTTTCTGATTCCGGAGATGTGCAGTGGCATCCAGGAATGTGCGTTTTCTTTCTTTTTCTTTTCTTTTTTTTTAAGAGTCAGGGTCTTGCTCTGTTGCCCAAGCTGGAGTGCAGTGGCACACTTACATCTCACTGCAGCCCCAACCTCCTGGGCTCAAGTGATCCTCACACCTCAGCCCCCCAAGTAGTTGGGACTTACAGGCGCATGCCACCATGCCTGGCTAATTTTGGTATTTTTTGTAGAAATGGGGTCTCACCATGTTGCCCGCCCAGGCTGATCTCGAACTCCTGAGCTCAAGAGAGCCACCCGCCTCAGCCTCCCAAATTGCTGGAATTACAGGTGTGAGCCATTGCGCCTGGCTGAATGTGCATTTTCAACAAGTTCTCAGGTAGTGCTGATGCCACTGGTCTGAGGACGAACCACACGCTATTCCAGTCACCAGGAGACTTTCCACTGACAGAAGCACAGATGCATCACTGACACATTAAGTCCACCTCTGCTTCCTTCTCATTAGGCTATGACAATAAAAGTGATTTTTTTTTTTTTGGCAAAAATAGTGCATTGATAAAGAAATACCAAAGCAGGGCCGGGCGCGGTGCTCACGCCTGTAATCCCAGCACTTTGGGAGACCGAGACGGGTGGATCACGAGGTCAGGAGATCGAGACCATCCTGGCTAACACAGTGAAACCCCGTCTCTACGAAAAAAAAAAAAAAAATAGCCAGGCCTGGTGGCAGGCGCCTGTAGTCCCAGCTACTCGGGAGGCTGAGGCAGGAGAATGGCGTGAACCCGGGAGGCAGAGCTTGCAGTGAGCCGAGATCGCGCCACTCTACTCCAGCCTGGGCGATGGAGCGAGACTCCGTCTCAAAAAAGAAAAAGAAATACCAAGGCAGACACTGAAATTGGGTGTGTGTGGTGGAAGGTGTTCTTAGTTATATGGTGGTCATCCAATGCCTCTGGTTATGCTTTGTGAAATGTTTTAGTCAATTACCAAAAAGAAAATAAAAATTAGAACTGTTGCACCCGTGAGGATGTGTCTGTGTACCTCAGTTTGAGAAACACTGAATGAGTTAGGCATTATGAAGCACTTACTGCGGAAAAAAATGATATTGTATAAGTAGCAGGCTCTTCAGCTTTAGGTGTGAATGTTAGAGCCAAGATTAGGCACTCAGAGGTGGTGAGCAGGGACAGAATCTTGGTTTTGTTTTTTCCTCCCCTTAACTCAATTCACTCCAACTCTGTTGAAATATGAGGTCTTTGCTATGTAGCATGGAAACATTGAAGCTCATTAACTGCATGAACCTGCTGGTGTATATTCAGGGCAGAGGACTGGGTTGTTGAGGAGACTCTCAATCATGTCAAATAAAGCACAGGCAAAAGACCTGAGGTCCCAGCCTGGGGAAGACCCAGAAAGGTGGGAAGATCCTGGTTCCAGTTTTCAAAGATGTGAAGTGCTGATCATGGAAGAGCAACTGGTCTTGTTCCACAACCAATGAATAGAAGATGTAGACATTGGCTTAGCCTTGGAAAGCTTTATTTTTGCATAGAATCGCCCTGGATGGAACAGGCTGGCTCAGAAGCATTGGGAACAGCTTGTCTCAGAGGCTGTTCAGTGGTCCCCAGCAACAACTTTGTGGGATGTGCCAGAAGGTTTCCATCCATAAAAGCGATGTGTCCAAGTCCTCTTTGTATGCAAAACTCTACAATTTTGGGACCCTTTTAGCATTCCTTCTTACCGATCTCCAAGAATTTTTCGAAGCAAGAGTGTTTAGCTCTACCTCAAACATACTCAAAGTGCAGCATCGCATAGTACGTTCTCAAATATATCACTAGCCCTGATACTCCTTCCCTGCACCCCTAACCTGTCTCTCCTCCTCAGCCTCCTCAGTACCATTCTGTTACCACCATTGGTCCTGCATTCTGAGTTTGCCACCTGGCACGTGCCCTTCAAATGTCTCCACTGCGTCTTTGCCTTTCCCTTTCTGTTGCGTGCCATCATTCCGATTCCGATTTTAACAGCAACCTGCTGATTTCCTGCCATAGTTTCCTACTTTCCATTCTGAGCCCCTTTAATCCACTTATACAATATAACTACTCCCTGAATTATTTGGTCATACCACTTGTATCTGCCGAACCCCTATTCCTCCCCTGGGGTACGTTTTCCACTAAACACACACAGGGAAATGCCACCCAAATAGCTCTATGTGTGCCTTGTTCATTCTTGTTTCCATTTCTTTGTTTATGCACTTTTTATCTCTCCATCCATACAACCAGCCAGCCAAAGACACATGAGCTCACACACATGCAGTCACTACCTGTGTGGCATGTTCCCTCTTCATGTACCTGTTTCTAAGTTCTCAGTCTCCCTTCATTGCACTCCTCTTGTGGTCAAAAGTGGTGCAATTCAGCATTTTCTTATTCCTTTTGCACTCATCACCGCTTGAAAGGACTGTGCTCATCTATTTGTTTGCACGTTGCTTGCCTGTCTTCTTCCCCACTCAAAACCCAAGAGGGCAGGTCTTTCTCTGGTCCCCAGTACCCAGCACCTATAGTCTTGCCTGGGGCAGAGAGCCATCCAGCAAGTATTTGTGGAATGGATGTTTATGCATCTGTCCCCCTAACTCCACTGTGAGTTTGGAACTAACTCCACTGTGAGTGGGAACCAGGTCTTACTATATGTCTGAAATTTGCGAATGATTTCTAGTGGGAGCGGTGGGCTCCAGTACCTGTCATTATCTGAAATGCCATAATTCAGAGGTGCCTCTGTGGAATTGGGCCTCGAGGGTCTTAATTTCAATCAGTCTCATTGGATTTGTTTTGACTAGAAATCTTAGTGCCTGTTTTTAAAGTATATTCCCTTGGGCGCTTTTGAACACTTGAGACCTCTTGGTAGGCAGGCATTTCATCCTCATCAGGAAATCTCATCAAAATGATATTAGATTTACACATCAGGAAAATAAAGATCCTCTAAGAAGATGTTTCTATTCTGTAGATTGGCTTTGGATAGGTGCAGTTAAGCTTACTCAGAAGGTATTTCAACCACATCTGAGATGTTGGGTTGGGGCCAGGTGGCAGAATCTCACAATAAACAATAAAAAAATCAGGGCAGGAAGGAAGGGGACCTCCCCAGAAATTTCTGTAGTTACAAGCCAAGGCAAAATTTAAGAGTAGAGCAAAACGCCAGGTTTTGTTATGAGGCTTCGTTTCTGAGGGCTGAGTGGTAACCTGGCTCACAGTTTGGCTGTGACTGGAGCTTCCACTGTAGGGGGCTTTTCCTGTATTGTTTGGTCAGCCTTTTCCAGGTACCACCTTGTAAGCCATCCTTGGAAAACCACATAATGGCAGTACTACTCTTAATTGAAGTCCCTGATGTCTCCCAGGTGTTTCTTACATTGCTTGGTCTGGGCCTCCTTGTTGTTGACTTCTTCCTGCCATAACATTCGGAGAGAGCAGAGGGCCATGGTTCCCCTCCTCAGGAGGTGGCTCCTGATGCTCTTGAAACTCCTGCTTTTCTCTGTGGTCCCCTTCCGGGTCTTCACATTCAAGTGCTCTCACCCAAGACTTTCTTTCTTTCTTTCTTTCTTTTTTTTTGAGACGGAATTTCACTCTTGACGCTCAGGCTGGAGTGCAATGGCGTGATCTTGGCTCAGTGCAACCTCCGCCTCCTGGGTTCAAGTGATTCTCCTGCCTCAGCCTCCCCAGTAGCTGGGATTACAGGCGCCCGCCACCACGCCTGGCTAATTTTTGTATTTTTAGTAGAGATGGGTGCCAGGGTGTGCGGGGGCTTCATGCACAGCTTGTAGCACAGCAGCGAGATAGTGGTCCAGGCTGATGAGGCAGAGATTGAGGATGGAGGTGCTACACAGGCTGGTCTCGAACTCCTGACCTCAGATGATCCACCTCCCAAAGTGCTGGGATTACAGGCATGAGCCACCATGTCCGACCTCACCCAACTCTTTCAACATGACACTGAGCATTCTACAAAGATGACTTTGAAGAGGGCCTGTTGAGGTTGGCATGGAAGCAGCAGCTCCCACGCTTCGGTGAAGCCCGTGTCCCCAGTCTTCCCCTCCCCAGGGGACCTGACTCCGCTTTCATGTGTATGTCTCTCTTTTCAGAGGTGTGAACATGTATGCCATGTTGACCGGGACGCTGCCTTTCACGGTGGAGCCTTTCAGCCTGAGGGCTTTGTACCAGAAGATGGTAGACAAAGAAATGAACCCCCTCCCCACTCAGCTCTCCACAGGTAATGCACCAGCTGCTCTAGATCACGGTTCAGGACTGCTGTCGTGACCAGTTCGGGTCTACCTGTGAAACAGTATTTGTTTTGCAGTAATGGTGTTATGTCTATCCCATGGTTATAAGTTTCTTTCTAGTGTTAAATAGAAGTGTCAAGGGGTGGTTGGGTTTCCCGTCTCTCAATGGCCACTCATGCCTTTCACCTGTATCCTTTCCTGTTCTGTTCTATCTGAACCCCTAACTTCTCCTTCCTCCTTCTGCACAAAACACGTAGATCCAAAGGATCTGATATTCTCCATTTAAAAAATGATTGCAGGCTTGATTGTTTTAAAACTCACCATCTTATGATGCTGACTTGGAAAAGAGGGTTTATGGTCGCATTTCCAATATGGCTTCTTTCTGCAATTACTGTCAAGAAATGTTTGTTGCATTCAAGTTGGGGCTGTGATTTGTTTTGTGAGTTGAGGTTTTGAGCCCGTTCAAAAGCTTTTAAATATATAGAGGTTAAGTTACTTGATTGGACTGAATCATCAGGTGTGTTTGAAAAGTTCTCTCAAGCTTTAGCTGGTTCACATTTCAGTAAACAGTTTGTATTAAGGTTTGGTTTCAGATCCAGTAAATCAGTACAATTTGTTCTTTTGTTTGGTTCACAATTCAAGTCCTGGCCTTGGCTTGGCTTTGATGAGCATTTAATTGGCTCCTTAGAATAAACTCAGCTTCACTAAGATAAGGCTTTTGACCAAAGAAGAAAGCAGTTATTTAACTGCAACTTATGATACTTAGCGATAGTTAAAATATAGCATTTTATTTTACTACTGTTATGCATTTTTCTTCTGAGTTTAAAAGCATGCATGAAGCTGCCCCTGAATTTATCTTGGCAAGTGGAATCCAAGTGGAGACACGTTCTTGTATGCAATTATCTAATTCAGCCCATACTGTCACCTCAAGGGAGGGGAGACTCTCTGGAGGCTTGAAAGCAAAGGAGGCATTAAGTCCTTGGGAAGATGAGTTACAGCTCTGTCATTATACAAGAAATATTTCTGCACTGAGAGTCATAACTCTTGGAGTTAGAAAATGTGCAAAATGTCAAACCAATTGTCATATTTAAGTTTTAGAGCTTTCAGAAATGTTGAAAGTGCGGCAGAGCACTCTGAGGTGTGCCCATTCATTCATTCATTCCATATTTCATACTCATTAGCTTATTCCGTGAATATGTGTTGTGCACCAATTATGTGCTAGGTGTGTTCTAGATTAAGCAAGACAGAGAACAAACCAGTCTCTACCCTTATAAAGCTTATATATCAGCAGGGGAAGCTAAAAATAAATAAATGGGTAATAAACATGTGTGGTATTTGGTAATGTTAAGTGCTCTAAAGAAAGTAAAATAAATTGGGACAAGGGGATAGAGAGTAAAAAGGTTTTTTTTTTTTTAACAAATAAGATTATTTTAAAAACTTTTCATTGTGATGTAATTGTAGATGCACACACAATTGCTAGAAATAATACAAAGAGATCCAAACAGCCTTCATCTGGTGTACTAGTCCATTCTCATGCTGCTAATAAAGACATACCCGAGACTGGGTAATTTATAAAGGAAAGAGGTTTAATAGACTCACAGTTCCACATGGCTGGGGAGGCCTCATAATCATGGTGGAATATGAAGGAAGAGCAAAGGGACATCTTAGATGGTGGCAGGGAAGAGCGCTTGTGCAGGGGAAATCCTATTTATAAAACCATCAGATCTCGTGAGACTTATTCACTACCATGAGAACAGCATGAACTGCCTCCATGATTCAATTATCTCCACCTGGCCCCGCCCTTGACATGTGGGGATTATTACAATTCAAGGTGAGATTTGGGTTGGGACACAGCCAAACCATATCACCCAGTTTCCCCCAATAGTAATATATTGTATAACTGTGGTATAATATCACCACTGGGAAATTAACATTGATAAAACCCATTGACCTTGTTCAGATTTCACAAGTTTTATGTACAATCTTGTGTGTTGCTGTATATTAGTTCTATAGAGTTTTTTCACATGAGTAATTTGTGTGACAGCCACCACAGTCAAGATGCAAGACAGTTCCCTCACAAGGATCCCTCGTGCTGCTCCTCTGTAGCCACAGCTACCTTCCTTCCTCCTGCTCTCCCTAAGCCCTGTCAGCCACTACCCTGTATCATCTATAATTTTGTCATTTCAAAAATGCTATATGTAAATCACTTTTTTTCCCACTCAGCATAATTCCCTTGAGATAATCTGAGCTGTTTTTTTTTTATTGGTGAGTAGTATCTCCTGGTGTGGATATACCGCAGTTTGTTTCACCATTTACCCACTGAAGGACCGTTGAGTTGTTTCCAGTTTGGGGCTATCATGAATAAAGATGCTGTAAACATTCATGTTTAAGTTTTTCTGAGAATATGGTTTCATTTCTCTGGGACAAATGCCTAAGAGTGAAATTGCTGGGTTGGGTAGTAAGCACGTATTTAGTTTTGTAAGAAACTGCCAAGCCTCTTTTTCAGAGTGGCTGGACCATTTTGCATTCCCACTAGCAATATGTGCATGATCTCTGCATCCTTGCCAGCATTTGATGCTATTATTATTTTTTATTTTAGTTGTTCTGATAGGGGTCTAATAATATCTCATTGCAGTACAAATAAGATGTGATGTTTCCAAATAGATGCAGTCTTTCAAAGCAGTCTCTGTAGGGGTTATATAGTCATAAATATTGCCATCTCTCAGAGTGATTCCAAAGTTTCTTTGAGGGTTCAGAGCCTGTTTTATTCAAGTGACCCATAACAAAGGACAAAAGGAGGATGAATGTACCCCCACAGTGGGGAAAGGCAGACAGTGCTCTCTTTGAACCCGATGACAGCCTGAGGAGCTGGAGAACTGCTGATCTGCTGCCATTTCATTGTATTAGTCAGAATAGACCAGGTTATGCTGCAGTAACAATCAGCCCCCAAGTCTTAGTGGCTCAGGACCACAAAGGTTTATTTCTCAGTCATGCTACATCTCAGTTGAGAGCTGGATCAAACATTGAAAGGTTCTGCCCAGCCAAGGGCCCAAGGCTGATGGAGCAGCCACCACTTCCAACATTTCTGGTTCATGCAGAGGGAGAAAGGGAAAGAGAAAGAGAAGTTCTTTCGCCAGCAATTAAATCTTCCACCAATCTTCCAGTTGTAAGTGGAAGCTTTCTAAAACATGGCATGCGGCTTCACCCAACTAAAGAGAATGGGGCAGTGCAACCTTACCATGTGCGTTGAAAGTGAAAAGCCAGAAATATTTGTTGATTAGCATTAGCATGAGCCCCACACAGCTGTGGGAAAAGGAGCAGACAAGCGCAGGTAGGTTAGTAACACAAGAAAATCAATCTCATTGCTTCAGAACCATACCTTGTTTTTACTTTCAATAACATCACGCAGTCTTAGCAGGCTGGGCTCTAAGTGTTTTTTGTGAAAATTAAATTTAACCTTAAAGAAGCAGGAGTTGCAGTTCTGAAGATGTTAAAAAATGGTCCAAAGTTAGTCCCAAAGGAGACATATTAAAAATGTTCCCAGCAATTTCAGCATCACTGGAATTGCTGTCCAACCTCGCATAGCTCCTGCATTGAGCAGACAGCTTTGCCTTGGCCTTAAGCTCTGTGTGTGCTTGTTAAAGATCTTCACATTCCTACAGGACTTTGTTGTCTTCACTTGTCAAGCATGAATTGCATTTCTATATCTGATTTTCTAATTAGGGAATCTGATGCTCTCCCCATCTCCTCCTTTTTAAAATAACTATTGGGATATAGAAATATCTTTTTTCAACTAGGATTGAAATCCTTTGAGCCAGGTGTCAAGTGAGGTGTTTGCACATGATAGACACTCAGGGAATCTAGGTTGCTGACTCTGGTGTTAATGTGTCTGTGTGACCTGGAAAGGTGGCCCATAGATTATTTTGATTACTCAGGATTGGGAATTGTCCTGACCCAGTAGGGCCCAGAGCAGTGCACCAGCTGCTGAGGCAGCCCAGGGCATCTTATCTGGTTCATAGAGTGAATGTCTTCAGGTTTGAGGATCAGCTGCTGCCCTTCTGACAGCCTCCCATTTTTTCAATCCTTTGCACCCCGCTAAGTTTATCTCCTCTCCCTTCCAACCAGCCTGGCCCTGCTTATATCCAAAAATACTAGTTTACCAGTAACATGAGTAGCTGCCACTTATTGAATAATCCTTTGTAGGTGTTTTTCATGTGGTGTTGTTTTTATACAATCCTGCAAGGTAAGTCCCTGTTTACCAGTGAGGAAATTGAGTCTCAGAGAGATTAAGTCTGCTTGACTGAAAACCTAGATTTTCCTACCATGCTGTGTTATTTCACTCTTCTCTGATTTTATTTAGTATAAGACGCACCCCCCCTACAAAAAGTTGGAGGTATTATCTATTGTCTCTATGACCTTATGTTTTGAGTAATGTCAATCCAAATAGAAAATATGCCAGTTTTATTGTGTCTCACTAATGCACATCTTTATTAATTGGATGACTCTGTCATTCATATTTGTTTTTGTTTTTGTTTAAGACAAGGTTTCACTGTGTCATCCTGGCTGGAGTGCAGTGGCACAATCATGGCTCACTGCAGCCTCGGCCTCCGAAACCAAGCAGTCTTCCCGCCTCAGCCTCCCAAGTAGCTGGGACTGCAGGCGCATGCCACCATGCCCAGCTAATTTTTTTTGGTGGGGGGTATATTTTTTATAGAGAGAGGGTCTCCCTATGTTGCTCAAGCTGGTCTTGAACTCCTGGGCTCAAGCAATCCTCCTGCGTCGGACTCTCAAACTGCTGGGGTACTGCACCTGGCCCTGTCACTCATATATGTAATGATCATATCTATTAATTCTTCGGCTCTTTTTAAAGATTAAGTTGGAAGAATTTTTACCAAACTTGAGTTGAAAACAGCATTATTGCCCTTGTGAATCCACAGAACATGCTTCCAAAGAACTGCCCTTCATTCATCTCTGTCATGCCGTTTGCAAACTTAAGCTTCGAGGGCCTTTCTAAGTCTCTCTTCTACACACTTTCTTTTTGCTTGTTGGCACTTGTATGTCACAGAGTAGCGAATGCCTTTTATGGCTGAGCAGTTTTTCAGACTGTTACCTTTTCATCACTACACCTCAACACTAGCATTTATAATACATTCCAAGCAGTCACTTCAGGTTATGATGGTTTTGTGCTGTGAATTCTCCAAAGTCAAACTGGAGGAGAAGCGTTAGCTTTTATGAGGGTTGAGTCAGTGCTAATTACGATGTCCAAGAAGGCACAATGATCAGATTATCAAATAATTTTTTAGCTTGGGAAGTGATGAGGAGGGAGCTTCAAGTGGGGAGGGGTCTCTATTTGCATCTATCAGGCTACACTAATGTGAAAAGTCTGATGACAGACCTGCAGCCCTTTCACTTGGTACAGTGTTCAGGTGCTCACACAAGCCAGTCCAGACTTTGGAAAGCTGATGGTTCATGAAAGAAAGTGGGGTTTGCGATGGAGGAAGGTGTTCTGTGTGTTACGTTGAGCAGGGTGGTACTATTTTTCCAGGCTTCAGTGGAGAACCTAAGTGTTATCTCAGAGGGGTGGAGGGTGGCGTGTGGCCTGTGGCCATGCCTGGCATGGCTTTCCAGGATGGTGAGGAATATTTTAATCTCTTTTGCCCATAAGGCAGGGGTTTTCAGGACCCTAAAACAAACTTCAAAGAGCTCTAAGGACTTCTCAAAGTCCTTTTTGGATAGTAATGCAATGTCTGTGACGTCCAAAGGAAGAAAATTCGTCAGCGGAGATTTGAACTAAAATTACTTGTGCTCATCAGCAGTTTTTGAAGATGCAGAGCGCTCGGTTATGAAAATAGAACAAAAATGCACATCTAGTTTGTCCTTAGCACTTCTGGTTCATCATACTTTGAAAAAGCCTGGCCTGTTGCCCAAGTCTTTTGAGGCAACCCTGGGTTGTTGCCCAAGTCCTTTGAGGGTAAGCAACAGCAATGTCTCAGAAAACATTAACTCAACAGCCCACCCGCTCCAATTCATTAAGCCCTCATCTTTTTTATCTGACCAATAGATGCCCCCAGTTAAGATCTAAATGACTCTTCCAATGCAGGGTTGTTAAAGGAAGGGAGATAGACATTCTGAAAAGCAGAGATCTGTTTGATTTTCGGGTTATTATAGAACATGGATGGAGCTGGAGGCCATCATCCTTAGCAAACTAACACGGGAACAGAAAACCAAATACCGCATGTTCTCACTTAGAAGTGGGAGCTAAGTAATGAGAACTCATGGACACAAAGAGGGGAACAATAGACACTGGGGCCCACTTGAGGGTGGAGGGTGGAAGGAGAGAGAGGAGCAAAAAAAAAAAAAACCTATTGGGTACCAGGATTAGTACCTGGGTGATGAAATAATCTGTACAACAAACTCCCATGACATGAGTTTACCTATATAACAAACCTGCACATGTACCCCCGAACCTAAAGTAAAAGTTAAAAAAAAATTTTTTTTAAAGTACGTTGCTGGAAAGTTTTAGCTGAGTATCCAGCGATAACACTTACAGTGGTAAATGTACCTCATGGCCTCTACACATGCATTTCTACCCACCTCACTGTTCTTTGTTTTTCTTTTTTTTTTTTTTTTTTTAATTTTGAGACGGATTCTCTCTCTCTTACCCAGGCTGGAGTGCAATGGCGTGATCTCAGCTCACTGCAAACTCTGCCTCCTGAGTTCAAGCAATTCTACCACCTCCGCCTCCCGAGTAGCTGGGATTACAGGCATGCACCACCACACCCGGCTAATTTTTGTATTTTTAGTAGAGACGGGGTTTCGCCATGTTGATCAGGCTGGTCTTGAACTCCTGACCTCAGGTGATCCACTCACCTCGTCCTCCCAAAGTGCTGGGATTACAGTTGTGAGCCACTGCTCCTGGCAATATTTCCTTTTTTCAAAATTTCAGTACGTATTTGAGGAACAGGTGGTGTTTGGTTACATGGATAAGTTCCTTAGTGGCGATTTCTGAGATTTGGGTGCATCCATCGCCTGAGCAGTGTACACTGTACCCAATGTGTAGTCTATTATCCCCTGCCCCTCTCCTACCCTTCCCTCCAAGTCCCCAAAGTCTATTGTATCATTCTTATGCCTTTGCACCTTCATAGCTTAGCTCCCACTTACGAGTGAGAATACACAATGTTTGGTTTTTCCATTCCTGGGTTACTTCACTTAGAATAATGGTCTCCAACTCCATCCAGGTTGCTGTGAATGCCATTAGTTTGCTCCTTTTTATGACTGAGTAGTATTCCTTGGTGTTTATATATATGACATGTATATATATATGTCACATTTTCTTTATCCACTTGTTAATTGATGGGAATTTGGGCTGGTTCCATATTTTTGCAATTGTGAATTGTGCTGCTATAAACATGTGTGCAAGTGTCTTTTTCATGTAATGACCTATTTTCCTTTGGGTAGATACCCAGTAGAGACTACCCACTATTGAAAGGGAGATGACCTGGTAACCTCTTCAACAGTATGGGAACCCACCCTGGTGGTGGGTTGACCATGGAGGTTGACCTGGCTGCATGACCTAGCAAAGATTGTTTCTCTTGAGTTGATTCTGGCATCACAACTGGCCCCTTTTTTGATGGCCTCATTTTTACCCTGCAGAAAATGAGTTGACAAAAGGCTCAGCATTTCCTCAAGAACAATGTTCAAATGACAACTTAAAGCTTTTGAGAAAGTAGGACATTTTATGGCTTCTCCTTGCAAAGAAGATTACTTTAGAAAACTGAAAAAATAACTTTGAAGAGAAGGATAGAAAAATCGGGGGACCAAGCACATTATTATTTTCTGGGATCTATTATTTGGTATGTTGGAAATCAAGTACAAAGCTACGTAAAAGAATTCTTCATATTGCAAAAACATTACCGCAATACTTTGTAAAATAAGGGCTATAGCATAAGAAAAGATCACAGTCCCACAACTCAAGCAAGACAGACCGTCTGCATTTTGAAGTCATCCCTGCCATTCTTTGCCCACATGTGGGTATGCTGTATATTCTTCTGCTGAACAATTTTGCAGCCTTAGAAGGGCCTTCATGGGTTGGGTGTGGTGGCTTACACACTTAATCCCAACACTTTGGGAGGCTGAGGCAGGAGGATCGCTTGAGCTCAGGGGTTTGAGACCAGCCTGGGCAACATGGCAAAACCCCATCTCTACCAAAAAAATAAAAAAAGTATCCAGGTGTGACGGTGCATGCCTGTAGTCTCACCTACTTGGAAGGCTGAGGTGGGAAGGTCACCTGAGCCAGAGAGATCAAGGCTGCAGTGAGCCATGATGGCACAACTGCACTCCAGCCTGGGCGACAGTGTGAGACTCTGTCTCCAAAATATAAAAAATAATGAATAAAATAAATACAAAATAAAAGGCTTCGTGTGCATTATAAACGCATTTTTACCTCTCATACAGTTGTTTCCGTTGTTATAATCTTAAAGGATGCAAATGTTCTGCTTAGAGATGAATTAGCTTCTTATCTCCAGTGCTTGAATGGACAAGTGCTCTGTAAATATTTGTGAAATGAAAGGAAACCCAGGGCATTTAAAACATTATTTTTGGCCAGGCGTGGTGGCTCAGGCCTATAATCCCAGCACTTTGGGAGGCTGAGGCGGGGAGGTGGGCGGCGGTGCAGAATGGCTTTAAAGGAAAGGATCAGAAAGCAGGACCTCTCTGGCCCCTTGAGACTCTGAGTGTCCTGTGGTGCCCAGTTGAGAGGTCTAACTTAGGATGCCTGTACACTTCTGGCTTCTCCCTGAGTGCTCAAAAACCTACCTTGCGAGCAGGCATTTTCTGTTTATTTTCTTTCATTCCTACAAGCCTGTCAATAGTGCATCTCTTTGGCTCACCTATGAGCAACAAGAAAAGACCACAGGTTGTCTTGGGAAACACGGAATGGGGAGACCCAAACTGGTTCTTGCTGTATCATGTACCAGTTGCTCCCCTTGGACAGAGAAATTAAATTCTTTGGCTATGTGGTGTGTATTTTTTAAAGAGAGAGAGGGGGAAATGGGATTTTCCACACCCCTCCTGTCTGAAGGGAGGTGGGGCTGAAACCAAGCTCCACGATTCATTGAATCGGAACCCTGCCCAGAGACCTAGAGAAGAGATCACCCCAGCAGTGACTCGGGATGGGCAGGCAAGGTGGCGAGTCCCCTGTGATGGTGGCTTTCACTGGTGTCTGCGTTCAGCCTGTAACATGCGTGCATTCTTTCCCAAATGTCTCCCAGGTGCCATCAGTTTCCTGCGCTCTCTCCTGGAACCGGATCCTGTGAAGAGGCCAAATATTCAGCAGGCACTGGCGAATCGCTGGCTTAATGAGAATTACACGGGCAAAGTGCCCTGTAATGTCACCTATCCCAACAGGTAATTTCGTGCACCCAGAGGAACTCCTCGGGAGAGACGGGGCCTGTCCTACTAGCCCTGAGCAGTTCCGGACAGAAAGCTGTCCGTGATTGAAGGAAAAGCCGCGCTCTCTCTTGGCTATCTCCCCTTCCCCCTAACACCCACACCCACACATCCACAAGAGGAAGCGTAGACAGGGCCACCATGTGCTGTTATGCCGTGTGCCCTGCAGGGGCACCTGGAGGAGAGGTGAGTGGAGGCTGATATCCAGGCTTTGAGGGTCTGTATCTTCCCAGGGGTTGCCTTTTTCTAGTTCACACAGAGGGACCTTTGAGACTAGCTGTGGCCCGAGTGTGTGTGTGTGTGTGTGTGTGTGTGTGTGTGTGTGTGAGAGAGAGAGAGTGAGTGTCTATGTCTGCTTGGGTCTCCATGTGCATGGGTGTTGTGTCTGTGTGTGTGTATGTGTTGTGTGTAAATTTGTGTGTGTGTGTGTGTGTGTGTGTGTGTGTGTATGTCTTTGTTTTGTTTTTTTAATACATAGTCTGGCTCTGTCACCCAGGCTGGAGTGCAGTGGCGTAATCTCAGATCACTGCAACCTCTGCCTCCTGGTTTCAAGCGATTCTTATGCCTCAGCCTCCTGAGGAGCTGGGATTACAGGAACGTGCCACCACACCAGGCTAATTTTGTATTTTTAGTAGAGACGGGGTTTCACCTCTTGCCCAGGCTGGTCTTGAACTCCTGACCTCAAGTGATCCGCCTGCCTTGGCCTCCCAAAGTGCTGGGATTTCATGTGTGAGCCAACGTGCCCGGCCAGTCCTTGTGTTGTGAGTGTGTTTGCGTGTGTGTGATCAGCTCACGAGCCCACCTGCCAACATCAAACAGAAACATGGGATCGCCCCTCCCTTTCCAAACCACCCTTAGATGCCTTCTTCTGCCTTGTTCTTGATGTTTATTTCAGCCCTAAGACCCCTGCCTTAAAATGTGGGAGGCAGGAAGGAAAGGCATAGGAGTCATTCGTTTTAGGCCGGGTGTCCCTATGAACTTTCCGTGAAGGCTTCACTTTATCAGTTTCCATGAGGAGGGTTCTTTAAGCAAAGCTTGCAGACAGGAACCCACAGCATAGGAGCACTGATGGGCTCCCTGTGCAGCCCACGCTTCTCCATGCTGGTGCGCTAACTACAGATTAAAAAACATTTCTCTTTTTTCTTTTTTTTTTTTTTGAGACAAAACCTTACTCTGTCACCCAGGCTAGAGTGTAGTGGCATGGTCATGGCTCGCTACAGCCTCCACCTCCTGAGCTCAAGGGAGTCTCCCACCTCAGCCTCCTGAGTAGCTGTGACCACAGGCATGAGCCACCATGTCAGGCACATTTTCTATTTTTCTTCAGAGACAGGGTTTTGCCATGTTGCCCAGGCTGGTCTCAAACTCCTGGGCTCAAGTGATCCTCCTGCCTCTCAAGGTGCTGAGATTACAGGCTTGAGCCACTGTGCCCGGCCAAAAACATTTCCTTGTATATTTTTTTCTACTCATTTGTCCTATTTCTAACTAACCTGAGCGAGGGAATGAGGGCCCTTATTTTGGCTGTTTTTGAGCAAACAAGGAAACCACGTGGGTTCAGTACCTTCCAAGACTGGGACCCACCTTCCTTCTTCCTTCAGACCTAGGGTGGCTTGCACATTTGACCAGGCTTGGATGAAGACAAGAGAACCACTGACCCAGAGGGGCAGATAGGAGACTGAAAGGGCAGAGAAAGGGGTGTCCTGTGTGGTCATAGGTTCAATGCCTAGGAAGGTCTAGAAACACCCACCAAGCCTTATGAAAGCAGAAGTGCTGAGTCCTTCAAAGAAGATGGCCAGGCAGGGCTCTGCTTGGGATGGAAGCTCTAGAAAAACTTTAAAGGGGCGTGGGAGTCTGCATCCACACTTCAGTGCCAAATTTACACTCACCGTGCCCAGAGAGGAGGTGGTTTCACTCCGTTGCCATCTAGAATTCTAGCATTTGGCTCATGGGAGGTAATTTAAACAAAGTCTAGGTGACTTAGGTTACCAAGGGAACCTGGAAATAGATTGCTGTTTTCCAATAACAGCTCGATGTGGGCCAGGATCTGAAACAGACACCAGAAATACTACTCCAAAGCGAGGCAGGGAGCAAAGCTGAAAGGACCTTGCCTCATTATCCATACTCATGATGGAGAGCAGCACGCAGGTATGCTTTCTGTTAAAGGAGGGGGCCTTGCTGGTGGCCACATGAGTCATTAAGCTCATGTAATCACCGCCTAAATGAGCATAATCAATCCACTCAATGCGGCAACTGTTGAAGGAAGTGGAGTTGGTGTTAGACAGTATTTCCCCTCCTTGTTGGCTGCATCTTCATTCACAAAGAATTACGAGGCGACATCTCATTTTGTAGCTTTCCCACAGTTTGCAGACAGGCTTTGATAGATTAAAACTTATAAAACAGGATAGGCAACTCCTATCCTGTTGTTGCCAGATTATTGTAATGGTTTTTGCATTTGGACTTGGTCAGAAGCATAATGGCTGCACATGAAACTGGTTAAGTGGATTGTAAAACTGGCTGAGATCTCACATGCTCAGGAAAACAGCACTCAGTGTCTTCTGTGTGTATAAGGCCCATTGCTGATTTTACACTAGAGGCAAATCAGTGTTTGGTTTTTAAGCGTGGAACCAGAATTCTTTTTCTTTATTTTTATTTATTTATTATTTATTTATTTTGAGACAGAGTCTTGATCTGTCGCCCAGGCTGGAGTGCAGTGGTGCAATCTCGGCTCACTGCAACCTCCGCCTCCTGGGATCAAGCGATTCTCCTGCCTCAGCCTCCTGAGTAGCTGGGATTAGTGCCACCACGCCCGGCTAGTTTTTGTATTTTTAGTAGAGATGAGGTTTCACCATGTTGCCCAGGCTGGTCATAAACTCCTGGCCTCAAGTGATCCGCCTGCTGCAGCCTCCCAAAGTGCTGGGATTATAGGCGTGAGCCACCACCGTGCCTGGCCTGGAACCAGAATTCTAGGCTGTTGGGGGAGGTACATGTTATTTACAGTGTTTATTTTGAAAAACATTTATCTTTAAGACAAAAAAAATGTATTTTTTATATTTATTTTTCTGGTTTTACTGGCATGTAGATAAAGGGAGTGAGAACATACAAACAGAGAAAGGGATATTTTCTTTATAAAGTATGTTTTATAGTTTCCCAACATACCTAGCCCCAGATGTATTTTAAGTGTTGTCAATATTTTTCTTTTGAGAAAGTTAGGAAAATAAAGGTCTCGTATTTTACATCACTCTTCTATAAAGCCTTCTCCTGTGAAGTCATTTCAGCCTCCAAGTTGATCTCTAAAAGCAAAGAGGGAAATGTCTTTGGAAGTAAATTTTTTATAAATAAATGTTTATGCCAGTCAGTCAACAGATGTTTGCTAGGTGCCAGCTCCCCTCCTGATCCAGGTGCAGACTTTTTTTTTTTTTTTTTGAGACAAGTCTTCCTTCATAGCCCAGGCTAGAGTTCAGTGGCGCAATCACAGCTCACTGTGACCTAGAACTCCTGGGCTCGAGTAACCTTCACGCCTCAGCTTCTATAGTAGAGGGACTACAGGCATGTGCTACCATCGCCAGCTAAGTGTTTCTATTTTTGTTGTAGAGATGGGGGTTTTTCTGTGTTGCCCAGGCTGGTCTTAAACTCCTGGCTCCAAGCACTCTCTGTGCCTCAGTCTCCTAAAGTGCTGGGTTTCAGACTTTTGTACAGAGCCAAGCTTGCTGCCTCTTTCTGTCTCCCTGCAGGGGCCTGGACAGTCTCTCCACCCCTCCAGTTAGCTTTGGAACTGGTGGGAGGGGAGGAGGTCGCAGGCAATACAGGACAGAATTAGACCAAATTAGATCCATGGTATCAAAATGGATTGCATGTGAATTTGCTCAATTCAAATTATATCTAGTATTCTGGAACATTGTACCATTCTCTGTGTCATCCAAACATGAAGCCATATACAGATTGGTTAAGTGATACTTGAAAGCATCAGGTTTATGCATGGTTTATAGGAAAACATTTAAACTATTCCTCTCAGTCCAGAGTCAGTTGACCATTTACATTTTGGCAGAGCTCGTTTTTGAAGATACTGGACATAAAAGGCAGAGATGGGGTGTCTGCCCCTGTGCACACCTCTCCTTTCCATGCTGCTGACTTTTCTTCCAGAACACCCCATACCCTCGGCGGGTGCACTGCTCTTGGGATTCCCAGGTATTTCCAAACCACTGTTCCCTCTGCATTGTTTTGGTAGACCTCAAGTAGTTATTTTAATAAACAAACTTGTTATTAATACACTTTTTAAGCCAGTAATCGTGCCAATCCCTCTCCCACATGTTATCTGGAATGTGTAATTTTGTGACAAACAGGAATGAGGAAGGCTGATCTCATTGTTTGTTGGGTGTGTTTTCATTTGTTTGTCTTTTGGGACAGCACTTAGGCAAAAGTAGTGGAGGGAGAACTGATGTAGGTTACACCGACCGGTGGCAGGCAATGGTCAGGAGACCTCGTTCTGCTCTCGGTGCCCCTGCCAACCGGCCGTGTGCAGTGGGCAAGTTCTCTTCTTACAGAAGAACTTGCAAAGTCTCCTCTTCTTTACAATTATGGGGCTACCTCTCTGGGCATTATGGTTCTGAGGTTCTATCCAAATGTCTTCAGACCCCTTGACATGGAGGCTAGTGGCTCTCCAGCCAGATAACTTGCCTTCTGCTCCGATTGCCCTCTTTGTATCACTCTTTTTATTTATTTATTATACTTTTATTATACTTTTTAATTTTTTTATTATACTTTTAAGTTCTAGGGTACATGTGCACAACGTGCAGGTTTGTTACATATATATACATGTGCCATGTTGGTTTGCTGCACCCATTAACTCGTCATTTGCATTAGGTATATCTCCTAATACTATCTCTCCCCCTTCCCCACCACAGGCCCTGGTGTGTGATGTTCCCCACCCTGTGTCCAAGTGTTCTTATTGTTCAATTCCCACCTATGAGTGAGAAGATGCGGTGTTTGGTTTTCTGTCCTTGCGATAGTTTGTTCAGAATGCCATCATTCTTTGTATCACTCTTAAGGGATTTAGAATGTTCTTTTGACACAGCCCCACTACCAACACATACACTCCCTTAGAGCCCTCCCCCTGATTTCTCAGTCTCCATAGCCATTGGATGATGGTGATGGTGGTGGTGATGATGATGATGATGATGATGATGATGGATGTGTCTGTTTATTTGGGAAGCAGTGAGCATCTAGACACTGAACCCGGCTGCCGGTTCTTAATTCTAGGGCTGTCACTTCCTGCCTGTGTGACCCTGGGCAAGGTACTGCATTGCTGTGGGCTTTGGTTTTGTTATCTGTAAAGTTGGGGTCATGATAGTACCTACTCATAGGACTATCAGGATGACTAAGTGAATTTACATCCTCTCTTCCCCACTGGGAGGGTGAACAAATGAATGCGTAGATGAATGAAGCCCGGTATTTCTTTGCCATTTTATCCCAAGGAGTTTATCTTCACAGTCCCCTTGTGAAGTAGCTTTAACTCTCTTCCTCTGAGAGGACCCCACTTTGCCGCTGAGCCCTGAACCCCCCATGTATGAACTTATGAACTCTTTCTGTTCCCCTAAACATGATCTGGCTAGTTCCTGAATACCTTCCTTTTCCACCCCAAAATCCAGAGTCAGAGTGGCTTCTGTCCATGACAACCAATACATTTTAAGGAAAGAATGTGTGATCATAAGGAAATCTGGGGGACAGTTGGGAGATTTGAGTATAATCTGGGTATTAGATGCTATTAAGTGATTATTAAAATTTTATTGGGTATGTTGATGGTATTGCGGTTCTGTGGGGGACATCTTTGGTTTTTGAAGGTGCACACTCAAGGGTTAAGGGGTAAAATGTCATGATGTTTGTAATTTAAAATACTTCAGCAAAAAAAAAATGCAAGGATGGCAAAGTGATCACTGGTATATCTAGATGATGGTATACATAAAGTGATTGTACTATTCCCTCCGCTTTTCTGAATACGAGAACATTTTCAAAATAAAAACTCAAGTCAGTGAATGAATGAGTGAATGAATGAAGCTGATTGTGCCCAGGGGGTCTGTGTGGGGCTCTCCGTGAAGTGCAGGGGTGACTGGTCCTCTCTCTCTGCACCTCGCAGGATTTCTCTGGAAGATCTGAGCCCGAGCGTCGTGCTGCACATGACCGAGAAGCTGGGTTACAAGAACAGCGACGTGATCAACACTGTGCTCTCCAACCGCGCCTGCCACATCCTGGCCATCTACTTCCTCTTAAACAAGAAACTGGAGCGCTATTTGTCAGGGGTAAGTGCGACCCTAGAGGCGATCGTCTCTGCTGTCTGTGGAAAAAAGAGCTCCTACACCCAAAGTGCTTCTCAGTTGCTGACACTTGATCCAAGCTGCTAATTTAATCTAATGTGAGGCTGAGTTTTCTGAATGTGGGATAAAGTCGTAGCTAAACCTGCTTCTCAGGGAGTGCCTTTTATCTGCAATGTTTTTCAAATACTCTCCCACCGAGTTAAGCCCTGGGCAGAATTGGGAGGGGTTCAAGCCTCTTTTTCCTTCAACAGCATCTCTGTTGTCTTTTTTTTTTTTGTTCTGCTGCCTCTTAGGTCTTTGGGTTCCCCATGTTGGAGGCATTGGAGGGTTCTCTGGTCCTAAAACTCGGGTAGCAGTGCCTCCCGGGCATTTGTCTCTGAACTATGGTATTATATATGAGAAAGCCACTATTTAGGTTTAACTTCTCCAGAAAATAAGAACAAAATTGGACTTGCCTGGCCTGACTCTGGCACCTTCCCTCAGTCTGAGTGTCAGAAAGTCCAAGTGTCTGGTGTCACCCGCGAGGTACCTTTGGGGTTTCCACAGCGTGGGGTGGATGGTGGGACCCTGACACCCTGTCCCCTTCATCATTTTTGCCACAAGCAGTTTCTGTGTGCCTGAGTAAGAGAATTTATGTGCCTTAAATTGTCTCTCTCCAAATGGACAATGGCTTAAAAAGAATTCTGCAAATTGGATCCAAGACAATATGGAGTCTGCATACAGCAGCTCATGCTTTTACTCAGAATGGTGGGTGCTGACCAGCTCTAACAGGGAGTCAGCCAAAGAAATTCAGAATTGCCAGGAAGCCTATCTGAAATTTGACTGAGTGTTCACTTTCACGAGGGACCACCTTCACCCTGGGCCTGTTGCACCTTGACATCTGATGGCGTGGAGTTGTCACTGTTAGGAAGACATTTACCATCCAGAACATGTGCTATTGAAGTCACGTGATAGCCCAATATGTCACCAAATTTCACTAGACAATAGGCTTAGAAACCTTTTTGAGGTTTCTATATGAGAGCTAAAGATGAAAATCTACCTGCAGTTGGGGAAATGATATTCTCGCTGGCATGGTGGAGATGACCAAATTAATACCCGGAGGACAAGGTAGTCAGTGTGTGTCTTTTGTTAGCAAATGGATTTGGGAGCCGTCTAGAAAACATTGCTGAACAGATGAAGATGCTCCACGGGAGGTTGGTTAAACATTTGGATGAAAGTACAGATGTTTCTAAGCTGATTTAGCTCAGAATATTGGCTAGATTGTGCTTCCATTGTGCTTCCGCAGGAAATTATCCACAGAACTCCTTTGTTTTTGTTTTTGTTTTTTTGTGAACCACCAAAGGAAAGATCTACATGAGAAGAAGTACTCTCAACAATAAAGAGATTTAACAATGTTTTATGGGGGAAAAAACGTGGTCTGTATGATGGGGTGGCACCTCTCTGATGGGGACAGAGTCAACGCTTTGAGTTAGATTTCACAGATGGTGTCACTGTGGCTGCCTTGCTCATAGAAAGCTACTGGAGAAGAGATGTCAAATCCAGAAAGACAGGACTTTCAACATATAGTATACTATTTATTTTATTTTATTATATGATGAGGAGAGATTCAGAAAATCTCTTGTATCACACAGCAGTTCTCTGTTCTCTCATCACAAGGAACATAAAAGACATACTGGACTTGAAGCTGTTTCTCTCTCATTTCTCTTGTTTTAATTGTTTTTTGAGACTTTTTTTTTTTTTTTTTTTTTTTTGGAGACGGAGTCTTTCTCTGTCGCCTAGGCTGGAGTGCAGTGGGACGATCTCGGCTCACTGCAACTTCTGCCTCCCAGGTTCAAGTGATTCTCCTGCCTCAGCCTCCTGAGTAGCTGGGACCACAGGCACGTGCCACCACGCTTGTCTAATTTTTGTATTTTTAGTAGAGATGGAGTTTTGCCATATTGGCCAGGCTGGTCTCAAACTCCTGACTTCAAGCGATCCTCCTACCTCAGCCTCCCAAAGTGCTGGGATTATAGGCGTGAGCCAAAGCACCTGGCCCTCTTTTTTTTTTTTTTCTTTTGAGATGAGGTCTCACTCTGTCACCCAGGCTAGAGTGCAGTGGCATGATCTCGGCTCACTGCAACATCTGCTTCCTGGGTTCAAGTGATTCTCCCACCTCAGTGTCCTGAGTAGCTGGGACTACAGGTACGCACCACCATGACCAACTAATTTTTGTATTTTTGGTAGAGATGGGGTTTTGCCATGTTGCCCAGGCTGGTCTTGAATTCCTGAGCTCAAGCAGTCTGCCCACCTTGGCCTCCCAAAGTGCTAGGAATACAGCTGTGAGCCACCATGCCCGACCCCATTTCTCTTTTGCAAAAAGACTATATTCCCCAAACTTCTTTCTCATACTTTAAAATTTCTATTTATTATATATCTTATAGCGTACATGATATATTCGTACAATGTTACATGCTTATAATTTATAAATATGCATATGTTGCAGGTGCCTGCTTACAAGTTTGTCACACATAAGGGATTAGGGTCATAGCATTTGGACACCACCATGCTATAGAGGATGAAAGTTAAGAATTTAAATAGTCTTCAGATAAAAGGAAGAAAAGAGGGTTAATGCACTGGTAATCTTTTTCAGGTGATGAATACTGTTCAAAACTTAGTTATTCAAATGTGTTTTCATGAAACTGACTATATTATAAAGTTCATGATTTTGCTTATTAGAGAATGACATTGCTACTTTCCCAAGTAAGTTAACAGTTCCAAACATTTTTCTTTTGGTGGAACTAGTTCTTCAGGTGCTGACCAAGTAAGATGGAGGGGTGTTAGGTTTTAAAAAACTGTCCTATGTTTACTTCCACATTTAGAGATACAAGCTTTTGTGATTCACGCTCTTCTTAAACAAATACATAGCTCATGCCAAGCAAGAGAGACATTTTATCTGAAGCTTTTTTGTCTTTTAAAACCAAACCAAAACAAAACACAACAAAAAGAGTCTCACTCTGTCGCCCAGGCTGGAGTGCAGTGGCACAATCATGGATCACTGGAGCCTCGACTTCCTGGGCTCAAGCCATCCTGCTATAGTCCCAGCTACTCAGGAGGCTGAGGCAGGAGGATCGCTTGAGCCTGGGAAGTCGAGGCTAATTGTATTTTTTGTAGAGACGGGCTTTCGCCATGTTGCCCAGGCTGGTCTCTAACTCCTGGGCTCAAGCAGTCCGCCCGCCTAGGCCTCCCAAAGCGCTGGGATTATAGGCATGAGCCACTGCACCTGGCCTGAAGCTCTTAGACTGTGTCCTGAGGTGCCTGGGTGTGTTGCCAGCTGCTGCATTTCTGCCTGTCTGCTTTGCCCAGCATCCAGGCTGCAAGTGTTGCAAAGCAGAGTGTGGCTTTGTCATCTGAGAACATTCTCTGGAAACTCAGCTGGTGTCATTCTAACTGGAAAAGGTTTGGGGGTTGTTTTCAATTAAATTTATTTAATTGACCAAAAAAATGGTATATATTTATCCTGTACAACATGATGCTTTGAAATATATATACATTGTGGAATGGCTAAATCAAGCTAAATAATAT
Source organism: Homo sapiens (assembly GCF_000001405.40). Taxonomy (NCBI): domain Eukaryota; kingdom Metazoa; phylum Chordata; class Mammalia; order Primates; family Hominidae; genus Homo; species Homo sapiens. The sequence goes on from NC_000021.9 coordinate 31,978,294, forward strand.
ATGTGTAACCACACAAATTTATCATTTATTTGTGGTGAGACCATTGAAAATCTACTCTCTTAGCAATTTACAAGAATAAATACACTGTTATTAACTATAGTCACCACATTGTTCAATCATGTCTTAAATTTTTTTCCTCCTGTTTAACTGAAATTTTGTATCTTTTGACCAATATCTCTTCTGCCCACTTTCCCTCATCCCCTTCAGCCTCTGGTAACCATCATTCTACTCTCTACTTCTGTGACCTACACTTTTTAGATTCCATGTATAAGTGAGATTGTACACTATTTGTCTTTCTGTGCCTGGCTTATTTCACTTAGCATAATGTCCTCTAGGTTCATCCATATTGTCAAAAATGACAGAATTTCTGTCTTTTTAAAGGTTGAATAGTATTCCATTATATATAGGTACCACACACTTTCTTTATTCATTCATCCGTTGATGGACACAATAGCCATTTCCTGGCTATTGTAAATAATGCTGCATTGAACATGGGGTGGGGGTGCATATGTGTCTTCAACATACTGATTTCATCTCCTTTGAATATAGACCCAGAAGTGGAATTGCTGGATCACATGGTAGTTCTACTTTTAATTTTTTGAGGATCCATACTGATTTCCATAATGGTTGTACTAATTTACATTCCCACCGACAGTGTGCAAAGGTTCTTTCTTCTCCACATCCTCTCCAACATGTGGTATCTTCCATCTTTATGATAAAAGCTGTTCTTACAGATGTGAGGCAGTATCTCATTGTAGCTTTAATTTGCATTTCCCTTATGATTGGTGATGTTGAGCATACCTATTGGCCATTTCTTTTTTTTTTTTTGAGAGGGAGTCTCGCTATGTCACCAGGCTGGAGTGCAGTGGCGTGATCTCGGCTCACTGCAACCTCTGCTTACTGCAACCTCTGCCTCCTGGATTCAAGCAATTCTCCTGCCTCAGTCTCCTGAGTAGCTGGGACTACAGGTGCACACCACCATGCCCAGCTAATTTTTGTATTTTTAGTAGAGACGGGGTTTCACCATGTTGGCCAGGATGGTCTCAATCTCTTGACCTTGTGATCTGCCTGCCTCGGCCTCCCAAAGTGCTGGGATTACAGGTGTGAGCCACCGCGCCCGGCCCCTATTGGCCATTTCTATGTCTTCTTTTGAGAAATGTCTTCAGATCCTATGTGCACTTTTTAATTGGGTTGTTTTCTGGCTATTGAGTTGTTTGCATTCTTTTTTTTTTTTTTTTTTTTTTTTTTTTGAGATGGAGTCTTGCTCTGTCACCCAGGCTGGCGTGATCTCAGCTCACTGCAAGCTCCGCCTCCTGGGTTCACGCTATTCTCCAGTCTCAGCCTCCCAAGTAGCTGGGACTACAGGCACCTGCCACCTCACCTGGCTAATTTTTTGTATTTTTAGTAGAGACAGGGTTTCACCGTGTTAGCCAGGATGGTCTCAATCTCCTGACCTCGTGATCTGCCCACCTTGGCCTCCCAAAGTGCTGGGATTACAGGCATAAGCCACCACGCCCAGCTGCATTCTTTATATGTTCTTTGTCAGATGTATGGTTTACAAATATTTTATCCCATTCCATAGATCTCTTTACTCTGTCGATTATTTCCTTTGTTGTGCAGAGCTTTTGAATTTGATGTAATTACATTTGTCTATTTGTGCTTTTGTTGCCTGTGCTTTGGGAGTCATGTCCAAAAAATCATTGTCCAGACCAATGTAATGAAGCCTTTTCTGTAGGTTGTCTTCTAGTAGATTTATAGTTTTGGATCTTGTTTGTTTGTTTATTTATTTATTTTTTGAGATGAAGTCTCACTCTGTCACCCAAGCTGGAGTGCAGTGGTGTGATCTCAGCTCACCGTGACCTCCACCTCCTGGGTTCAAGCGATTCTTGTGCCTCAGCCTCTCAAGTAGCTGGGACTACAGGTGTGCACCACCATGCCCAGCAAATTTTTGTATTTTTAGTAGAGACGGGGTTTCACTATGTTGGCCAGGCTGGTCTCAAACTCCTGACCCTGTGGTCTGCCCGCATCGGCCTCCCAAAGTGCTGGGATTATAGGCGTGAGCCACCGCACCAGGCCTGTCTTCTTCTTTTTTTTTTTTTTTTGAGATGGAGTCTCGCTCTGTCACCAGGCTGGAGTGCAGTGGCGCGATCTTGGCTCACTGCAACCTCCGCCTCCCAGCTTCAAGCGATTCTCCTGCCTCAGCCTCCTGAGTAGCTGGGATTACAGACGCCTGCCTGCCACCACACGTGGCTAATTTTTGTCACGTGGCTAATTTTTGTATGTTTAGTAGAGATGGGGTTTCACCAAGTTGGCCAGGATGGTCTTGATCTCTTGACCTCGTGATCTGCCCACCTCTACCACCCAAAGTGCTGGGATTACAGGCGTGAGCCACCATGCCCGGCCTGGGCCTAAGTCTTTTTTTCTTTTTGAGATGGAGTTTCATTCTTGTTGTCCAGGCTGGAGTGCAATGGCGAGATCTCCATTCATCGCAACCTCCGTCTCCCAGGTTCAAGCGATTCTCCTGCCTTAGCCTCCCAAGTAGCTGTGATTATAGGCATGCGCCACCATGCCCAGGTAATTTTGTATTTTTAGTAGAGATGGGGTTTCTCCATGTTGGTCAGGCTGATCTTGAACTCCCAACCTCAGGTGATCCACCTGCCTTGGCCTCCCAAAGTGCTGGGATTACAGGCATGAGCCACTGTGGCCCGGGCCTAAGTCTTTAACTCATTTTGAGTTGACTTTGCAGATGGTGTGAGACAGGGTCTGATTTCATTCTCTGTGGATGTCCAGTTTTCCAACACCATTTATTTAAGAGGATCTCCTTTCCCCATTCTGTGTTCTTGGCAGCTTTGTCAAAAAGTAATTGACCGTAAGTGCATGGATTCATTTTTGGACTCTCTTTTCTATTCCATTGGTCTATGTGTCTCTGTTTTTATGCCAGTATCATGCTGTTTTGGTTTCTATAGCTTTGTGATGTGTTTTGAAGTCAGGTGGTGTGATGCATCAACTTTGATTTTATTGTTCAAAATGACTTTGGCTATTCAGGGTCTTTTGTGGTTCCATACAAATGTTAGGATTTTTTTTTTTTTCTGTTTCTGTGAAAAACGTCATTGGAATTTTGACAGGGATTCCATTGAATCCGTAGATTGCTTAGTATAGTATGGACATTTTAATCATATTAATTCTTCCAATCTGTGAACATGGAATCTTTTCATTTACTTGTGTCTTCTTCAATTTCTTTCATCAGTGTCTTATAGTTTTCAGTGTACAGATCTTTCACTTCCTTGGTTACATTTATTCCTAAGCATTTGATTTTTTTATGGCTATTGTAAGTGGCATTGCTTTCTTGATTTCATTTTTGAATAGTTTGTTGTTAGTGTATGAAAACACTATTGATTTTTGTATATTGATTTTGCATTCTGCAACTTTACTAAATTCATTTAGTAGTTCAAACAGTTTTTTGGTAGTCTTTAGGGTTTTCTATATATAAGATCGTGTATCTACAAACAGGGACAATTGAACTTCCTTTCCAATTTTGATCCCTTTTATTTATTTATTTATTTACTTATTTATTTAGTTTAACAATTTCCCAAATATTTTTATTTTTATTTTTTCTTCAACTTTTATTTTAAGTTCTGGGGTACATGTTTAGGATGTGCAGGTTTGTTACATAAGTAAACATGTGCCATGGTGGTTTGCTGCACAGATCAACCCATCACCTAGGCATTAATCCCAGCGTTCCTTAGCTATTCTTCCTGAGGGTGCCTTTGATTTCTTTCTCTTGCCTAAGTGCTCTGGCTAGGACGTGCAGTACTATGTTGAATAGAAGTAGTAAGAGTGGGCTTCTTTGTCTTATTCCTGAACAAGTTGTCTATGGGGATTAATTCACTCTAGTTAGAAACACCTGCTTGCCTAGAGTGTGGATTCTCAGACCAGTTGTGAGTTTTATGATGTCTGTTTCACATTTAATGCTTAAATCATAGGGCATACCTAGTCTGAGAATCCATACTCTAGGCGAGTGGCTGTTTTTAACTGGAGTGAATTAATCCCTACAGACAACTCAACTGCTCAGTAATTTCTGCACATGGCTAATTTAATTGTACTGTATGCATTGTCCCGGTTATTAATTTTATCAACCAATTATTTACACCCCGTGTATAATTTTGAAGCCCAATCTAGTGAACTAAAAAGTAAAATGTTATCTCTTAATTGTCATCTCTTCCCTTCTCTTTTGGTTTCCTCTTTTTAAAACCACGAAGTTCGTATTTTAAGATAGAGAGCCTGTAAGGGCATTTATTAACTATTTGTTGGTTGATTAATTAATTAATCCATGTTTTTATTTCACCCATTTCCAGACAGGATTGCACCTTCCTCAGCTTAGGTGCAGCTGTTTATCTTCTTTGAGCTATGTTATGAATTGTTATGGCTTTCATTTGGGTGGTGGTAGTGGGGAGCAGTGTGTACATGTGTGTTTGTGTGTGTGTGTGTGTGCACTGTTTTTTGTTTATTTTTATTTTTATTTTTTTGAGAGACAGAGTCTCACTCTGTCACCCAGGCTGGAGTGCAATGGCACGATCTTGGCTCACTGCAGCCTCCACCTCCCGGATTCAAGTGATTCTCCTTCCTCAGCCACCTGAGTAGCTGGGACTACAGGCGTGTGCCACCATGATTGGCTATTTTTGTATTTTTACTAGAGACAGGGTTTCGCCACGTTGGCCAGGCTGGTCTCGAACTCCTGACCTCAGGTGATCCACCCGCCTCGGCCTCCCAAAGTGGTGGGATTACAGGTATGAGCCACTGCACCCAGCCGTGTGCTGTTTTAAAATAAAGCAAACAAGCAAGATCTATGTTCTATGCAGTGGTTCAATAAAATAAGTTATTCTTTCCAGCTCATTTTCTTGGTTTCTCTGTTCGTGTTTTTGAGTAGTCTTACTGCACAGATAAAAGAACTGAGGCCCTGCAGGGGGCAGTGATCTACTCAGGGTCACCTGGCCCTTTACTGGCAGCGATAGTAACACAAAGTAGGTGACCTGACTCTGCGCCCAGGGCTCTCCCCACACTGCAACCTGCCTGCAGGCCTTCCTGGGGTGAGACTTGATGTTGCAATTTACTGGACTGCCAAACATTTCCAGCATTCTCTCAGCCAAGCGCTGGTTTAAAAATTAATGACTGCTTAATGGGCATTTCTATTTCTGAGAGTTGAGCTGTGCTTTTTCTTTTCTCCTCTGGTAGAAATCTGACATCCAGGACAGCCTCTGCTACAAGACCCGGCTCTACCAGATAGAAAAGTACAGGGCCCCCAAGGAGTCCTATGAGGTGAGTGACCCCTGAAGCAAACCTCAGGGTCTCTTAGGAAGGGTGGATTTCCATTTGCAGTAATTGGAAAAGAAACCAATTACTGTGGGACACTGAAGTAGCAAAAGACACATACTTACGCTCATAACTGAGCCCTTGAGAAATGGTTTACAGCGGAACCAGCTTTGCGGTGTCTAAACCATGGTTCTCAGCTGTGGCTGCATGTTAAAGTCACGGGGAGCGTTTAAACATCTGGATGCCCAGGCCGCACCTGGGACCCATTCCATTGAATCTTGGGAGGTGAGACTCGGGTATCAGGAGTTTTTAAAGCTCCCTGGATGTTCCAATGAGCAGCCAAAGTTGAAAACCACTGTCAGGATCTCCCAAAATGAAAATGAGATGTTTCAGTGTTTCACTCATATGTGAGTGAAACTAGCAAAAATTGATCTCATAGAAGTACAGAGTAAAACTGTGGTTATTAGAGGCTTGGAATGGCAGGGGGAAGGGAGGGTAGAGAGAGGTTGCTTAACGAACATGAAATTACGGCTAGACAGAAGGAATAAGTTCCGGTGTTCTGTGGCACTGTAGGGTGACTATAGTTAACAGTAACTTATTATGTATATTCAAAAAGCTAAAAGAGAATTTTGAATGTTCCCAATAAAAAGAAATGATAAATATTTGAGGTAATAAATATGCTGATCACCCTGATTTGATCATTACATATTGAATACATAGATGGAAATATCATTCTCTGTCCCATAAAAAAGATGTATAATGATTATGCGTCAACTAAAAATAAAAGGAAAAAAATGCAAATGCTAGAAAAAAATGAGATGCTTAAAAATAGAGCTGAGTGTAACACGTGGCATCAGAAGAAAGTGAGATGAGGAACGCAAAAGTTTGGGATCAGGCAGGCTTTCCTGGCCAGCTGTCCCTGGTGACCTGATGTAACCTGGGACGTACCTAGAGAAAAAGAACACAACTCTGATTTCAGAATAAAAACTAGGCTCCTGTAGCAAACATCCCACATCCATGTTTGTTAGGAAACTGTGTCTGTGAATTCCAGATCCAGGGAGGGGGCCAGGAGTGGGGTGCAGCCTCAGGGCCCCTCATTCACTTTTTGCCAAGTGAGCTTTTCTTTCTCTCAGTGATTTTCCTGGGAACCACCTTCCCTTTTCCCTCTGGAGCCTGTTTATGTCCCCTGAGTGTCCTTGCCACAGGAACCTCTCTCCTGGGACACCCAGGTCTATTAGTCTGTTCTCACGCTGCTAATGAAGACATACCCGAGACTGGGTACTTTATAAAGGAAAGAGGTTTGATGGACTCACAGTTTCACATGGCTGGGGAGGCCTCACAATCATGGCAGAAGGTAAATGAGGAGCAAAGTCACGTCTTACATGGTGGCAGGCAAGAGAGCTTGTGTAGGGGAACTCCCCTTAATAAAACCATCAGATCTTGTGAGACTTACTACCATGAGAACAGTATGGGGGAAACCTCTCTCATGATTCAGTGATCTCCACCTGTCCCCGCCCTTGACACATGGGGATTATTACAATTCAAGGGGAGATTTGGGTGGGGACAAATCAAGTCACCCACCCAGAAGTTCCTTCATTTGAGAAGGGATCAAAAAGGGACCCTTTGTCTATGCCCCAGTGAGGTCACTGAGCCTGGCCTCTCCCCTCTTTCCTTTTCCAACGTAAAGTTTTCATCCTGATCCCATGAGCGGTGCACATCGCTCTGGAAGATTCTTCTCTGGGCTTGTCTTGCACGCAGGGCTGCAGTGGAGCATGGTGGTTACTGGGGCCCACACTGGGCTCCTAGGCAGCCAGTGAAGCAGGTGTCCAGAGACACTGATGACAGGGAGTGCCCAGCTGCAGGACTCTGTGCGAATGTGATGGGAGCTCAGGAGAGGGACTTGCCCCCGGCATAGAGGTGGGCAATGGCACAGGTCTCCATTTCAGACAGACCCTGGGGCAGAGAGAGAGGAGAAACTGGCAAAGACAGGGCTGGAGGTGGCCGGCAGTGGGCAGCCGGCAGGGGGCGGGGCAGCCAGAAGGCAGTGATGCTGCAGTGGGGCCCGTGGGAACAGAGGAAAGGTCACATGTGAAATGGTCAGCATTGTCTACTGGGCAGCTAGTTGTCCTGAGGATGTTAGAAAGAACAGCTTCGTGAAGTGCCAAAGGCAGAAGAGAGGTTGCATGGATTTGGGGGGTGGGAGAGGGGAAGGGAAGTCAGTGAGCATCTGCCTCTCCGTCAGTGACACTGCAGTGAAGGGAGAGAACATGACCTCGATAGAAGGATGCTCAAGGCCAGGCAGGAATGGTGGGCCTTAGCCTTGACCCCAGGCTGGATGCCCCCTTCCTCAAGACAGGCTGTGGGGCTCGGGGAAGATGAGGATGGAGACAAGCCCTTTGGAAGGTGGGCTGTGGCCACAGAAGCTAAGCCACAAGCCCAGGTGTGGCTTTCAGGCTTAAAGCCAGAGAGCCAGGTGGTGGGGACCCAGATGCCCCCTGAACTCTAGACCCCTCTGGCCAGTTGCTTACTAAATGTTAACCCCCTCTTGCATGAATGAAGGGGTCTTGAATCTAGCACGCTCTGAACCAGACTCTCCCCCCGCCGCCCTCCGCCCTCCACCACAGTAGCAGCCCCATCCTCCCCAGCAGTGCAAGGAAGAAACCCAAGAGTCCTTGACTTTGACCCTCCCCTTACCCCCAGAGCCAACCCATCACCACATTCTGCCAATTTGACCGCTAAACCCCTCCAACCCCTGCACTCTCTCTGTCTCCATCCCCACACCTGGTCCCAGCCACATCACCTCTGTCCTGGACTTCTGCTATGCCCTCCTAACCGACTCTCTTGCTTCCGGGATGGTGGCCCGCCACTCTCTCCTGCCTGGCCGTCAGAGCGAGCTTTTCACCCTCGCACCGCATCATGTCACTTTCCTGCTTGAGACCTTCGGAGGTTTCCTTCATTTGCCAGGCAGACTCCGTGCATGGTCGCCCTGTGTGGTTCAGCCCCAGCTTGCTTCTCCTGCCTTGTCTCCTAGCCACATGGCCCACACACACAGCGCTGCATCCCTCCCTGTGCTCAGTCCACAGCCTTCGGGCTTGCTGTGCTCTCTCTGCCTGTGGGGGCTGTGCACATGCTGCTCCCTCTTCCAGAGTGTTTTCCCTGCTCCTCTTTGCTGAACCTAAGTGTCTTCAGATCCCAGAGCAAGATCACCTCCCCATGGGCACCTGCTGTTCCCTGACCTCTGCCATCCAGTCTTATCCTATCGATCCTATCTGCCTACCACGTTCTACATCCTGGGGCCTGTCCCATTTGCAGCTGTTTATTTGTTTTGGGGTTGTTTGATTAACATCTCTCCCTCTGGGCTGTGAGTTCCAGAAGAGTGGGCTCTGAGTCCCTTTTGCTCCTCACAATATTCCCAGAGGCCACACGATGCCTGGCATGTAGGTGCTCAATAAATATTTGCTCAATAAACAAATGAAAAGATCAAGTGGGCCCTGATCAGAGTCTCAGAAAATGGATAGGTCTGGGATAAGCAACCGGAATAGGTAGAACATTCCAGGTGGGATACCTGGCTGGATTAAAGGCAGGGGGATACCTGCAGCCTAGCACACATATGACGTTATCATCACCAAATGGCCGTGCCTTACGGCAGGGAGGGACCTCTTATGGTCACCTGCACTGAGGGTGGTCACCCCAGCCAGAGTCCAGGGGATGCAGAATTCACTGTTAGACTTCCTGCCTCGTGCTTTGCATGTCACTCATGAGGACCTCAAATAACAATGCAAACTTAGGTGCATGGAGAGCCCAATGTGTGTACCCTAGGTGGCCCCTAAGCCAACTTGCCGATGCCCTGGTCCACGCTGACCTGACACCTGCCCCACTGCGAGTGTGTGTCGGAAGGGGCCAGAACTATAGTGGGAAAGGGGCCCTTCTTTCATCTCGATTCCTTTTCTGTGTTATTTCCTCTGTCCTGAAGACACATGGTGAGCGTTTTAAACATTTGTTGAAATATTTAATGGTTAGGATTTAAATAGGAACCCTAATGGGCAAACAGCATTCAATTTTCTATGATCCATTTGTTTCCTCTAAACTGCAGTGATACTTCTCTAATTAAATGACAGCTATTACCAGATGATCCAACTTGTCTCCCGAGGAACCTAGAAAGTGGAGTGGGGCTAGTTCAGGAAAGGGAAGGGCCCAGGCCTCACAGGGAAAGTCCATTCGGAGCCAGAGGACCTTCCAGTCGTCCTCCGCACCACATGGCAGGGGGTGGAGCTGGATGGGGAGAGGGAGTGGTGGAGAGGTTTCAGATTGTGAGCAAACCAGGGTGTGGCCCAGGGCTCGTGTCCCCTAGGGCTGTCATCAACCCGTGTCCCGGGCACTGAGTGCAAGCAGTGGCCTCTTTGTTCCTTTTGATTCCAGTTCGTTTTCTCCTAGGAGACAAAGGAGCTGAATTAAGTTGCAAAAACTTCCCTCTTGGGGTAACCGTGCAGTGATTTTACAACTTTACCATTTTCTCTACCTCTTTTTCCTGTCAAAGGCAGAGACTGTATCTATAAAAGTGGGGTGCATTTCTCATCTGAGGAGGACACCTATCGTGTGTGCCCGACGGACTCCTTTTTCTGAAAAAGAGAACCCCCCAGGACTTTGGGGGTCGAGGTGGGGAGGTTATCATTTTAAATTGGCTTATCAAAGCCATTAGAGAGCCCAGGGCCAGTTTTATTAAAGTCTTTTGAAAAATAATGTTAATTTATAGGAAAATGTCAAATCCAGCTAGGAGGTCTCCTCTGCAATGACAAAGTAATGTTGGCGTTTTGGAAGAAAACTGACGGAGAGGGTGGCAGGGAACTGGATTCGTCTGCTTGGCTGCTCTAACAAGCACCACAAAATGGGTAGAAATTTAACTTTTCACAGTTCTGGAGGCCAGGTTCAGGGCTTACGGATGCATCACTATGATCTCTGCCTTCATCTTCACACAGTGTTCTCCTGTGTGTGTATCTGTGTCCCAATTTCCCTGTTCTTTTCTCTCCTCCCTCCCTCATTTTTCTCTCTTTTCTCTCTTTTCTTTCTTTCTCTTTCTTTTCTTTTTCTTTTTGCTTTATTCTTTTCTTTTTCTTTCTTTCTTCCTCTCTTTCTTCTTTCTTCCCTTTTTCCTTCCCTCCCTCCCTCCTTTCTCTCTCTCTCTTTTTCTGCCTTCCCTCTCCTCTCCCCTCGCTTCCTCCTCCTCTCCCCTCCCCTCCCCTCCTTCCTTTTTCTTTCTCGGTTTCCAGACCAAGCTGGAGTGCAGTGACACAATCATATTTCATTTCAGCCTTGACCTCCCTGGCTCAGGTGATCCTCCCACCTCAGCCTCTCTAGTAGCTGGGACTACAGGCATGCACCATTATGCCTGGCTAATTTTTTGTAGAGAGGGGGTTTCAACATGTTGCCCGGCTGGTCTTGAACTCCTGAGCTTAAGGCATTTGCTCATCTCAGACTCCCAAGGGGCTGGGATTACAGATGTGAGTCACCATGCCTGGCCCAAATTTCCACATTTTTAAAGGACACCAGTCATACTGCATTAGGGCTCAACCTAATAGCCTCATTTAAACTTGATTACCTCTGTAAAGATTCTCTCTCCAAATAAGGTGAAATTCTGAGGTCCTGGGGTTAGACTTTAACCTATGAATTTTAGGAGAATACAGTTCAACCCACACAGGGATGAAACATTTAAAGGCAAATATTAAAATATTCACTTTGTGTCTTATTTCAAAATCTATATAACTTTAAAAAATATAGTTCAGAATCAGATCCAGCAATCTGTGCTATTAGAAATCAGAAGTGTAGTTACTTGGCCGGGCTCAGTGCTCATGCCTGTAATCCCAGAACTTTGGGAGGCCAAGATGGGTGGATCACTTGAGGTCAGGAGTTCAAGGCCAGCCTGGCCAACATGGTGAAACCCCGTCTCTACTAAAAATGCAAAAATTAGCTGGGTGTGGTGGTGCACGCCTGTAATCCCAGCTACTCAGGTGGCTGAGGCAGGAGAATCGCTTGAACCTGGGAAGCAGAGGTTGCAGTGAGCCAAGGTCGTGCTACTGCACTCTAACCTGTGTGACAGAGCGAGACTCGGTCTCAAAAAAAAAAAAAAAAAAAAGCCTGGTTACTTTGGGGGACAGAATGCCTGGCAGAGGACATGGGGATGGCAGGGAGGACCTTCCAGATGCTGGCTGTGTTCTGTTTTTTGATCCAAGTGCCATTTCTGTGGGTGTCTTTGCTGTTTGAGAAAACATTGAGCTGCTGACTTATCATTAGAGCACTCCTCCATACGGCATCTTAGATTTTAATAAAAAGTTTACCTAGAAAATCTATTCAGCACACGAGTTAGGACATCTGCTGTCTACTTCCATGGCAATTTCAGGATTTGCTTTCTGTCTATGAAAACCGAAACGAATAATTCTCAACCAGAGCTGCAGGGCCGTAGGGGAAGCATTTAGGGAATAAATAGCAGGTGCAGATTCTCGAATTGTTGAAGGATGTTCCTTTTCACAGGCCTCTCTGGACACCTGGACACGAGATCTTGAATTCCATGCCGTGCAGGTAAGAACTTGGGGGATTATTATGTTAGTCAGGGTTCTCCAGAGAAACAGAACCAATAGAGTATGGAGAGAGAGAGAGATTGAGACTGAGATTTATTTTAAGGAGTTGGCTCACACAGTTTTGTGGGGGTTGGCTGGAAGTCTGAAATCTGCAGGGCAGACCAGCAGGTTGGTTGAATTGATGTTGCAGCTTCAAGTCTGAAGGCCATCTAGAGGCAGAATTTCTTTTGCCAGAAGACCTCATTCTTTTTTTTTTTTTAAAGCCGTTGACTGATTGGATGAGACCCACCCACATTATGGAGGATAATCTACTTGAAGTCTACTAATTTAAATGTTAATCACTTTATTTATTTATTTATTTATTTATTTATTTATTTATTTATTGAGTCTCGCTCTGTCGCCCAGGCTGGAGTGCAATGTTGTGATCTTGGCTCACTGCAACCTCCACCTGCCAGGTTCAAGCAATTCTCCGGCCTCAGCCTCCCGAGTAGCTGGGATTACAGGTGCCCGCCATCACGCCTGGCTAGCTTTTGTATTTTTAGTAGAGATAGAGTTTCACCATGTTGACCAGGCTGATCTTGAACTCCTGACCTCAAGCCATCCACCTGCCTCAGCCTCCCAAAGTGCTAGGATTATAGGTGTGAGCCACTGTGCCTGGCCTGTTAATCACATCTTTAAAACCACCTTCACAGAACCATCTAGACTGGTGTTTGGCCAAACAACTGGGTACCATGGCCTAGGCAAGTTGACATATGAAATTAACCATCACATATGATCCTAAGGGTTGGTCAGTCTCTGCCCAGGGCAGCAGGCTCTGCCAGCCCCATCCTTATCCAGAATTAAAACATGCAGAATCCTGTTGTGAGTGAGTTTATCAGAATCCCTTTAGATCACATTGGTTCTTGCTATGCGGAATTGGCTGTTTTTTATTGTCTTGTTACAACTCTACACCTGCCTGTGCATTTCTGTTACCACCTGTATGAGAAATGGAGTTTGCAGCTATCTAGAGCTTCCTGGCTCAATGGCCTAATTTATGAACAAAACCCCACCTTTTTTTTTTGAGGTGGAGTCTTGCTGTGTCACCCAGGCTGGAGTGCAGTGGGTGTGATCTTGGCTAACTATAAACTCTGCCTTCCAAGCTCAAATGATTCTCCTGTCTCAACCTCTCAAGTACCTGGGACTACAGACGCTCTCCACCATGCCAGGCTAATTTTTGTATTTTTAGTAGAGACAGGATTTCACCATCTTGGCCAGGCTGGTCTCAAACTCCTGACCTCAAGTGATCTGCCTGCCTCGGCCTCCCAAAGTGCTGGGATTACAAGCATGAGCCACTGCGCCCGGCCCAAAGCCCTCTTTTTATCCACTCACTTGTAGGTTTTTCTGCAGCAAAACCAGGTTTCTTCTTATGTGATGGGTGACAAGGAACCAAAACCAACCAGCCAACGACATCTGGGCCCTGGGCCATCCCAGGTGGCAGCAGTCAGCACTTGGTTCTGACAGACCAAACAGCCTGGTGAGGCTTATTAATCATCAGAGGGAAGGAAAGCTCCAGAAAAGCCCATGTCGAACTGGACTTGATAGAGTTACTCAAAGAAAACTTACCTCAGCTCCCAGGGCTCCTCTGCCACATGTGGAAACAGGCAGATTTCCCAGGCAGCCATCCATCCTCCGGCCTGGGGTGATGAGGATGCAAAGCAAGCATCCGTCCCTGTTAAATGGATGCATTTGCTGTTCAGGCGATAAAGCAAGTGTGATGTGTGTTCATTGTTATCCTCCCAGAGCTGGGAAGGATCCACACTTTTGGTTACACGTGGGAAAACACCTCCCTCGAGGAGAAGTGAATTGCCCAAGGTTACCCAACACATTATGGAGAGAGCGAGGAATGGACTCCAGACTTCCGGACTGCCGAGCTGTGACCATGGCTGGGATCCTCAGGTGGAGCACCTGTGGCAGCCATGCCGGGAAAGAAGGGGGCGCTATGGGTCTTTGGAACACAGAAGCCTGGGGTCATTCTTCATTGGCCATCATACCCCCAGTTGCACAGCCATCAGGGAAGACTCTGAAGGGAACCAGCTCTCTGGAGCTCAGACCTCAGAGGCTAAGGATGGGTTTCCCCCTCCTGTAGGCATCTCCGTCTCCTCCACAGGACAATATACAACATTAAGGATCCTGGGTAAATGATTGTTCATGGGGCTGCGTTTTCAAAATGTCCCACTTTGCAAATGTCCGTGCACATCCGCAGTGGGTGGAAATAGTTGATAGAGAACAAGAAGGTGTTTAGTGTATGGCTTGCCTCTGGGGCCTCATGTGGTCTTTTCTCTGATCTGCCTTGGGGGATTTGGAACTGTGCCATGAAGGTGCGAGAGGGCGGGCTTCGAACCGAGAGCTTGAATTCCATCGCCCACCCTCAAGTCTATGTGGGTGCTGGAGCGCATCGGAGGGAAGCCAGGAGTCTCTGCAGGCGGCAGCCTTGCCGTGTGAGGAGCTTGCATGTGGAAGGGGGAGGTGATAGTCCCTCTGAAGATCTGTTTCTGTTATGTAAGGCAATTTAGCATCCTGCTCCCTAGGAAATTTCTTTTGGAGAAAACAGGCCATGCAAATGAAAAAGTCTAATTGGGTGATTGGCTGCATTTGGTAACATGTGCTTGGAGGGCAGGGAGATTGGCTAGTTGTAAATAAACATGCTTTCTCTGGGCGGTTGACCCTTCTGCGTGGACTGACTCTGAGGTTTGTCCCCGACAGGGAGCAGGTGGGGTGAATTTCTTGATTTCTCCTTAGACACCAGTTACTATGAAATCACTGATTCTTTTCAGCTGGAGAAGGATATGCTAGGGGTTCTTGGAGGACATACCAGGGTGCAGGATGTTGGGATGAAGTTTAATAAGGGTGGTCTTGGCAGGGTTTCCTGGAATTTTCTGTCTGGGGGTGCATTTTTCCTTTTTTCTGCCCCCATAGCAGCTTTCTGCTCATTGCCAAATAGCCCCCTTGTCAGTGACGGGAGAAATTTGGTCTTACAGGCCAACCTTGGTCTCTTTGCACAGCAAACCCCCACGCATTACACACCACTAGGTACCCATAGACCCTAACTGGGTGGCGATACTGGTCCGCAGAAGTTTTGCATCTTGATTGTTAAGCTTTTGAGAACCCAAGGAGGGTTAGAAAGGAATGAAAATAAACCTAGACAGCCACCGGCAGCTCTCAAGGCTGTGGGCCACAGAGCAGCCTGAAAAAAATGTTTGCTGATCGATTTAAAAAGCAATCCTAAAACAGAAGGAACTGCCGTGTTGTCTTTTCTACCAAATATTGTTTGGAAATGTATGACAAAGGTGCATTTGATTACTTTTTCCTGTAGAAGGTGTTAGCAGGTAGAGCTGGTGACTTTA
Organism: Homo sapiens; assembly: GCF_000001405.40. NCBI lineage: Eukaryota > Metazoa > Chordata > Mammalia > Primates > Hominidae > Homo > Homo sapiens. Next base: position 31,993,559 of record NC_000021.9, read on the forward strand.
GCATAAAAGTAGAGAAAGGGAACCAAGTAAAAGGAGATTGTGCCAGATTTTTCAGGAAAGCCGGTAACATTGCCTTTGCTGCTGGATGGGTGTGTGTCTCTGTGTGTGTAAGCGTGTGTGCAAAAGCTTGTTCTCCTTTGCCTTGGAGAAGGTGGCCTGTTGGTGTGTCATGCACACAAAGGGAGAGGAAAGCCGTGGAAAATAGTGATTGTCCTTTGCTGGCTTCAACCAAGGTGACCTGGAGGACACGTTCCCCTTCATGGCATCCCAGATAACGTCCTGGAGCACATAACCTTCTCTGGAACATTCAGATCCCACTGCAGGAGCCTAGGACTGTGGCATGCTCCTGCCTCTGGGCCTTTCCATCTCTGGAACCGCCTGACCCTGCTGCAGGCTCTGAGAGTGTGGTGTCAAGTCAAGGGTTGACAACATCAACTTCAGGGCCGGGAAAATCCGCGTTTCCACCGGGCTCATGGGTGGATGACATAAGCACTGCAGGCTGTTTCTTCACATGTAAAGGAGGTAGCAGAATTTGCCTTGTGGTGGGTCATGCCCTCAGTGCAGTGTCTGGCACCCTGCATATTCTCAAAAAAGGCTGGTGGCAGCTGTGAAGGTGCTGAGGAGGGAGTTTGAGGAAGCTTTGCCTCTCCTGTCTTCCCATGTCACCCCTTTGTTAGGGAGGAGCCACATCAGCTACAGGCCAGGGCCCTAGAGAGCTGTAGCCCCTCACAGTGGCACTTGCCACGAGGCTCAGCATCCCCACTTCCCACATCTACCCTGTCGTCTTTCCCACTCAAAAACTGGACATCATGAACTCTTATCTGCAGACTTTGAACATCCTTATTAGAAAGGGCTGCAAAAGTGTAGAGAGATATTTCCCTGAGAAGCTTCTCAACAACATGAATGAAAAAATAGACGAGCTCTCTTGGTTTGCAAATGCTCTTAAAGTTGAGGGCAAAAATGTGAAAAAGAAGAGTCTTTTTTTCCTCCTCACCCACGGTGAGGTCAGAGGTGGAGTTGCTTTAATAGTAAACACCAAACACAGGCTTTAGGGCTGGAAAAAGAACTGCTGCTGCTTCTTAGTGACATCACCCTTCCCAGAAGCTTGAACTGAGTTAATTTTAGTTCAGTTCAGTTTCTACCAGCCCTTTTAAAAAACATTTTAATAACTATTTATTAAGCTTTCTGTAAGCATCTGGCTTTATGCCAGAGGCTGTGGACTTGAAGATACATAAAATAGTCAAATTCATTCCTATCAGATGGATTATATTCTAGTACAACGAAGGCAAGATTTAAACCAAAAGAATGGCCACTGCCAAGCGTTTTGGCTCACATCTATAGTCCCAGCATTTTGGGAAGCAGAGACAGGAGGGTTGCTTGAGGCAGGAGTTCAAAACCAGCCTGGATAACATAACGAGACCCCATCTCTACAAGAAATCTTTTTTTAAAAAATAGCTGGGCATGGTGATGCACACCTGTAGTCCCAGCTACTCAGGAGGCTGAGGTGGGAGGATCACTTGAGCCCAGGAGCTCGAGGTTGCAGTGAGATATGATGACACCACTGCACCCCAGCCTGGGTGATAGCACAAGACCCTGCCTCAAAAAAAAAAAAAAAAAAAAAAAGCTTCATACACACGTTCATACACACGAGTACTAAGTACGCAAGTAAGTGCTCACACGATTAGGGTAGAAAGGGCTGGAAGCCCATCAGGACCGCTCAGGGCTCTCTGGATTTGTTGTATATGTTGTGTTGGCACCTCCTTGGCTTGACTGCCCCAAATAGAACCTGATGTGAAGGTGGAAGCAGTTATGTTTCCAGTTGCCTTTGCAAAGCCGTTATTGCAGGCACAATCTTTAAATGTAGACAGTGGGTTTCCAGAAGTCCTGCTCTGCTTCACCTTGGTTTGTTGGGCTTGTTCCAGAAGAATTGACCTCCTAGGAATGCCCTGCCCTTGCTGGAATGCCTTGGAAGAGCACAGTGAAAGGGAACTGGGGTCCATTGAAGGCCTCTCGCTGCCCAGGCAGAGGGAGATGGGCTTCCTGGAGCATTGGCTGGGCCACAGCTCCTCCCTCATTCAACACACAGTTGAGAGCATAGAGTATTGAAAAGGTGGAGTTTCTCTAATCAGTTTGGATGACTTTTCAAAGAGGAATCCCATTGTGTCTTCTAGTATGTGTCTAAGTGCATATGTTTGCTTCTGATTTGTAGGATAAAAAGCCCAAAGAACAAGAAAAAAGAGGGGATTTTCTTCATCGACCATTCTCCAAGAAGTTGGACAAGAACCTGCCCTCGCACAAACAGCCCTCAGGCTCGCTTATGACACAGATTCAGAACACCAAAGCCCTCCTGAAGGACCGGAAGGCCTCCAAGTCCAGCTTCCCCGACAAAGGTGGGTCAGCTCTGGGGACTCTCTCAGGCCACTCGTGTTGGGCTGTGTGTCCGCTGTGTAGCCCTCACAGGGGATGGTCGAATGGGCCCTAGAGCAGAGATGATTCCTGTGCCCACAGAAAAGCAGGATTAATGGACCTGAGGTTGCCTGAGCACAGTCCAGGACCAAGCTGTGTGGCATTAGCCATCTGTGCAGGAAGAATTTGAGAAAACAGAGATGGGGTGCAAAGTATTACGGAAACAGAAATTGGGGTGGATGATATTGTCAGAACAGAGGTTGGGAGGCACAGTATTGCAGGAGCAGAGATCAGGGTGTGTGGTACTGCAGGGGCAGAGATGAGGCTGTAAGGAATTGTGGGAGTAGAGATGGGGTGCAGAGCAGAGACCGGGTATCTCCCTGAGTTCAAATCCCAGCTCTACTGCCTGCAGAGGTCCAAGTTCCTTTAGTGCTGAGGATCTTCACTGGATTATTTGTAAGGCCTCCCACCTGTTGGAGCTGTTGGGTAGATGAGATGAGATGCATATATAAGCTCCCTCACCTGAGTCAGAATCCAGCCCATCACAGATAACTGACAAATATGTTTCCCTCCTCTGGGACGAGTGCTAAAAGATGCAAAAGGCAGACCTTACTGGGCACAGGCTTAACACATGGTAGAAACGCCAAGAGGGGACACAGGAGCTGAGGGCGTCCTGAAGCAGAGCCATGAAGTAGAGGAGAGGTTCTTATTACTGAGGGGGATGAGACACTTCTTGGAGTTCAATCTCCTAAAATATGAAAGACCAGGTTCAGAGAGGGCCGTGGCTGTCTGAGATACACTCAGGTGTAGCGGGCAGTTAGTCCCTGAGCGGGACTTGAACCTGCCTCCTGTCCTTCTATCTCCCATGCTGCTCCCGGAGAGAAGCCACTGTACCCACTTTGCCCAAAGCAACCTGCTTTCCCTGGGGCAGAGCATGCAGTGGATCGGGGAGGGGCAGCAGTGTCCATGTGGCAGCTGGAACACTGGAGACCTTGGCCATTAATGAAGTTTTACTTCTTTCTGCTGATGCATCTCAGGTGCCTGCGCCGGCCTTTCATTTCGGTGCCTGTGTGTTTATTTCTGCAAGGCAGGGAGGCTTCCCAGTGCCCTCAGCCACTCCCAAAATCGATCCCAGTGGGCAGGAGCTTGCTCCTGCAGCTGGGCCTCCACAGAGCCTATAAAACGTTATGGGAGAAGAAAGAAGCTAAGACAGAGCTTATTCCGCATGAACTTGGCTTTATTTCCCTCATCCCCAAATCTGTAGGGGGTTTCCCCTTTCTTTTCTGGCCCAGTTTCCAAACCTGGATTCTAGTCTATGCCAACCAGAGACAGAAACCATGGGGATCTGGCAGGTTGCCTTAACTGTATGGATGGATGATATTCTTCCCCCGTTCAGAATTGGATGAGGTTCCATCCAGATCAAAAGTCACGAGGGAGCCTTAAAAGGGAAGGAAATCCTGGCACATGCTCCAACACAGATGAACCTGGAGGACATTATGCTAAGTGAATTACGCCAGTCCCTAAAGGCGGATACTGTGTGATTCCACTTATATGAGGTCCCTAGAGTGGTTAGATTCATAGAGACAGGCAGTAAAATGGTGGTTGCTGGGGGTTTCAGAGAATGGGGATGTATATGGGGTGTTAGATTTGCAACAGGAAGACAGTTCTGGAGATTGATTCTACAACAGTGTGAATATACTTATTATTGCTGAACTGTACACTTAAAAATGGTTAAGATGATAACATTTCTGCTACGTGTTTTTTACCACAATAAATAAATTTTTTAAATGTCACAAGGGAAACATGTCTTCCACTGTGGGCTGTCCAAGGACCAGATTGGCAGGAATTCAGTCAAGGGACCTTGGTGTGCTTCTGGGAGTTTTATGGATGTGCTGTTGAGTGCATGTACCTTTTTTATTCCAAGATCCTTTGGCAAGGTCCAGAATTTTTTTTTCTTTTTTTTCTTTTTTTGAGACAGAGTCTCACTCTGTCACCCAGGCTGCAGTGCAGTAGTGCCATCACGGCTCACTGCAGCCTCCACTTCCCAGGCTCAGGTGATCCTCCCACCTCAGCCTCCCAAGTAGTTAGGACCACAGGTGCATGCCACCACACCCTGCTAATTTTTTAAAATTTTTTTAGAGACGGGGTCTTGCCATATTGCTCACGCTGGTCTTGAATTCCTGGGCTCAAGCAGTCCTCCCACCTTGGCCTCCCAAAGTGCTGGGATCACAGGCGTGAGCCACCGCTGCCTAGGGTCCAGAATTTTAAGCAACCAAAAGCAGGGACGATGTTAGGCTGGGGCCATGAGGCAAATTGGAATCCAGGAGACGTCCTGTCGCCAGCCCTCTGTCCCTCCATCCTAGGAAGACTGCCCGACCTCTGTGGGGAGAGTGACATGCTGCTGGTGACTTTTGCAAAGTAGCCAAGGCTGTTTGCCGGTTGGTTTCTTCTGACCTTGGCGGGAACTGTCTCAGTTAAGCTGGAGGTCACAGCAGGCAGGAGAAGGGCCGTGAGCACTGTCCGGACGTCCTCATGATTGTTTATGCTTTCTTGGTGTGCAGATTCCTTTGGCTGCCGCAATATTTTCCGCAAAACCTCAGATTCCAATTGTGTGGCTTCTTCTTCCATGGAGTTCATCCCCGTGCCACCGCCCAGGACCCCGAGGATTGTGAAGAAACCGGAGCCCCATCAGCCAGGGCCCGGAAGCACTGGCATCCCCCACAAGGAAGACCCCCTGATGCTGGACATGGTGCGCTCCTTCGAGTCTGTGGATCGCGACGACCACGTAGAAGTGCTGTCTCCCTCTCATCACTACAGGATTCTGAACTCCCCGGTCAGCTTGGCTCGCAGAAATTCCAGCGAGAGGACGCTGTCCCCGGGTCTGCCATCCGGAAGCATGTCGCCTCTCCATACTCCTTTGCATCCAACTCTGGTCTCTTTTGCTCACGAAGATAAGAACAGCCCCCCAAAAGAGGAGGGCCTGTGTTGCCCACCTCCGGTTCCCAGCAATGGCCCCATGCAGCCTCTGGGGAGCCCCAATTGTGTGAAAAGCCGAGGCCGGTTCCCTATGATGGGCATCGGACAGATGTTAAGGAAGCGCCATCAGAGTCTGCAGCCATCTGCAGATAGGCCCCTGGAGGCCAGCCTGCCCCCACTGCAGCCCCTAGCCCCTGTGAACCTTGCCTTTGACATGGCCGATGGGGTCAAGACCCAGTGCTAACTTGGGCCAGCGGGGTTTGGGGTATCTCTAGAAAACAGCAACTGAACAGAGCTCCACACATCTGTCAGGGTGTGAGCACTCCAAGGCCTCGCGTGGAGCATCCTTAGTCCCACCTGTAGCTGAATCCACAGACCCAAAGCCTGCACAACCCAACCTCGCTTAGGGACCCCCAGAGATGCTGGAATCGCTAGGAGGGTTGGCTCCAGGGGCAGCCAATTCCTATCATTCAGATCTTCCTTCCTCCCAAGTACTCACCAACCCCTTCCACTTCCCACTTCCCCCAGGCTTGGGGGGAAAACAGGGCATGAGCCTTCTGGGGCACTCAGATTATGGACTGTTACCAGATCTTTCTTCACGCTGTGCTACATGTGTGCCTCTCACAGCAGTTGGCCACAGTTACAGGGAGAGAACAATATCACAGTCATTCATCCAGGCCACGTTTCCTCTGCGGAGTGTAGCAGCCCTGCCTTTCATAGCAGGGATTACCTGAAGGCCAGCAGGAGCCGGGGGCAGGCCCAGGATCCTCAGAGGAAGATGGAGAGGAGCTTCGGACCAAGATCAAACCAAACAGTGGGGACCCCAACAGAAGAGAAAGACTGAAGGAGACACTCATTTCCCAAGCAAGATTTTGATAGATTTTTGTTGTTGTTGTTGTTGAAACATGCTAATGATTGAATTATCTTTTCCAAAGATTTTTTTTAAATGTGATGTCGGTAAATTGAAATAACATAATTTTTTAAAACTTGGATGGAGAGATGAGAAGCAATTCCACCAAACTCATGTTTTCACAGGAGGGTTCAGTGTGGAGAGCAAAAAAGCTGACTGTGGTGATTTGCTGAGTGCTGTGGCCCACAGGCAGGGCAAGTCTCGGTGGCCCTGTGTTCATCCTGTTGTTTAAGGCATAGCCCTGATCCTTCTGGAAGGCATAGAACACGGTTACAGCTGGTTCTGTAGAAAGAGGGAAAAGATGATTGTGACAATTCAGAGCATAACTCAGATGGCGAGAAGGCAGCATTATCTCTGTGCGATGCTGATTTCAAGCTGCCCACAGAACTGGTGCGGCTCAGAGCTCGGCGAGTTTGCTGGGAGCTGGGAGCAGGCTTGCCTGGCAGAGAACCTGTTCAGATACAGGCCAGTTTCTTCTTCGAGGAAAGCCAAGCTCCTCAAACAGGGTTCAGTCCACGTTGTGTTTTCACACCTTTCTCCAAGGATCGAACCAAAGATGTGTCTCCAGTATTGTGTCTGTGCCCCTGTGTGTGTTTTGTGGACAGCCGTGTTGTCTGACTGTATCCAGCTGGCACTTGACAGGGTGCAGTCATTGGTGAGAAGAATCAGAAAAAGAAGACCCATCAGCACAGGTTGGATAGGGGTTAGTGTAGGAGACCAGTTACAGAATGGCCTGGAGTCTTCAACTTTTGACCGGTGCAGGTGTGACCAGAGACCACCTCTGTGGCCACCTCAGATAGTCATCTCAGTCCAAGGATCCCAAAACACAAATCTAGAATTGCAAAGCCAGCCTTTATTTCCCTGGCAGGCAGCCTTGCCAGAAGGCAGAGAGGCAGTTCTGAATCATTCTCTCATTCACCAGTGGTGACATCCTTCAGTCCCTCACATCTCTGACAGAGCGGGACAGAATGGATATTTGGCTGACCTTGGTGAGACCTGGAGCTGCCTGTTTCTTCCCTAGGGGATCACCACGGCTCTAGGGCATTCTAGGATGAGGTCAGACCCCTTGGCCATTGGTGTTATTTTTTGTATAGCTTCAGACTGGGTTCCAGAACTTACCATTGAAAACAGAGCTTTTAGGCCAGGTGTGGTGGCTCACACCTGTAATCCCAGCACTTTGGGAGGCCGAGGCAGGTGGATCGCTTGAGCTCAGGAGTTCGAGAGCAGCCTGGGCAACATGGTGAAAGCCCGTCTCTACCGAAAAATACAAAAAAAAATAGCTGGGTGTGGTGGTACGTGCCTGTAGTCCCAGCTACTTCGGGGACTGAGGTGGGAGGATCACTTGAACCTAGGAGGTCGAGGCTGCAGTGAGCCAAGATCATGCTACTGCACTCCAGCTTAGGTGGCAAAGTGAGACCCTGTCTCCAAAAAAAGAAAATAGAGCTTTATAAGCAGAGAGAAGAAAATAATCATCTAAGACCATCTCTCCATTCGACATGAAGTGTACCTTTTCTAAAGACGGTTTCCAGCTGCAACGGCTCCACTTTGCAGGCTTGCAGGGTGTATACCTGCGCATTGGGAACTTGCTGGAACCCCTGATGCATTTTCCTTGAGAGCAGGGGTACTTCCGCCTTGCCGTTAGCTTGTGGAGAACGTGCTTCTTATTCCTGGCAGGCTTCAAGAACAGCTGCACATGTGCCGCTAACTGACCGCGTTGCCATTGGCGACCTGGACTCTGAACTCAGGTTTATTCTAAACCCAGTGAGAGGTGAGGGGGAGTGATGAAAGGGGATCAGCTGTATTTGTGTGTGTGTGTGTGTGTGAGCACCTGACAAATCTATGAAACCGAGTGAAAGGAGAAATGTTAGATTCTTTATTATTTTATTATATTTATATGGAAAGCTCGACTCTCCCTTTGGTAAGTCCGAAGCATGTTGTCTGTTCGACCGTGACTGTCTTCCTCAGTCTGTGCCTGTGATTCCAGTCACCCTGTAGTTACTGACAGAAATTGACTGGACTGTCATTGTGTGAAGTCTAGGAGGAAATGTCCATTTTAATTGTATGATTTGGTCATAAGTAAGGACTATATTTATGTCACCATTATTAGATATATGTACTTTTGTAATGACTGTGAAATACACTTTTCCCTCACTACGACTGCTTCTTTATTTGCTGATAAATCTTAAAACAACTAAGTACGTTGCAAATAATAGTACAGGTACCATCTTTTATGTGAAGTTCTTTTTCTTTTTTTGAGACAGGGTCTTGCTCTGTCACCCAGGCTGGAGTGCAGTGGCACAATCACAGTTCACTGCAGCCTCAACCTCTCCAGATTCAAGTGATCCTCCCATCTCAGCCTCCCAAGTAGCTGGGACTACAGTTGTGCACCACAATGCCTAGCTAATTTTTTTTGTATTTTGTAGAAATGGGGTTTCGCCATGTTGCTCAGGCTGATCTCAAACTCCTGGGCTCCAACGATCTGCCCACCTTGGCCTCCCAAAGTGCTGAGATTACAGGCGTGAGCCACTGTGCCTGGCCTTATGTAAAGCTCTTGACCTAGCATCTGACTGGAAACAAGCGGGAATTGCATTGGGGGGCATTTTCTGGGCCAGTTTCCCTGCCTTATTTTACCTGCAATAGGTGTGCCTACAAAAGTCTTTCTGACATACACACTGCAGGTGGCAGTTCAAGAAGAATCAACCTTTTTCATTTGGGGATATTAGGATCTTCCTTGGAGACTCTGAAAATGGCACACAAAGAATGGCAGTTATGAACGTGACTTCTAGATTTTGTCCTTGTAGGAGGCCTTGGTCATGGATAGGGGAAGAGGGATGATGGGATGGAATGGGAGGGTGGGATCTAGATGACCTCTTGAAATTGTCCCAGTTACTGCTTCCTTCATAACTGTTCACAAAACGTTTTTCATATATACCACCTTGTTTCCCCTGGGAAGTGAGGGGACGAAGCCTTAGAGGGTGACATAGCTAGAAAGTGGAGAAGCTCACTGTTCACTGTGCAAAGCCCCAGTAGTCGGATTCCGGGGAAAAGAACAAGTATCTAGTTTTGATGACAATGTTTTCTTGTAAGAATCCCAACACTTTAGAATAGAAAAGGACCTAAGATTCTCTGGCTCAGCCCCAGCCTTTCTGAAGAAGGGAAAACTAGGGACCCAGATGGTTTAAGGACACCCCAGAGTCCCCAGATGAGCTGGCATTTGAGCTGGTCTGGAGCAGAGTTTCTCCCTCAAAGAACACAGAGAAATCAGAGAGTGGCTGCCATGGTCAGAGGGGGATGTCAACAACAGATCAAGCCGTCATCACAACAGGTATTTCTGAAGTTCCTGCAGGGACTAGGTCTTGCATTTTTAAGTCCTTTTCAAAACTGTGCAGCTTCCTGAACCTTATGCTGTTTGTCCCATCCACTCTTGAAGCTGGGGAAAGACAGCTTTCTTTGGGAACTCTGTCTTTCTCAGTTGACTTCCCAAGTAAGCAGCAAACCCCTGGATAGCCTTGTTATCTACTTTAGGTATTAAGAGGCTATTGGGTTTTACTAGATTAAATCAATAAAACATTTCCTATAGAGCCATATCATACACTGAAGCAAATTCAGAAAGAATGCAAAACTGCTATCTTTTGGGGGAGTCTGGAAGCCTGTTGGTTAGTGTATTTATTTTCTTTGTGGGGTCTTCTGTGAGCTACAGGCACAGTAAGAATAATTCAGAGCGGTACTGGGAGTTGGTTCAATTTCATGTCATCACTTTTCAATGAAGGGAGTGCATTTCCTGAGTAGTAAATGAGTATATTATTTGTGGCAGCTTTTCTGTTAAGGGAGCTTTCCAGACATCTGGTTGCAAAGACAAATAGGATATATATTTGTACTTCTTCTCTGTGGACATGTTTTTGTGACACACAGTTATCTCTAGGAGTTGACGTCTGTGGGCACTAAGGGACTGAGGTTGGGGGAGAAAGCTGAGGAGGCTTTGGAAGAGAAGGTGAGGAGCATTTCAGGATTTGCAGTCCCCCTCCACATGTATCCACATCTGAGCTGGTGGTGTTCCAATAATGAGGCATTTGGGGCAACCAATTTTGGAAGGATAGAATAGCTTTATGTGGAGCAAACTTGAGGATCAATTGGAGTTGAGTGGTTTAAAACTTAAAGATGGCACAGGAAGCTGTATCATTTACAGGTGAAAAAAATAAATGGGTCTGACTTCAGGGCCTCAGCTCTTTGTATTTCCTACTTGGAAGATGGGCTATTAGCAATTTTGAAAGCAAAGGCTTTGGTTTACATTTAAACTCTATAATTTTTTTTAAAAATGTGTTCTTTCTAGTCTTGTTACCATAGCCAGCTGGAAAGGGCAAATTGCAAGCCTATATTGGGAACAAGTCTTCTTGCCGAAAGTAGGGCAGTGAAGTTCTTGGCAGATCTGAGATGAGAATGCCTTCCCCTGACTCCTTCATCAGTGTTCAGTGCTCACCTCCTCTGGCAACCAGTATGCTAGAAGATTAGGCTTTGCTATGATCACAAATTAATTCCAAATCTCTGTGACTTGCCCAATAAAGGTTTATTTCTTAAAATATTTTTATGAGGCTGGGCTGACCACAAAACGGCTGTCTTCCATATGGTGACTCAGGGATCCAGGCTACATCCAACTTGTGGCTGTGTCCCCTCAAAATGAAACGTCTTTGGCTGCTCCAGCACAGGAAGGCACGGCTGGAGAGTTTTCCACCAGCCCTTAAACATTCTATGAGGGGACTCATCACTTCTCCCACAGCCCATTGACTGGAACTGGTCACACTGCCTTGTCTGTGAGCAAGAGGCTGGGAAATACAGGAGCATAGGGCTACTTGGGATGCAGCTAATGTTTCTCCCATCTTAGGGAAGGTACAGCTGCCTGCCATTTATTTGTTCTTTGTTTTTGTTTTTGCTTTTGTTTTGAGATGGAGTCTCCCTCTGTCACCCAGGCTGGAATGCAGTGGCGCAATCTCGGTTCACTGCAACCTCCACCTCCTGGGTTCAAGCGATTCTTGTGCCTCAGCCTCCTGAGTAGCTGAGACTATAGGCACATGCCACCATGCCCAGCTAATGTTTGTATTTTTAGTAGAGACGAGGGTTTCACCGTGTTGGCCAGGCCGGTCTTGGACTCCTGACCTCAAGTGATATGCCCGCCTTGGACTCCCAAAGTTCCAGGATTACAGGCATGAGCCACCGTGCCTGGCCGAGATGCCTACCATTTAAAGGTACCCCAAAACTGGACTAGCCTTTTCCCATTGTCACACAATTATAGCACCTCTTAGTAAAGAGTTACTTTTTTAAAATAAAAGAATTAGCATTGGTAAATGTTAATATTTAAGGAGAGTGTTTTGGGCTGAATTCTTTCCTCCACAAATTCATATGTTGAAACCCTCAGCCCCAGTACCTCAGAATGTGACTACTTAGAGATAGGGCATTTAAAGAGGTGAGTAAGTTAAAATGAAGCCTTTAGGGAGGAACCTAATCAAATCTGACAAGTGCCCTTATAAAAATGTGAGGTCTGGGCTGGGCGTGGTGGCTCATGCCTGTAATCCCAGCACTTTGAGAGGCTGAGGTGGGCGGATCATGAGGTCAGGTGTTTGAGACCAGCCTGGCCAACATAGTGGAACCCCGTCTCTACTAAAAATACAAAAAATTAGCTGGGCGTGGTGGCAGGTGCCTGTAATCCCAGCTACTTGGGAGGCTGAGGCAGGAGAATCGCTTGAAGCTGGGAGGCAGAGGTTGCAGTGAGCCAAGATCGCGCCACTGGCACTCCAGCCTGGGCGACAGTGCGAGACTCCATCTCAAAAAAAACAAAAAAACAAAAACAAAAAAAAATGTGAGATATGGATACACAATGGGACACCAGACGGAGGAAAGACCAGGTGAGGACACAGAGAAGGCAGCCTCAGGAGTGAAGCTTCAAGACGAACCAGCTCTGCTAAAACCTTGATCTCAGACTTCCATCCTCCAGAACTGGGAGGATATAAATGTCTGTTGCTTAGATCCCGGTGAGGTATTTCATTACAGTAGCCCAGGCCGACTAACACGGGGAAAAGGTCAGATAGTAAAATTTACATCTTCTAGGAATCTCATATGTTTTGCCCCATATGCCAAATTTCCATTTATCCTTTTCTGACTAAATCACTCCCAGAAAATTTCTCTTTTTTGGAGTGAAATTCCACCCTCTCCTCTCCTCTCCTTTTCTTTTCTTTCCTTTTCGAAGCAGAGTCTCACTCTGTCACCCAGGCTGGAGTGCAGTGGCGCGATCTCGGCTCACTGCAACCTCTGCCTCCTGGGTTCAAGCAATTCTGCTTCAATCTCCTGAGTAGCTGGAACTACAGGCATCCGCCGCCACACCCAGCTAATTTTTTGTATTTTAGTAGAGACGGGGTTTCACCATGTTGCCTAGGCTGGTCTTGAACTCCTGAGCTCAGGCAATCCGCCTGCCTTGGTCTCTCAAAGTGCTAGGATTACAGGCGTGAGCCTCTGTGCCCAGCCTGAAATTCCACCTTTTCTAAGTGTTTCTTGTGCTTTAAGCTCAGTGTGCCAATTATTTTCAAGTTTCTTTCTTCCTTTAATCCAGAGGTCTGCAAACTTTTTCTGTTAAGGACCAGAAAATAAATATTTTAGGCTTAGGAGATGACTGTTGCATATTAGTCTGTTGCGTATTACTCTGCATTGTTTTTAAGTTTAGTTTAGTTTTTGTTTTTGCTATAACCCTTTGAAAATATGAAAACTGTTCTTATCTGGTGGACCTACAAAAACAGGCCATAGCAGATTTTGGCCCTCAGGTAGTTATTTTGCTAACCCCTGATTTAATCTTCACAAAAACTCCGTGAAGTGTCATATTTTCTCTATTTTATAGATTAGTTTTGTGGGTTTTATAGATTGTTTTTGTTTTTAGTTTTTGTTTGTTTTTTGAGACAGAGTCTCACTCTGTTACTTATGCTGGAGTACAGTGGTACAATCATGGCTCACTGCAGCCTCGACCTCCTGGGCTCAAGTGATCCTCTCACTTCAGCCTCCCAAGTAGTTGGGACTACAGGCACATGCCACCATGCTAGGCTAATTTTTTAAGTTTTTTGTAGAGATGGGGTCTCACTATATTGCCCAGGCTGGTTTCCAACTCCTGGGCTCAAGCAATCCTCCTGCCTCAGCCTCCCAAATTGCTGGGAATACAGGCGTGAGCCATCATGCCCAGTTGACACAATCAGGACTTCTGCAATCACACACCACAACTTTCATGTTAGGAACTCACCACTTGAAAGACAGAGAGGGCTCCTTTTGTGACATCTGGGCCAGTGGGCTCTCAGAAGGGCCTGTGGCTAATGGTAACAAATTTGTTAAGAGTTTTGCAAAATGATTCAATCTAAGGGAACTTGGAGGTGGGGAGAGACCCTGGCTCTTTTCTTTGCCACTCCTTCCTTCGTTGCTTTTTGTAGATTTCCAGGGTTGGTTGCCAGCCACAGGAATGGCAGTGCTACAGGAGAGCCATCCTGGTCTCGAGTCTGTCATTACTATTTGTTCCCCACCTTTAGATTCAATCCTGTCTTCATCTGTGCAGAATGGAACATGGCCCTAGTCCCCAAGCTGTTTTCCATTCAAGCTGTTTCCCTTTTCTCTTTTGTGAATAGCCTCTCAAAAATGGGCTCTTAATTGCTTATAAAAAGACAGAGCTTACTCAAAGTCTCAGGAAACAAGTCTAAATCTGGAGCAGATGTGAAGCTGGATGATGCTTGTAGACAGATCATTACCATTACTCACAACTGGGTGACGTGCGGGCCATTGGGATGGACGAGTGTCCCCGCCAGTGAAAGATGAATCATGTCATCTGAGTCAGAGAATTTCAAAGAGCCATTCAGAGTCCTTACCACCCAGAGCCCCTTGAATTATCTGAGCCATTCTCACGTTCAAAGCATTAGGCCAACTCAGAGAATCACAGGAACAATGGTGGTCACCCAGCCTTGGGCTTAGATCTCCAGAAGTTTGAATGAAGAAATTTTGGATTTTCAGATTCTCAGGCTAAGCACAATGCAACTTGTTGGAGCATCCTTTTCACAACTCACTGCTACTTTTTTTTTTTTTTTTTTGAGACAGAGTATCCCTCTGTCACCCAGGCTGGAGTGCAGTGGCGCGATCTTGGCTCACTGCAACCTCCACTTCCCAGGTTCAAGCGATTCTTGTGCCTCAGCCTCTCAAGTAGCTGGGACTACAGGTGTGCACCACCATGCCCAGCTAATTTTTGTATTTTTAGTAGAGATAGGGTTTCACCATGTTGGCCAGGCTCCTGACCTCAGGTGATCTGCCCACAGCCTCCCAAAGTGTTGGGATTATAGGTGTGAGCTAACCCACCCAGCCTCACTACTACTTTTAAAACAAAACAAAACAAAACAAAGCATTTTTACCTAAAACTAATATATTATGTATCCCAGATACAAAATCAGTTGAATTTTGTCAGTACAATCCTTATTGTCCTCTAAGCATTCAGGGAATCATTTTAATAAGCAGGTGATGCAATTGAGACCAGAATGGAGAAATGATGCATTGAAGAACTCACAACTTGTCAGTTACAGCCTCTGCCTTCAAGCTCAGTTCTCCTCCCAGGAACCTGGACAAAGAACCCAGAATTAAAAGAGGATCTGGGGTGCTTGGGGTGTCATGATGTCTGAGGTCTACTCAGTCCCTTTTGCAAAATTTTGCACAACAGAAAGGGTGGACATGGTGATGGCCATAGTAGGAAGAAGGAAATTGATTTGTGAGGAGTGTTTGAATGAAGAGGGTGTATGTGAGTGCTCTTTTCACCTTCCTAAGCTTGGTTTGTCTTGCCCTCCTCTGAGTACTCCTAGCAGCAATGATTACGTGTAATAATTGTTACATTACTGTTTCTCCCAGGGCTCTGGGACACTGTCTTACATATCTTTTTAACTATACCCAGTGATCCAACCACGTGGATGAATGAGTAGATGATGGATGGATGGATGGATGGTGAATGGGTGAATGGGTAGATGCATGTATAGATGGATGGGTAGATGGTGAATAGATGAATGGCAGGATGGATAGACAATGAATGGATGGATGGGTAGGTGAATGGATAGATGGTTAGATGGCTGGATGGAAGGATAGATGAGTAGATGATAGATGGTTGGTGGGATGAATGGGTAGATGATGGATGAATGGGTAGGTGATGAATGGATGGATGGGTGGGCAAATGAATGGATGGATGGATGGATGAATTGAGTTGATAATAAATGTTAAGGGGAGTTAGATGAACCAGATTAGTGGATTTCTGGGAGGGCAGTTCAAGGAAAGGAAAATACTTCCTTAATCCACAGTGTAAACTCTCAAATACACAATAAACAAAAAAATAGAGGGCCTGGAAAACAAATAGAGCTCTAACTTTGGGTACAAATAGCCTTTACAGCATTGCCTCCTCCTACCATGGATCCACTCACTCACCACCCTGAAAGCAAGGAATCACAAACCCCGGTTGCACGGTGAGGCCATTGCCCCTGTTGTCAAACGCATGTGTGTCTATTTGATTGTTTTCTTTTGGTGACCTTACAGGGATTTGGCAAGGAGATAAGGTGACTATCAAATAAGCCAGAACAGGTACCCTGCCACTCTCTCCACCCACACAGCTGTTTATGAGGCCAGTGTACTGAGGCCCAAACTGCTCTGTAAAGTCAAAGTAAATCCTGACTGAAGTACTGTGTTAGCCTCACTTTCATGCCTTGTCAGCCCAAGCTTCCAGCTGTGTTGTGCAAAACCATCTCAAAGCTATAGTTGGTTAATTAGGCATTTTCACAGGAGATGGGTAGCTAATCAAGATGATGTTCACACAGCTATGTCTCACCCCAGCTAACCTGCTCACTTCTCCACTGCTATGGGCTGAATTATGCCCCCCAAATTCATGTGGAAGCCTGTCCCCCAGTACTTCAGAATGTGTCTGCATTTGGAGCTAGGGCTTTTAAAGAGGTGATTAAGTGATTAAGGTGGGCCCTAATCCAGTGTGACTGGTGTCCTTATAAGAAGGGGAAATTGGGACACACAAAAAGACACACCAGGGATTCAGGCACACAGAGGAAAGACCATGTGAGGACACTGTGAGAAGGCAGCCGTCTGCCAGCCAAAGAGAGAGGCCTCTGGAGAAACCGAACCTGTCAACACCTTAATCTTGGACTACTGGTCTCCAGAACTGTGAGAAAATACATTTCTGTTGTTTAAGCCACTCAGTCTGTGGTGTTTTGTTATGGCAACCCTGGTAAACTGATATACCCACAAACCCAGGTGTGGAAATAATGAAGCCCCTTCACGGAGAACAAACAGGCTGTTTATTCAGAGCTTGCTGTAGCAAGGGAGTTGGCCACCATCACTTGCATGGGGCAGAGACTCAAAGGCAGGCAGAGGAGTGGGAAAGTGTCATTGGGGGAAAAGGGAAGGCTTCAACTAGGATCTGACTGGAGGTTGTTGGCACAGGGAAACTGGAGGTGGCCTAATTAGCAGTAGGACATTGTATTAGTTCATTCTCACACTGCTATAAAGAACTACCTGAGACTGGGTAATTTATAAAGAAAAGAGGTTTAAGTGGCTCGTGGTTCCACAGGCTGTCCAGGAAGCATGATTCTGGCATCTGCTCAGCTTCTGGGGAAGCCTCGGGAAACTGACAATCATGGTGGAAGGTGAAGAGGAAGCAGGCTTGTCTTTCATGACTGGAGTAGGAGGAAGAGAGCAATGGGAGAGCTGCTACACACTTTTAAACAGCCAGATCTAGTGATAATTCACTCACTATCATGAGAACAGCACCAAAGGGGAAACCCTCCCCCATGATCCAACCACCTCCCACTGGGCCCCGCTTCTAACACTGGAGCTTATAATTTGACATGAGATTTAGGCTAGGACACAGACCCAAACCATATCAGACATTTTATGTGATTTTGGTTTTGGCGAAATATTTGACTTTTTTTCTGAGATGAAAATCAGGGCAAAAGTAGGAAAGCTGGCAGTCGTTGACCAAGTCCTGACCACTCTGGGCCCACAGCTGCAGAGGTTTGGCTTCATGGATCGGTTATTGCAGAGGCTGAGGGCCTGAGTTCTATTGCTGTGTGTGATCTGGCCGTCGTCCATTTATGTATTCAGTGTCTTACAGGAGTGGTGGGATGTCTTCTCACTCATGTCTGCCTGGCTGCATTTGTTTCCTAGGGCTATTATAACAAATTATCACAAACTTGATGTCTTACAACAGGAATGTATTCTCCCACAATTCTAGAGACAAGAAGTCTGAAATCAAGGTGTCAGCAGGGCCACTCTCTCTCTGAAGGCAGTAGGGGAGGAACTTTCCTTGCATCTTCCTGTTTCTGGTGGCTCCCAGCAATCCTTGGCATTCTTTGGCCATAGGAGCATTCCTCCATTCTCTGCCGCCATCTTTACATGGTGTTATTCCCTGTGTGTGTCTTCACATGTCCTTCTTTAAGGACACAAGTCACTGGATCTAGTTAGGGATCCACCCCAACCCAGTATGAACTCACCTTAACTAATTACACTTGCAATAACTCTATTTTCAAATAAGCTTACCTTCTGAGGTCCCAGCAGACATGAATTTTGGAGGAGACACTATTCAACCCAGTATACTAGTTAAGGGCCCTCTTTTGCTGTCACCGGGGCTTAACGCCTGATGAATCAGGACCTGACATGGGGCCACAATGGGGGATTCAACTCTGTGACGTCTTGGGACATCCAGAGTAGAAGATGGTAGGATGTGACCTTTTGGGTGGAAACTTTGGGACCCTTACGAAAGGGAGGAAAGGAATCCACATCTGATCATGTGGAGTGATTGACAGGCCCACTCCAAGGAACACAGATCCTGGGGCCAAGCTGATGATCCGGTGATCTCCTAACATAGATTTTCACAAAGGAATCAGAGAGACAACTAGGATGACTTGGGGGTCGGGGTGGGGGCTCTTGATTGTGGGAATGCTGTGCCAGGGGTTTATGGAGTCTTGACATAACCTGTGAGTCTTCAAAAAGCACATAGATTGTCAACATGAGTTGTTGACCCCAAAACTGTATCTCTAGAACAGAATATTCCCTGGAGCATCAGGCAGGTTTATCAAACCCAGAGGAGATCCACATTCAATTCGTTATGTCCAGAGCCAATGAGCTCATTCCCCAAGACCAGGTCTTCCTGTGCTCCCTCTTGTATGATGAAGGGCATCACAGACTCCACTTTGCCCAAGCGCCAACCTGAGCATCATCCTGAACCACACTCTCCTGCATCTAGTCCATTTACAAATCTTACCAGTTGTACCTCTTGTTTGCTTCTTGCTAAGTCAAGTGCCCCAAAGATGAAGGGCTATCAAGGGCCACCAGTACCAACTCCAGAGGGGAGGATGAAGCCCACTCTCTTTCTATGCTTGACGTTTAGCATGGTGCAGTGAAATACACATCAAATCAGGAACCATCCACAAAACAGGGATTTGAGGTAATAAGGTGGTATTGCTTGAATTTTTGTCCCTTTTGAAACTCATATTAAAACTTAATCCCCAATGTGACAGTGTTGGGGTGGGAGTCCTTTAAGAGGTGATTGAGTCATGAGGGCTCTACCCTCATGAAGGAATTAACCCATTCCCCAGTTAATGGGTTAATAGATTAGTGATTTATCACTGGAATGGGTTAGTTGTAGGAGAGCAAGTTGGCTGTCTCTTGTGAGCCCCTTGCCATGTGATGCCCTGCACCACCTCAGGACTCTACAGAAAGTGCCCACCAGCAGAAGACTCTCACTAGTTGCAGCCCTTCGGCCTTGGACTTCCCAGCCTCCAGAACTGTAAGAAATAAATTTTTTTATAAATTGCCCAGTCTCAGGTATCCAGTTACAGCAACAGAAAATTGACTAAGACATAGGATCAATGCTATGATTAAAGAGTTAATATATGCAAGACACTTAGGACAAGCTGTACAAAGTGGGTGCTACAGAAGCATTAGCTATTGCATGGTGGTGGCTGTGCGATTGTACTATTGGATAGAGTCAAGGGGTCTGGTTCTCAACCTTGATCTGCATTAAGCAGCTATGGACAAGTTGCCCCCACTGCCCCCCACCACCAAGGGACAGATTCCTCACTGAAAATAAAAAACAAAAAACAGAACAAAACAAAACAAAATCAGAATTGATTTTGGCCCCTTGAGAGACTGAACACATGTTCTAGTGTCACTACCATTTTTCAAAATGGTTTTGTGGAATTCCGTTTTGCCCACGGAATTCATCATGTTTTTTTTTTTTTTAACAAAAATCAACTTTTTATTTTGCAATAATTGAAGATTCACAGAAAAGTTACAAAGATAGTATAGAGAGTCCCCAAATACCCCTCATCCAGTTTCTCCCATTGTTAGCATCTTATATAATCCATTACATTTGTCAAAATGAAGGAAGTGGCATTGGGTTACTACTATTAACTAAACTCCAGACTTTACTTGGGTGTCGCTAGTTTTTTCCTTAATGTCCTCTTTCTGTTCCAGGATCCAACTCAGGGTACTCAATTGCATTTAGTTGTTATGTCTTTACAGTCTCCTGTGGTTTGAAGCAATTGGTCAGTCTTTTCTTGCTTTTCATGACCTTGAGAGTCTTGAGGAGAACTAGCCCAGTATCCTATTGAAGGTTCCCCCGTCTGGGTTTGCCTGTTGCTTTCATCATGAATAAACTTGGGTTATGGATTTTTGTTAAGAATGCCATAGAGGCGAAGTGTCCTTTTCATCACATCATATCAGGGAGTACATGATAGCCAGATGATATTACTTATGGTATTGACCTCAGTTAAGGAAGAGTTTACCTTAACCATCACTCATTTAAGGTGGAGTTTCCCAGGTTTCTCAATTGCAAAGCTTCTATTTCTCCCTTTCTCTAGTCTTTGGAAGTAAGTCACTAAGTCTAGCCTACCCTTAAGGTGTGGGAGGGATTGAGTGCCACCCCCTAGAGGGGTGAATATTTACATGTATTATTTCAAATTCTTCTTTAAGGAAGATGTGTCTCTTTTCCCCCATTATTTTATTTACTTGATCATTTATTTATATCAGTATGGAGTCATAGATATTTATTTTATAGTTTGGGTTATAATCCAATACAGCATTATTTATGTTGTTGCTCAAACTGTTGCGGCTTTGGCCATTGGGAGCTCTTTCAGGCTGATTCCTGTTTCTTTTTGACATGCTTCCTTCCCTTTGATTTTTGAGCACTTCCTCACCTCCTGGCACTACAAGATATTCCAAGCTCATGTTGTATTTCCCTTGCTCCAGCCCTAGAATCAGCCATTTCTCCAAGGAGCCCTCGTTCATTACATTCTTTTGAATGTTACCAATAGTGGCAAATTCAATTTCTTTGTGGGTGGAATTAACAACCAAAAGTCAATTGGAATCATATCTGGTGAAATAGATTGGTAATCAAGAGCATTAAATAACATCTTTCATCAAAAACTGTGTGACGGCATACAAACACATATTTATAGCAGCACAATTCACAATTGCAGAGATATGGAACCAACCTAAGTGCCCATCAACAAGTGAGTGGATAAAGAAAATGTGGTATATGTACACCATGGAATACTACTCAGCCATAAAAAGGAATGAAATAATATCTTTTGCAGCAACTTGGATGGAGCTGGAGGCCATTATTCTAACTAAGTGAAGTAACTTAGGAATGGAAAACGAAATATTGTATGTTCTCAGTTATAAGTGGGGGCTAAGCTATGAAAATGCAAATACATAAGAATTATATAATGGACTCATTTATCCCTCACCCCCCTTCCCAACCTTCTCTCTCAGGTGAGGGATCAAAGACAACACATTGGATACAGTGTACACTGCTTGGGTGATGGGTGCACTAAAACCTCAGAAATCACCACTAAAGAACTTATCCATGTAACCAAAAACCACCTGTACCCCAAAAACTATTGAAATAAAAATAAAAATTAATTATTAAACCCCCCCCCCAAAAAAAAAACCAACACTGTGTGACAGAAAGTAAGCATTGAGCCCAAAGAATTGTCAAGGCTGAGAAGCAAACACAGCCAGAGTTTCTTTTAAAAAAAGGCTTGGCCGGGCATGGTGGCTCATGCCTGTAATCCCAGCACTTTGGGAGGCCGAGGCGGGTGGATCACAAGGTCAGGAGATAGAGACCATCCTGGCTAACACGGTGAAACCCCATCTCTACTAAAAATACAAAAAAATTAACTGGACGTGGGGGCGGGTGCCTGTAGTCCCAGCTACTCAGGAGGCTGAGGCAGGAGAATCACTTGAACCTGGGAGGCGGAGGTTGCAGTGAGCCGGGATGGCACCACTGCACTCCAGCCTGGGTGACAGAGCAAGACTCCGTCTTAAAAAAAAAAAGGCTTTAACATTTTCCAGTCACTTTAGTATTTATGCCTAAAACAATCTGATCAGCTTTCTGCTTTTGTGGGATGCATTGAGCATGAACAATGTCACTGATGTTAAAGGAGCAAATGAGCATTCTCTTCACTTTTGAAATAAGTATTTTTCTTACGTCTCAGGGATGTTGAGGCTTTCTACAGCGAACGTTGATGCTTTACTTCTGGACCATAATAGAAACACTATGTTCTACGATCGGTCATTATTTTTCTCTAAAACATGTGCTTTTTGTTTTTTCAAACCTCCCTTGAAAAATCAGAGCAAATGCCAAGGCTTTTGAGTGTAAGTTTATCATTCAAAATTGTTGGCAAGTTTTCACAGAAATTTCCCTGCTGTCCCAGTTCTCTTCCCTCTGAATGTAACACTCCGGCCAACGTGCTCACAATTACTTGTTCAGCGCACTGCCTGGTTCAGCACTTCCACAGCCCTTGTGAGTGACGAGGCTCCATGGCAGAGCCATCTCCTTCCTTCCTTAAACCTTCCATGACAACCCCTAACTCTTGTCTTTGCCATCTGTGCTTGGCTCTTTCTCCACATATTCCTTTTTAACATGTCAAATGTCTTGCTGGCCCCACTGTGTTACTTTATGCAAAATGTGAGGCTCTTTGTTCCTAAAACTGCTATCATTTTTACTCAGGCATGAGCACCCGCACTTCCTTACCCTCTGGCACAAATCTGCCTGCAAGGCAGGTTGTAGCAAGTCCCTGTTAAGACTGGTCTTTGATTTCCACTGGCCTCAAGGGACACCTCCTTGGGTACACAGAAATCCATTTCATTGGTTGGACAGATACTCACAGTGCAGAGCTAGAAATGTCTGTGCTGCCCTTAGAAGGACTACATGTCACTCAGCTAGGAGACACCCCCAGAAATTCCCCATCAAACTCTATTCCACAGAGCCCCCATCAATGACAGTAAACCATGCCAGTACTGCCCTAGATCAATCCCACACAGTTGCAGCGTGAGTCTCTTCTCTCTTTCCCTTCTTATCCCAACTTACCCAAATTTAATGAAAATGCTGAAATCGAAACTGACCGAAATAGAAATTGCTGCTCCCATATTTAAGCACTGTTCAGTGCATCTTGCTCCCCCACATTCTGGATTCTTCTCCCACTGCCTCATTGAAATTGCTCTCTAGCTTCACCAGGAGCTCCCTTGTGGCAAAATATAATGGACATTTTTCATTTATTTCTCTGGGCTCTCTCTGTCTGTCATGGTAGAAATTGTGTGTCCCCTGCTACCCACCCCAATTCATGTGTTGAAGCGCTGACCTCCCATGTGACTGTATTTGGAGACAGGATCTTTAAGGAGATAATGAAAGTTAAATCAGATCATAAAGGCAGGGCCCTAATCCAATAGGACTGATGCCCTTCTAAGGAGGTGGGGGTGGGAAGAGAGAGAGAGAGAGAGAGACAGACCAGGGATGCGTGCACAGAGGCAAGGCCACATGAGGACACAGCAAGAAGGTGAACATCTGGAAGCCAAGGAGAGGCCTCAGGAGAAACCACACCTGCCAATTTCTGGATCATGGACTTCCAGCCTCCAGAACTGTGAGAAAATCAATGCCTCGTGGAAGGCACCCAGTCTTGTATTTGCTATGGCAGCCTGAGCAGACTAACACACGCTCCTTCTAGAAACACTCTATTATCCCAGCTCTGTGATTCTCTTCCCACCTTTCCAACGATTCCTGGAGATTTCCTCTTTCAAGTATTCTGAGTGTTGCTGTCTCTGTCTTCCATCCACAGCCTTCTCACTCATAGCATTTCAAGCATTTCAACTCCTATTCCCAAGCCAAAGTCATCAACATCTATGTCCCCTGGAACTTCAGATGTGAGTGTCCAATTTCTGGTTGGAAGTCTCCCAGGTATCTCATAGGAACCTCAAAGTCAACACGTGCAAAGCTGAACTTACCCCTTTTCACCTGTTTGTTGTTGTTGTTGTTGTTGTTTGTTTGTTTGTTTTTGAGACGGAGTTTCACTCTTATTCCCCAGGCTGGAGTGCAATGGCACAATCTTGGCTCACCACAACCTCCGCCTCCCAGGTTCAAGTGATTTTCCTGCCTCAGCCTCCCGAGTAGCTGGGATTACAGGCATGCGCCACCACGCCCAGCTAATTTTGTATTTTTAGTAGAGATGGGGTTTCTCCATGTTGGTCAGGCTGGTCTCGAACTCCCGACCTCAGGTGATCCGCCCACCTTGGCCTCCCAAAGTGCTGGGATTACAGGCGTGAACCACCGCGCCCGGCCCTGTTTCACCTGTTTTGCCTGTAAATCTGCCCCCATGCCTATGGCCTCTATCTGTATTTCCCAGACGCCCCCAAGCCAGAATCCCGGCCATTGTGCTAAGTTGTCTTCTCCCTCGGTTCCCACATTCAACAAGCCTCAAGAGTTTGCTCTGTCCCATCCTCACTGAAGCCTCTCCCCTTCTTCAATAGCCATCACACAGGCCTTTGTTGCCTCTGGCCAAGCCTATCACAGCAACCATCTGATGGGCTTTCTCAAATCTATCCCTTGTCCTACCGGCCACTGCCCTTAACCAATATTAAATTTTGACCATGTCAATCCTTAACATTTGACATTAAACATTAAAGCTTAACATCTTTGGTGCCTCTGGAATAACTCTCAGCTAATGTCCTCACTCCTTAGCAAGAATATGGGGCCCAGTGCAGCGTGGCTCCTGCTCACCCTCCAAGCTCAACTTTTACTCTTTTTTGCCTGCAACTTTGTGCTTTAGCCATGCTCAGGGTGCTCCTTCCCGCGCATCTGCTGTCTTCTCTGAGGGCCCCACTCGTGTATGTCTGTCTCTGTGTCCAAACTTCTCCTTTTATAAGAACACCAGGGGGCCAGGTGTGGTGGCTCATGCCTGTAATCCCAGCACTTTGTGAGGCCGAGGCGGGTGGATCACCTGAGGTCGGGAGTTCGAGACCAGCCTGACCAACATGGAGAAACCTGTCTCTACTAAAGATACAAAAGTAGCTGGGTGTGGTGGCGCATGCCTGTAATCCCAGCTACTGGGGAGGCTGAGGCAGGAGAATCGCTTGAACCTGGGAGGCAGAGGCTGTGGTGAGCTGAGATTGCACCATTGCATTCCAGCCTGGGCAACAAGAGCAAAACTCTGTCTCAAAAAATAAATAAATAAAAAAGAACACCAGGCATATTGAATTAGGGACCACCCTGATGACTTCGTCTTAACTTGATTACCTGTCTCAAGACCCTGTCTTATTCTGCTTGGGCTGTGATAACAAAGTGCCATAGTCTGGGTGGCTTAAACGACAGACATCTATTTCTCGCAGTTCTGGAGGTTGCAAAGTCCAAGGTCAGGGTACTGGCATGGCTGAGTTCCAGTGAGATTCCTTTCTCCTCTCTCCCTGTGTCCTCACACAGCAGAGAAAGAGAGAGATCTAATGTCTTCCTTTTCTAATAGGGGCACTAATCTCATATGGAGCCTCCATTCTCATGACCAAATTTAGCCCTAAGGTTCTACCTCCTAATGCCATCACCTTGGGGGCTAGGGTTTCAACATATAAATTTGGGGGGACAAAAATATTTGGTCTATAACAGAACCCGTCTTCCAATAAGGTCTCATTCTCACCTCAACATATGGATTTAAGGGAGATAACAATTCAATCCAAAACAGCCAGCTAGCTGGGGGGTGAGAAATTTTGTTCAAACTTTCCCACAGTGACTCCAGAGAAAACTTTTCTCTGCAATTTGTGGGATGGGCTGGCTTGAGGATGGGAGTGTGGAAAGGGACAGAGGATCTGATGAAAGATACCAGAGCCCCGACGTTGTGATGAACTTTATAGAAAAGCTTCCTGATCGCCAGTGGTGAAGGCCACCAGTCTGTTCATGGCGATGACATTCTTTCCTGCCCAGGATATAACATTGGCTGGGACTGATGCCTTTTGTTTCCTTCATTAGCCACTGGTCTGTCTGGTTTTCATCTTATCATGATTATAATAGGAATAGTGATTACAATTTCTTCAACAAAAATTTATTTGCATCTATAACACGCTGGGCATTGTAAAGATTGTTGGAGATTTTAAGCTGTGACTTCGTTGTGGTCCTTGAATGTCAAAAAGAGAATCACATTTTTATGTGTTACTGGAAAAGTAGCGACTTCCTAAAAGTTTTTTTCACCCTAATTGTGCTAGTTAACAAGCTCAGAAGAGCAGAAAAAAAAAAACAAAAAAAGTTACCACCAAATCCCATGACCTAAATTTGGTGTATCCTCTTATAATTTTTTTCTATACCTTTAGAAATGCATGTGTTACCCTTTTATATGGTTTGTTCATTTAAAAAATTTTTTATTTTGAAATAATTTTAGACTCACATATAAGTGGCAAAAGGAGTACAGAGAATTCCTCTGTACTCTTCCCCAGGTTCCACAGCGATAACATTTTTAAAATTTTTTATTTTTAAAATTGTGGTAAAATACAAATAACACAAAATTGACCATTTTAAAGATGTTGAAGTACACAGCTCAGTGGCGTTAAGAACATTCAGGCCAGGCGCGGTGGCTCACGCCTGTAATCCCAACACTTTGGGAGGCCGAGGCAGGTGCATCACCTGAGGTCAGGAGTTCAAGACCAGCCTGGCCAACATGGAGAAACCCCATCTCTACTAAAAATACAAAAATTAGCCAGGCGTGGTGGCGGGTGCCTGTAATGCCAGCTACTTGGGAGACTGAGGCAAGAGAATCGCTTGAACCCGGGAGGCGGAGGTTGTAGTGAGCCGAGACTGTGTCACTGCACCCCAGTCTGGGAGACAGAGTGAGGCTCTGTCTCAATACAATACAATACAATACAATACAATACAATACAATACAATACAATACAATACAATACAATACAATAAAAACAACAACAAAAAAACCATTCTCAGTGTTACGCTGCCATCACCAGCATCCATCTCCAGACCTTTTTTCCATCTTCCAAAATGGAAACTGTGCCAATTAAACAACTTCACCTTCCCTCTCCCCACAGGCCTTGGCGACTCCCGTTCTACTTTCTGTCTCTGTGAATTTGACTACTCTAGGGACTCAAGGGGCCCTGGCTTCCCTGCTATGAGTGAACTTGAAGGAGCAGGGAGGAGTTTCCAAGACACCCAGTTTCCCTCTCCCTGGGCTGCAAGTCTGGCAGGCCACTGGGTTTCCTGTGTTCTGGGTGACTTCTCAAGCCTAGTGACCTGGAACAGGGGTGCACAGTGGGAGGACAGATGCTCCCTGATGTGTGTTTGGCATTGCCAATCTCCTTATTAGCTTATTGGTGCAATAAGCCACCAGACCTGGAAATCTCACCATAAGAGGCTGGCTGACAGGGAGCACTGATTTCTAGCGTGTGTTCTTGAGGTTCAAAAGGGAAAACAGCCATTTGGGGTTTGCATAGAGAATGAGGTTTCAGCTAACCATGGCTGATTACAGAATTGCTCCAGCAGTGACCGTGTTTGACCTCGACCTCAATACCCCAGCAGCTGCCCCTGCTGTGTCTGTTCAGTGAAACAACCCTTGCAACCACGCCTCCAAGTCCGTCACCACAGATCCCTCCTGCCTGAGTTTTCAGTGGCTGCTGTAATAAAGTACCACTGGCAGGGTGGCCTAGAACAACACATTTTATTCTCTCACAGTTCTAGTGGCCAGAAGTTCCAAATCAAGGCATCCAAACTAAAGCTCTTTAATGTTGGGCAAGTTACTTAATGTCCCTGTACCTCACTTTACTCATCTGTCCAATAGGAGGGTAAGAGCACCCCAGGACACTCCTGGTGCTCTGCCCAGACCTCCAGGGATCCCTTTTACCCATTTTGTGTGTGCATCCCGCAGCTTCTGTGTGCTTTCCTTCTACCTGCTCGCACCTGCAACCTTCTTCAGACACCTGCTAATAGAGCTGCTTCACCTGCAAAGGACATAGAGTTGGAAGTGCCGGGGACTGCGTGGTGCTCCCTGGAGCCAATGCACAGCATGCTGGTCTTCCCATGGTGGAATACAGGCTTGCAGGGTTCCCACCTGAGGCTTTATAGAGAGATACAGGGCATGGGGTCCTCCAGGCAGGGTGACAACCGCATCCCAGTTTGCCCAGGCCTTTCCCAGTTTTAGCACTGAAGTCCCCATGAAGGTGGGTCATAGACACACTATCAAGTCACAGGAGCCTAGCAGGAGCCTTTCTGAGTGATCATCCTGCCCTTGGCATCAGGTTCATGTCTCTGTACTCACATGGATGATGTGGGACTCTCGCCGTGGCTGCAACAGATAAGACCGGCACTGTTGTGGAGAAGCTTAGGGGGTTTCCAGGGCCTCCCAAGCTTTTCTGCTGCCTGACTTCTCCCTTTGGCTGTTGATGGCAGCAAGCCCGCACCAGGAGTGAGAATGAAGGGGGCATCCTGGGCATTACCCCCCTTCCTTGTGACTGGTGGGGCTATTCCTGGAGGAATTAACTTTGGCACCATTCAGGGAAGCTGTGAATGAAAGGCAGCTGCACAGACATCATAATCTGTAGCCGGGAACAGGCAGGCCGCTCTGGCACCCAGCCCGCCCCGTCTATGTGGTGCCAACAGCTCCTGGGCAGACACAACCGGGAATTTTAAGGCAAGGCCTGTATTTGCAGTCCTCCCTGCTGGCCGTAAACCCCGGCTTGTTAGTTTCAAAGGCTTGAGGTCAAATGTACCATTATAACAAGTTAGACCAGTTTATAAAAGAACACCAAGGTGGGAGGTTTTGCCAGTATTTGTTTCACATCGTCTTGCTCTTTGATTTAAATGTTTTGATGAACTGCCCTGATGGTCATGATGCTGGTGGCCAGTGAAATCCTACCAAACCTTTCTGTGCTAATTCTGCCCAGAACATGGTTGGAGAATCCTTAATGATCACAATGCAGTAATTTTCCCCTTTTCACCATTCGGAACTATTGCAAAACTTTCCAAGGGATTGGCCTGATTCCCTGGGGCCCTCCCTCATCCTGGAACCCTGATATCTTGTAGAACTGCCACTTTGGGAGGTAGGATGTGGATAGACCAAAGCATAAGAACAATGCTTCATGGCGTTTCTGCAACACAAGATCTTCATTTCTTAACCACTTCCTCTTTTTGAGTGGAATTAGAGGAAGTCGAGAAAAAAGGGGATTAGGAAATTCATTCCAGCATACGGAATAAAATCTGTCCTTCAACAAATGAAGGCTGAAAGGGACACGTGAACATTTCATCTAGCACATTCCTATATTCCTGTTCTTAGATGATGCTAAGCTGTCCTTTCAGAAGAAACCCAGCCTCTTCGCTGTACCTCCAAATCCCAATTTTCTGTGAACAGGGACGGAGGAAGAGCTGCCAACAAGGAAGTTACCTAGGTTTTGACAGCTTATTAGTTCTATTATTCCGACTCAGGCTCAGGGCTGCATGGGCCAGTAGAGTGCGGGAGAGTCTGAGCAACACAGGGACTGGATAATTTTCTCCTATAAAATTCAATGCTGTTGTTGGCTTCAATTTCACCAAATGAAATCTCCAAATGACCAATGGCAAAGAGAAAGCACTGTCGTCTCACAAAACTGCCTTGAGTTATGATTTCAATAGATTCTAGCTACCGTGCTTTTACTAAATTCCCAAATACCTGCAGCTTTTGTTGGTATAATATTATTTCACTATCACTAAAAAAACCCCAAATCAGAATCATTTACATCTTGAGGCATACCCAGCGAGTTACAGGCTTAAAGTTACCTTATCTGGTAAGAGTGAAAACCATATCCCTCTGTTGTTTTTCTCAAGGAATCATATTGTTTTTCATTCCTATTTCTGGAGTTACTTGTGAGGCTGAACGTCTTTTTTTTTTTTTTTTTTTTTTTTGAGACAAAGTCTCACTCTTGTCCCCTAGGCTGGAGTGCTATGGCGTGATCTTGGCTCACTGCAACCTCTGCCTTCCCAGTTTCAAGCAATTCTCCTGCCTCAGCCTCCCAAGTAGCTGGGATTACAGGTGCCTGCCACCACACCCGGCTAATTTTTGTATTTTAAGTAGAGACGGGGTTTCACCATGTTGGCCAGGCTGGTCTTGAACTCCTGACCTCAGGTGATCTGCCGGCCTCGGCCTCCCAAAGTACTGGGATTAGAGGCATGAGCCACTGAGCCTGGCAAGGTTGAACATCTTATGTTTTTTAGCCATTTGCAATTCTTCCAGAGCCTTCGACCCACATCTGTTTTCTTAACTCTCTCCTAGAATCATTTTAGAATTATGGAGAATTATTAAGGGAAAGAGAAGAAGTGCACAGTAGGGGATGAAGGGGGAGAGGTGAAACCAGGTGGGGAGCACTGTTCTCAAGCCCTCCCCCAGCTCCCTCTGACTTTTCTTTCCCCAGGGCTAGATTCCCTCCACCCCACTCCTATTTTTCCTCGAAGGCCATGTCAAGTCTCTTAGGATAAGTCCCTCTTCTCCTCTAATAACTTACTACTCTTGATCTTAGCCGAAACGCTGAGAAGTGATTCTTATAATAATTTGTTTTGCTTTTAATCATTCCAGGTAAAGGGAGAGGACCTTTAGTCTTGGATCCTGACCTCCTTTTAGGTGAAACTTCCTCTGAGGACAAAGTATAGTGGTCCCAGTGTCCCTGTCTCATTTAAAAAGTAAAATACTGGTAGTATAGTTTGGGATAAGCAAACTAAGTAGTCAGATTCTGGCATTCTGAATCTTCCTTTTGCTTAGGAATTGCTAAGGCCGAGGGTTGTCTCTGGCTCAACATTTGCCTGAACGTTCAGTCTCCTTTCGGGTCTGTGAGGGAGCAAATGCTACTGCGGGAGCCTCAGGGAGCCCTGCCCACACCTTCCTCTTCCCTTCCTTAAAGGTCACGATAGCTGGGTTCATCCCGTAGTTGGATGTCAAGTTTGCTTTTAAAATAGATTGTAACACTTAATTCTTGCTGTCATCCTGTAGGAAATACCACGATCCAGTGGTAGCCTCCAAGTATATCACCCTGAAAACAATTCTGGTGGTCTCAAAACAGAAAGCACAGAGGCCCAATTAAGATGCTCAAATCTCATGGTTTATTAAATCTACGTGAAACACACAAGAAGAAGCAAGGGGATAGGGATGGGTTAGGTAGTGTATTAGTATATATGTATATATACGTATATATGTATAAAGGGGAGTATATTATATGTATATATATGTATATATATGTATATATACGTATATATACGTATATATATGTATATATATGTATATATATGTATATATATGTATATATATGTATATATGTATATATATGTATATATGTATATATGTATATATATGTATATATATGTATATATATATGTATATATATGTATATATATGTATATATATGTATATATATGTATATATATGTATAAAGGGGAGTATATTATATATATATATACACACACATATATATGTGTATATATACGTATAAAGGGGAGTACATTAAATAGTATTAACTCACACAATCACAAGGTCCCACAATAGGCCATCTGCAAGCTGAGGAGCAAGGAAGCCAGTCTGAGTTCCAAAGCTGAAGAACTTGGAGTCTGATGTTTGAGGGCAGGAAGCATCCAACACAGGAGAAAGATGGAGGCTGGGAGGCTAAGCCAGTCTAGTCTTTTCACATTCTTCTGCCTGCTTAATATCCTGGCCATGCGGGCAGCTGATTAGATGGTGCCTACCCAGATTGAGGGGGGGTCTGCCTTTCCAGTCCACTGACTCAAATGTTAATCTTCTTTGGCAGCACCTTCACAGACACACCCAAGATCAATACTTTGCATCCTTCAGTCCAATCAAGTTGACACTCAGTATTAACCATCACAGGTAGCCACACTGAGTATAGTGTGAAGGTGGGGTGGAAGACCACACACCTCAGTCCGGAGTTACATGATGTTCATGCATCCTATTTCTCTGCTGTCTGCATCTACCTCCCCCAAGGAATATTGAACAGCGGCTCAGCAGGCAGAGGTGCCTGCAATCAACACTTGCTTCTTTTATTGGAGAGATGCAGGAGAAATTACACCTGGTCACAGCAGCACAGTAGTTCCCCCGTTATCTGAGGTTTTCCTTTTTGCAGTTCCATTTACCCATGGTCTGAAAATATTGAATGGAAATGAAATATTGGTGGAAAATTCCAGAAATAAACAATATATAAGTTTTCAATCATGTACCATTCTGATTAGTGTGATGAAATCTTGCACTGTTCCACTCCATCCCACCTGAGATGTGAATCCTTCCTTTGTCCAGCGTCTCCACCCTGTAGATGCTTAGAAGTCATCTCGATGATCAGATCCACTGAGGTATTGCAGTACTTGCCTTCAGATCACCTTTATTTGACTTCATAATGCCCCAAAGCTTAAGAGTAGTGATGCTGGCAGTTCAGATATGCCAAAGAGAAGCCGTAAAATGTTTGCTATAAGTGAAAAGGTGAAAGTTCTTGACTTAATAAGAAAAAGATCATTGACTGAGGTTGCTAAGACCTATGGTAAAGATGAATCTTCTATCCATGAAATTGTGAAGAAAGAAAAAGAAGTGTGTGCTAGTTTTGCTGTTTCAGCTTAAACTGCAAAAGTTATGGCCACAGTGCATGATGACAGAGCTCAGTTAAGATGGAAAATATATTAAATTTGTGGGTGGAAGATATGAACACACACGTATCTTGACTGATGGTGACCAGGTTCAGTACTATCTGTGGTTTAGGGATCCACTGGGGCCTGGGAACATATCTCTTGTGGATAAAGGGGTACTCCTGTAGTTTGCCAACTAGTTCAATGAACAGTTATGGATCTTATCTGTATTCCTTGGGCAGAGCATGTGAGATCTCGAGTGGGACATACTGAGTGTTACCGGTGGGTGGCCAGTAAAAAATGACAAAACCATCAGCTTAGAGGTTGCATGACCCCTTGCCTTATAACCTGGTCTTTCCTTCCTTTCCATCCTTTTCTATCTATAATTGCTCTTGCTACTCCATTCTTTTTAAAAACTCACACATCTCTTACATGTCACTAACTTATTATCTGTACTTGACATCTTTTATGGCTTCTGCTCATCTTACAAGCTACTTGCTTACTCGTTCTCTGCACTTCATCTTTTCAGTTTTATACAACCCATTCATTTTCCTGTCACCTATTACAGAATTGAATATCCTCAATTAATATGACTAATGTTGTAACTTCACTTTAGTGAAGGTGACAAATTTCCAAGATTTAAAAAAAAAAAGTGAATTAGAGTTGGCTTATACTTAAGGCATCTGGACATCACATCTGCATGGAAGGTTTTGGCAGAGTGCACACATTGCAGTTCTCGTCAGTCTCTGCCCACATCACCGGTGGGCCCCAAAGACCCAGGGCTTACCTAGATTAGGGTTTGGAGGTGGTATCTGATCTAAATAAGATAAATAGGCTGAGGAATTGAGTATGTCCAGATGAGTGAGGCTCAGTGAAGAGAACTGGATGAGACTCCCCTGAAGGGAGAGAGAAATCTCATCTTCTGTGTAGTAAAACCTTGAACCTTGATCAAACAGAGATCTGGCCTTTGCCAATGGCTCCTGGGAGATGATCTCTAAGCCCTTGAGATTTCATGGCATGGTGTGTCTTTGTTTGCCCGGAAGTTTTGAGCAACACCAAAAATGTGATACAGTGTGGGGGCTTAGGGCCATGTGGTATTTGTTGATTTCTGGAGGGGCTGGAGACTGAAGTCAGCCATGTGGGCAGCCAACCAAGTTTAAGTGATGGAGCCCCATTCAAGACTCTAGACATCAAGGCTCAGGAGAGCCTCCGTGGTTGGCAACAGTCTGTGCATATTGTCCCACACCCATGCTGGGAGAGTGTCACTGTCAGCTCCATGGGAGAGGTTAATGGAAGCTCCACAGTGGGAACTCTCTTGGGCTTCACCCTATGCTCCTCTTCCCTTGGCTGACTCCGTATCCTTTTCTTGGAATAAACCATAACCATAAGGATAACAGCTTTCAGTGAACTCTGTGAGACCTTCTAGTGAATTACGGAGCCTCAGGATAGGTACTGTGTTCCCTTGAACTTTGCAGTTAGTGTCAAAAGTGAGAGTCCTGTGGATGGATAGCTCCCACACTGCATCTTTCCAAGCAAGAGACAGACAGGAAAGGGATGAAAAAGAATGAAGCTTAGTGTTTCCCTTATGACTAAGTTTGGGACTTCCCCTTCTCCATCATCCCCTTCCCTTCCCCCTATTTGTCTTGCATGGGACCCCACTGGGGCCAGATTTCCAGTTGTCAATGAAGAAGTGAAAATGTTTGGCAGAGCACTTACCGTCTTGGATTTCAGAGCATTTTGCACATACATCCTGTTAAGCCTTTCCTACGTTAGAAGGTGAATTAGGAAACTGGGTTCATACTGACACCTTTTGTCTGCTCTCAGGCACAGAATAGGTTCGTGTTTTGGCCCCAGCGAAGAGCAAGCATCTCAAAGCTTCCAATGACAAGGGTCATTGCTCCCAGGAGGGAGGGTTTCCCTGCCATGCCTGAGCTGGAACCAGCTCATCTTCAGATATATCTCATTCAGCGTTGCAAATCAGAACCACTTGGGCTTTGTTTGGCTTCAGGTGTTTTTACTTCAACAACTGAACGCAGAAATGAATTAAAGAGAAGCAAAGCCAACCCATCAAGGGCAGTATCAAGTTCAACCATACAAAATTGCCGTTTTTTGTAGGCCAAATTTATACAGTCCAACTTCATACATACAAGTTCACCAACAGCTAAAGCAGTGGTTCTCAGTTTGACTACACATAAGATACACTGGGGAGCTTTCAAAACAAATAAAACAAAACAAAACAAAAACCACGTCCAGGCCATACCCCAGACCAATTAAATTGAAATTTCTAGGGTTGGAACTCAAGCAACAAGATTTTTAACACTCCCCAGGAGGTTTCAAGAGGCAGTCAAGGCTGAGAATTTCTAAAACAAATTAAAATATGTGGGTTTTACTAAATCATCAGTCATCCCTCCTCATGGGCCCCAGTCATTTAACAGACTCTTACCAGGGGCTGACCATGAGCCAGGCATTGATGAGATCCTGGGACAGCAGGGAGCCCCGTTCCCTTAACTCGTAGCCACTCTGCTTCCTTTCCATCCGTGCCCATCGCTCTGCACAGCTGTACCTGGGGTTATACCTCCGAGTGACAGTGCCCATCTTCAGGTGCCCTTGGGGCTGGGTGGTTTTCCCAGGTGGGCTCACCTGCAGACCCCTCTTAGCTCTTTGCAACTACCTAGAGGAGAGCACTTTTTCTGGGGTCCCCACCTGGAAAAACAGTTTTCTCTGTCCTCTAGGGCCACGTTTCTCGACACCACCTGGAAAAACAGTTTTCTCTGTCCTCTAGGGTCACGTTTCTCAAGATATGGTCCAGGGACCACCTGCTTCTAAACAACAAAGGGATGTTTGTTTCAATGCAGGTCCTGGGCCCACCCTAGACCAGTTCACTCTTTGCTGGTGGATCATGGGAGTCAACATTTTAAACAAGAGCCTCTCCCTAAGATGTCTGCTATGCGCCCAGAGTTTGAGAACCAGCCAAGGGACTCAACCTGGCTGCCTGGGCACAGGGTCAGTGACCTCCCTTTTCTCACATCTCTTAGCCCAGGCTGGCCACCCCCATCACTGACCAGGGACCACATGGAGCAGGCTGGTCTCCCTGGCAGCACTGGCCCCGTCCCTTTGGATTTCCGTGTCTCAGGTTTGCTCTGACTCTCACATCTTGTGAGATGTTGGAGCTCTGAAATACCTCAAACCTCCCCTCAGCCTAAGGGACAGGTCTGATTACATGCACAGTTGACCCTTGAATGACATGATTTGAACTGTGCAGGTCCACTTCTACGTGGATTTCCTTCTGTCTCTGCCACCCCCGAGACAGCAACACCAACCCCTGCTCTTCCTCCTTCTCAGCCCACAAAACCCGAAGACAATTATGATGAAGACCTTTATGATGCCCCACTTCCACTTAATCAATAGTAAATGTATCTTCTCTTTCTCATGATTGTATTAATAACGTTTTCTTTTCAATAGTTTATTTATCGTAAGAATACAGGATATAATACATGTAACATACGATGTGTGTTAATCAACTGTTTGTGTTATTGGCAGGGCTTCGGGTCAACAGTAGGCTATTAGAAGTTAAGTTTTGGGGGAGTCAAAAGCTGTGCTGGGGTTTTCCACTGCATGGGGGTCAGCACTCCTAACCTCTGCATTATCCAAGGGCCAACTATATCATCTATCTATCCATTCATCCACCCGTCTGTTTCTCTCCTCCTCCTCCTGCTCCTCTTCTCTCTCTCCTCGCCCCTCTCTCTCTCATACACACACACACACACACACACACACACACATCCCACACCCCCTGTGCACCAGGTACTGTACTAAGCACTTGAGATATAGAAATGAACAACACAAACATCTCTGCTCTTAGGGAGCCTCTATCCCAGTGAGGACAGAGAGACAATGTTTTCTGGGGAAGTGGTAACTTCAAGGACACAGAATTGTTAGGAAGATATTCTCCCAGGAATAAAATATAATATTTTAATGGCTTTGTCATTCCCTCTTTAACATCTTTCCCCTTCCTCTACAACTGAAGAATAAGGGGCAGAGGATTCCTGCTTCACGTGGAAGAAGTCTGAGTTCTACCTCTGCCTGTTAAAGAGGATATGCACTGGGGCAGTTGCTGAAATAGGTGTGGCTTGTTAATTCTTGAGACAAAACCAGAATGAATGAGAGGTCTTGCTGGCTAGTTCAGTATCAGGTGAGGGGTGGAAATGAGCTAGAAGGGTGAAAATACCATGTTATTTTAATCACAGTGATGGTTCACGTCAGGCTCCATAGACCCAGCTGGAATCCCAGAGGCTCATTTCCTCCATCCAGGTCTATTCCACCCAGGTCTATTCCATCCAGGTCCATTCCATCGAGATCCACTCCATCCAGATCCACTCCATCCAGGTCCTCTCCATTCGGGTCCACTCCATCCAGGTCCACTGTATCCAGGTCCACTCCATCCAGGTCCACTGTATCCAGGTCCACTCCATCCAAGTGAATTCCATCCAGGTCCACTCCATCCAAGTGAACTTCATCCAGGTGCGCTCCATCCAGGTGCACTCCATCCGGATTCACTCCATCCAGATCCACTCTATCTGGGTCCACTCCATCCGAGTCCACTCCATCCAGGTCCAATCCATCCAGATCCACTTCATCCAAGTCCACTCCATCCAGATCCACTCCATCCAGGTCCACTCCATCCAGGTGCACTCCATTCAGGCCCACTCCATCCAGGTCCACTCCATCCGGGTCCACTCCATCTGGGTCCGCTCCATCTAGGTCCACTGTATCCAGGTCCACTCCATCCAGGTGAACTCCATCCAGAGCCACTTCATCCAGATCCACTCCATTTGGGTCCACTCCATCTGGGTCCACTCCATCCGGGTCCACTCCATCCAGGTCCACTCTATCTGGGTCCACTCTATCCAGGTCCACTCTATCTAAGTCCCAGCATAGGCATACTCAAACTGAGGGATGTTTGCTTAAAAGAAAAAACCTATTGACAAAGATGTGGACTGGTTTAGAGAAACCACAAAAGACAGTGCAGAAGCCTGGGGACCAGCAAGAGCATAGTGCTGTTACTACCCTGATACAGTTTGGATGTTTGTTTCCTCCAAATCTCATGTTGAAATGTGATCCCCAATGTTGGAGGTGGAGTCTACTGGGAGTTATTTGGGTCATGGGGGTGATCCCTCACGAGTAGCTTGGCACTGTCTTTACAGTGGTAAAGTGAGTTCTCACTCTATGAGTTCACAAGAGATCTAGTTGTTTAAAACAGTGTGGCACCTCCTCCCCCTCTCTCTTGCTCCCTCTCTCGCCATGAGACAGACCAGCTCCCCTTCACCTTCCACCATGATTGCAATCTTCCTGAGCCCCTCGCCAGAAGCAGATGCCAGCATTGTTTCCTCTACAGCCTGCAGAACTATGAGCCACATAAACCTTTTTCTTTATAAATGATCCAGCCTCAGGTATTTCTTTGTAGCAGGGCAAATGGACTAGTACATACCCCTTTCTTGGAGGGGCAAAGACAGGAAGTGGTTACCCCCAATCAAAGAGGGCAGCAGAACAGCAAGGGCTATCTGAAAGAGGCTGTGTCATCTGCTGGCTTGACCCAGCCAACTTTGAGCAACTCAACAGAAAAGGAGCTGGGAAAATAAATATCTGGAGCTCTCTCCCTTATCCATCCTCTGCTCCCTCTCACTGTGCTGGTGCCTCCCACTGGAAGCCAGAGTGGAGGGAGGTTGTGATACAACCTACGTGGGTCAGGCCCACCTTTCAGGGTTTAGTGCCAAAGGCAGGAGGATAGATGGAAATCACTGGCATGACCATTTATCATAGCATATCCAGAGGACCATATTCCCAGGGAAAGGGTTTTGAAAGCCCAGGCCTTCATGAACTCAAACACCCTCCCCTCCATCAGCTATACAACTAAGCCCCTTGTAGCTACAGAGAACTTGCCCCCTTCTTATCCTTTCTGTGGGTGATCCAGAGTAATATCTGGAGAGAGAAAGCTGCTAAATTGCATGAGGTTCTTCCAAGTCATTCATTCAGATGACCCCTTTCTTCCCATTCTGCTGTTTTGCCTGTAGTGCTAGCCATCTGTGGGATGTGCATGCATGCAAGTGTATCTTTGGTCCATAGTGCTTGGATGACAGCCACAGATCTTACTAACTGGCTCTTCTGGAGATGATGGGCTCCAGCATGTGGTCAAAGCTGCTGCTGGTGCTGGTGGCCACTGAGCCCCAGGAAATGAAGAGGAGGTTTCTCCCTCATGCACTTTCCTCCTTGCAGGGGTAAGCACTGCTCAGTGTCACGTGCAGCTGAGGCAGAATTGTTGGAAAGATACTCCTAACAATTGTTTCCCTGCTCCCCCCACCCCCCACCCCCAGACGTACAGGGATGGCCTCAGCCTGTCTGACACTACAGATGTTGGAGTTCCCAATTTTGTGTGTGGGAGGTTAGGGTGTGTGAAGGGAAGCTAGAGGTTTGATGAACAGAGAACCCCGAGAATGGAATAATTAGGGAACATTTCCCAAGACCCAAAACAAAACTGTTTCCACTCTGATGGCAGAGTCTAGGATAGCATTTTTAGAGGCCCCTTGCTGCTTTTTAAATCCTGAAAAGGTAGCATGATGTCATTGGTGCCTCAGTTTGCATGCATTTATTAGGTCCCCTGTGTCTCAGACAGGAGCAGCGCTTATAGCATGGAAGCAGGGGGCCCCAGACCTGGGAGGAGACAGGGATAGGTGAAGGCTGTTAAGATGGGCCTCGGCTATTGCAGACTCTTACCCAAGCCCAGCATCTGTTTCTAAAATCCTAAATGGAAACTCACCAGACAGCCCAGGAGCCCCTGGGGGCTTCTCTAGAGGAAGTGTGAGTTTTCCTGTCTGCTCGGGCAGGGTGAGAACCCCTGCACCCTCTTTCTCCTTCATCTCATCTTCATCCAGGGAGGTCCCGGACTTAGCTAGGAAAATGGTAATCCAGAGACAATCTTTGTTGGCTAAAGTGCTCCTGGAACTAAAAGTGAGGATTCAACATGTGTGAGAAGAGACAGCCCCACCACGCTCATGATGTGTAGAAGCACCTTGCTTGTGAGCTAGACTTGCACTGGCCAACTGGTGGGGCAGGAGAGAGGCAACGCACAGAAACCATGCTTCCATAAGGAATTCTGCTTGTATTGTACAGGCCAGGTTTGCATTTTCCAGAAAGGCCAGGGTAGAGGCTTACTAATCACCCAAGACTGTGAAATCAGGCAGAAGAAACAGCAAGGGCTGCTTTTCTGGGGGTGAAAAGAAAACAAGCTGCCATACAAGCTGGGTGGGGTGAGAGCCTGGGAGGGGCAGGCAACCAGACCCGTCATCCTCAGGCCCCAGGGAGGACTCTGTCCACTGGCGGGGGCTGGACCTCCATCCTGTTCAGCATGACCAGACTAGCCATCTTCTGATCTTCTTCAGGCAGCCCCCAAATCACTGCCCAACCCTGCAGGAGGCCCTGCCACATAGCCTTTGCCAGAGACAGTCACCCCAATGTGTTCTTCTGGGCCCTCCTTGCCTCAAAGGCCACACAAGGCGTGTTCCTCACAGCCTGCACTTTGTTGTTTAGGAGGTCATTCTTCTGAGTAACGAAGGGAAAGATTTTAGTTCCCACCATCTCCCTCAGTAGATATTCCCCTACATGGCCCTGAAGTGTGGCTACCATGACTCACTGCACCTGTAAGTACAGAACATGACCCTGAGGTTGGGAGGCCCCAGCTGTACCCACCTCTTTACTGAAAAATCACCTTGGAGCTTCTTGCCATGAGATGCTGCTGGTGTGTTGAGGAAGCATAGACTAACTACACAGGGTTCTCCCTACTGACAGAGAACAGTTCATGTATGTTTGTTAATGAGATAAGATGATCCTGGGTCTAGGGTCTTACAATTTTACCCTTAAAAAAATTTCAAACATTTATTTCAGCCTTACCAAA
This sequence comes from Homo sapiens, assembly GCF_000001405.40. NCBI lineage: Eukaryota > Metazoa > Chordata > Mammalia > Primates > Hominidae > Homo > Homo sapiens. The sequence continues at coordinate 32,033,756 of NC_000021.9, forward strand.
AGGAATCTAGAGAATGCATTCCTATTTGGTTGTCTGGAGCAGGGATTTTCAACGTTGGCACATTGACATTCTGGATTTGATCATTCTTTGGAGTGGGGCTGTTCTGTGCCTTGTAAGATGTTGAGCTGCATCCCTGGCCTCTACCTACTAGATGCCAGTAGCACCCACTACACCCAGCCACTCATGACAAACAAAAACGTCTCCAGACATTGTCAAATGTCCCCGGGGCGGTGGAGGTGGGGAACCACCCATGGTTGAGAACCATTGCTGTTAGAGCAATTTTATTCAAACAGGAAATATGTATCAAATACCCGTGTGATAATTCAATATTTAAACATCTTACCTGAACCAGGAACTGGAGGGGTAAAAGTGTGACTAAGACATTATCCCTGTTCTTTGTGAGCTTGCAATGTGGGACTGGGAATGTCCCGCAAATGACTGGATAGAAGACAAAAAGTAGGTGCCTAAAAGCGGTCCTTACTGAGCCTCACTCTTTTTTTTTTTTTTTGAGATGGAGTCTCGCTCTGTCGCCCAGGCTGGACTGCAGTGGCGCAATCTCGGCTCACTGCAAGCTCCGCCTCCCGGGTTCATGCCATTCTCCTGCCTCGGCCTCCTGAGTAGCTGAGACTACAGGAGCCCACCACCGCACCCGGCTAATTTTTTGTATTTTCAGTACAGACGGGATTTCACCGTGTTAGCAAAGATGGTCTTGATCTCCTGACCTCGTGATCCGCCTTCCTCGGCCTCCCAAAGTGCTGGGATTACAGGCGTGAGCCACCGCGCCCAGCCGAGCCTCACTCTTGATTGCGAATGAAGTGTCTTTCCCAGAAAGGCCCCAGCAGACTCCTCCTATTTCTCATTGGCCAGCAAGGTGTCACATGCTCACTTCAAGACCAATCACTAATCAAAAGGAAGGTGATTGCAAGATAGGCTTGGCCAATCATGACTCATTCTCTAGGGTGCAGTGTTTTTGTATGCTCACCCACTTACCTGCAAAGTCCATTTTTTAGTTTTTTATTTTTTTGCAGGAAATTAAATGGAATAACTGCTGATGATTCAGCTAATGGTGTCTGCCACACCATGTCCCAAGCTTAGGTCTTCCTGACCCTCTTTCATCCATTTCATAACACCCATAAAATATACTCTTCTCTTTGCAGTCACAGAAACTGCCTTTTTTGGGGGTGGGGAGTTCTTTCTATGAGAAAGCCAAGTTGAGGCTGCTTTTGATAATGTCATAGTAAAGTACATTGTGTCAAGAACAGACTGATAAAGGGACGAGTGGTTTCTGCCTCAGCATGTGAACAGTTCATTATGGTTGCCGAGTCGATTCATGCTTTGACCAAAAGTGTTTGCCAAAGCCCAGAGGCCAACATCAGCATTATTAATAAATTGGCTGTTATTAATAACAGCCAGGCCACACAAAGAAACCGCTGGTTATGCTTCAAGTGCTTGTGATCAACCACTGTGGGCGCTTGCATTGATATAGAGCTGTTGAGTGACGGTGCCTTGTCTGGTCAGTTGTGTGTTAGGTTGTTCTGCCCGTGGCTGATGTCTGTGCAGGCTGATATCATGGCAGCCACCATTTATTGTGTATATACTATTTGTCCCCTTACGTGCATTACTTCATTTAACACTCACAATAGTCCTGGGAAGCAGGTATTGCCATCACCGACAGACACACAAGGAAGTTGACTCAGATAGAGACAGTAGGTTCCTAATGTCACCCAGCTAGTACTGGGCAAGACCAACAACCAGGTTACCCCATGCTTGTCTGTGCAGTGTGGCAGGCCCCCCACCAGGTTACTTCAGGGTGTATGTCCACTGCCTGAACTCTGAAGGCCAGTTGATGAGCCAAAGCCATCATGCCCAGCCAAACAGCAGACGTCCCTGATAACCCAAACATCTTGTAGTGTATCTGAGAACCCATCAAGGAAAACAGTCCCATCACACACACAGCGGGCAAAGAGCCAGAAAATTAGCTTAAGGATGGGAGGCAGTGCAGATCTCTAAAGCTATTCTGCTGCCATCCAGGAGAGCCTCACATGTAAGTTCTAATAAACTAATCTACTCACTAAGAATGACTTGTGTCTGAGTCATTCTGTGTTCTTTTGGCTCCCTCCTAGTTTGGGGAAGGTTTTTCTATATGATTCTGGGTTTTTCTGCATATCAGATGCTAAATGGGCTTGGGAAGATAAAGGAGGGGCCCTCTGTTAGGTTAAGGAATAGAGAAAAGAAAGTGAGCACAGATGTAAGATGCTGAAGGCTGTTACATCAACCTTGGAGGGCGGAGGACCAGCATTCTCTCTCATCTTCTCCAGGGTCCACATGACACTCAAGAATTGCTGGACCCCTTTGGGCTACCCATGCCTGCCCTTTTGCAGATGTTCCCTTAACATCACCTGATGATGCCTTTCTTTTCCACCCTCCCTCCCCAAACAATTGACACCCCCCCATTTTGAACCTTCACAATGGAATATCCATCAGCATAGGTCCTTACTTCACAGGCTGGTTCTATCTGCAGCGTTCTCCACCACACCTTCACGTGAGCATGATCTCACCTTCCTTCAAATACCAGCTCAAGTGCCACTACCTCCATGAAGTCCACCTGGGTCCTCTGTATGCTTCTAGTAATTTCAAGGGGTGCCCTTTTGTTGCTTAATTTGTCTTGCATTAGAGCTTGCTGTGGGGCATCTGACTCTCAACCCAATTACGAGTCCTTCAAGGGCAGGGACTTCAGCATCCCTCCCTAGTACCTAACAGGGTATCTTGCAAGATACATAAGTTTATTTAATTGGATGAAAGTGGATAATTCAGAATTGATTGCTTGACGTGATCAAGCTTCAGCAACAGCCTTCATAAAGAAGCTAAATGTGTCCAGCTCGCATTTTGAGTGTCTGCACTTTACTCTGGGCTTTTTACTGGATCTGTCCTGCAAATTTAGTCTCAGCTCAGAGAAGCTGAATGCATACTGAAATAACTCAGCAAAATGTCCCTGACCCTCTGACATGTGATGCTTCATCACTGAAGTATTCCTGGTCAAATCACGCTCTTATCAAAGACCATTTCTCATGTGCCTTCCCATTCTCCCCCTACACATATACCCCAAAGACACAGGAGAGTTTAAATCTTATTTTATAAAGAAAGCATCAGAAAAGATTCTCTGTGGCAGAAGATATTAGTGGCTTGAGAACAATTCATGTCTAGCTGGAATGGGAGTGATTGAAGTGTTTTTGTGCATGCAGTAGATTAATGTGACATAAAATGTCGTCTGAGAATTCAGCTAGACCTAGTGGGCCCCAGGGGCTAGAGTTGGCTTCTATTGCAATGAATCTCAGAGCTTTAGGATGGACTATAGTTTGGAATACAAGGAAGTGTCTGAATATGAGGACAATTTCCCTCTCTTCACATTTGCCTGGACACCAATCCAATTCTGAGATCCAATCATCCTTCATGTCTTTGCTTACTGGGAGCCTGGCCTGAGTTACCAGCTGGGGTTTCCAAAGTGATGTGACACCACAGCCCTAAGATGCTCCCAGTCTAGGGGTGGTGAGTAGCAGAGCGCACAATAGCAGCACCAAGGGCAGCTTGGGAAGGGGCTTTCGCACCCGTCTTCACCCTTCCCCCACCTTTCTTTGATATGGACCACCAACATTATCTCCATCATAGTGAATCAATGGCTTCAAGACCTGCTTCCAATGAGATGTTGCCCCCAAGACTTTCCTCTATACAAATTCTGGGCCTGTCACTGGGCAACAGGAGTGGGAAAGTGACCAGACCTCCCCGGTGTCTGGTTGGAGTTCGAGGCCCACAAGGCAAGGACTCTGGAGTAAGGGAGATGCAGCCAGTTGGGTTTAGAGGAAAGGCTTTGCTCTCCTAGTGACTAGGGCAGCTGGAAGACAGAGTGTTGGGAGGTAGGTTGGAGAAGGTAGTCATAGCCTCCCTTGAAAAGAAACAGGAAACTTGCCAAATTGATGGAGAGAACAAACCACCCGACAGTGCACAAACTGCATCTGGGGCTCCTGGTTAAGACATCCTGGAGCAGAGAGGAGCAGGGGCAAAAGGGAAAAATCCCCAAGCCCACACAGGTGCACAAGTCCATGACCAATGTCCTTAAGCTGAACCATCCTCATTTTAATGCTAAAAACACACCCCTGGGTAGAGATTTCAGACGCTAATGAGACATGGGATGTATGTGCTAGCGTGTACAGCAATAGTGCATGGGCATCCAGGAGACCTCCCATGGCATGCTTAACAACAATGCCCATTCCCACCCTTCATGAATAATCATGTAAGACTCCCGTAAAGGGAGCTTCCCCAGTGTCGGTGGGTGCTGTCTCATTATCTCGAGCAGCCCACTCTGAACCTGCTATGAGAGTGTACTTTTCGCTTTGCAATAAACTACTTACTTTTGCTTTTGACTCACTCTCAAAATCTCTTAAGCAGCCAAGTCAAGAACCTGAACCAACCAACTGACAACATCAGGAGAAAGGGTTGATGTCGGGGGGAGGTTGGGAACTGAAATAGAGCAGTCCAAGCCTGAGCATGAGGGGCTGTGTGCCCGGAGAAAATGAAGAGCAGGGCTCGGGCACGTAATGAACCCTGTGTCAAGTGCCTGGGCAGAAGGCCCAACCCTTGCTCACCAGCTCTGCCCCAAACACCTGGTCCAAGCCACCGCCGTCCTCTTCCTGGGCTGTTCTCCCTTCTTCCACTTTGTCCCGCCATTAGCCAGAGTGACCCCTTGGGAGCATGAAACTGGCACTGCCCTGCAGCTTCCCACCTTAGCAGGGAGGAAGCCAAGGCCCTGCCCTGTCACCTTCACCAAAGCCCCTGCTCCAATGCACAGTGCCTCCTCCAGACTTTATGCCTGTCCATAGCACTCAGCTTCATCTCCACTTCTTTTTTTTTTTTAATTTTTATTTTACTTTAAGTTCTGGGATACATGTGCAGAATGTACAGGTTTGTTACATAGGTATACATGTGCCATGGTGGTTTGCTGCATCCATCTACTCGTCATCTAGGTTTTAAGCCCTACATGCATTAGGTATTTGTCCTAATGCTGTCCCTCCACTTTCCCCCCATGCCCTGGCAGGCCCCGGTGTATGATGTTCCCCTCCCCATGTCCATGTGTTCTCATTGTTCAACTCCCACTTATGAGTGAGAATATGCTGTGTTTGGTTTTCTGTTACTGTGTTAATTTACTGAGAATGATGGCTTCCAGCTTCATCCATGTGCCTGCAAACGGACATGAGTGTGTTCTTTTTTATGGCTGCATATGGTGTATATGTGCCACATTTTCTTTATCCAGTCTATCACTGATGGGCATTTGGGTTGGTTCCAAGTATTTGCAATATTGTAAATTGTGCTGCAATAAACATACGTGTGCATGTGTCTTTATAGTAGAATGACTTATAATCCTTTGGGAATATACCCAGTAATGGGATTGCTGGGTCAAATGGTATTTCTGGTTCTAGATCCTTGAGGAATCGCCACACTGTCTTCTACAATGGTTGAACTAATTTACACTCCCACCAACAGTGTAAAAGCGTTCCTATATCTCCACAGCCTCACCAGCATCTGTTTTTTCCTGACTTTTTATTAATCTCCATTCTAACTGACATGAGATGGTATCTCATTTTGGTTTTGATTTGCATTTCTCTAATGACCAATGATGAGGTTTTTTTCATGTTTGTTGGCTGCATAAATGTCTTCTTTTGCCCACTTTTTGATGGGGTTGTTTTTTTTCTTATACATTTGTTAGGTTCCTTGTAGATTCTGCACATTAGATCTTTGCCAGATGGGTAGCTTGCAAAAATTTTATCCCGTTCTGTAGGATGCCTCTTCATGCTGATGACAGTTTATTTTGCTGTGCAGAAGCTCTTTAGTTTGATTAGATCCCATTTGTCAATTTTGACTTTTGTTGCAATTGCTTTTGGTGTTTTAGTCATGAAGTCTTTGCCCATGCCTATGTCCTGAATGGTATTGCCCAGGTTTTCTTCTAGGGTTTTTATGGTTTTGGGTTTTACATTTAAGTCTTTAGTCTTAATCTTGAGTTAATTTTTGTATAAGGTGTAAGGAAGGGGTCCAGTTTCTGTTTTCTGCATATGGCTATCCAGTTTTCCCAGCACCATTTATTAAATAGGGAATCCTTTCCCCATTTCTTGTTTTTGTCAGGTTTGTCGAAGATCAGATGGTTGTAGATGTGTGGTGTTATTTCTGAGGTCTCTGTTCTGTTCCATTGGTCTATACATCTGTTTTGGTACCAGTAACATGCTGTTTTGGTTACTGTAGCCTTGTAGTATAGTTTGAAGTCAGGTAACATGATGCCTCCAGCTTTGTTCTTTTTGCTTAGGATTGTCTTGGCTATAAGAGCTCTCTTTTGGTTCCATATGAAATTTTAAGTAGTTTTTTCTAATTCTGCAAAGAAAGTCACTGGTAGCTTGATGGGAATAGCATTGAATCTATAACTTACTTTGGGTAGTATGGCTATTTTCATGATATTGATTCTTCCTATCCATGAGCATGGAATGTTTTTCCATTTGTTTGTGTCCTCTCTTATTTCCTTGAGCAGTGGTTTTGTAGTTCTCCATGAAGAAGTCCTTCGCATCCCTTGTAAGTTGTATTCCTAGGAATTTTATTCTCTTTGTAGCAATTGTGAATGGGAGTTCACTCATGATTTTGTTCTCTGCTTCTGTATTGTTGGTGTATAGGAATGCTTGTGATTTTTACACATTAATTTTGTATCCTGAGACTTTGCTGAAGTTGCTTATCAGCTTGAGGAGTTTTGGGGCTGAGAAGATGGGGTATTCTAAATGTACAGTCATGTCATCTGCAAACAGAGACAATTTGACTTCCTCTCTTCCTATCTGAATACGCTTTATTTCTTTCTCTTGCCTGACTGCCCTGGCCAGAACTTCCAATACTATGTTGAATAGGACTGGTGAGAGAGGGCATCCTTGTCTTGTGCCAGTTTTCAAAGGTAAAGGGATCAAAGCAACAAGAAGAGCTAACTATCGTAAATATATATGCACCCAATACAGGAGCACCCAGATTCATAAAACAAGTTCTTAGAGAACTACAAAGACTTATACTCCCACACAATAATAGTGGGAGACTTTAACATACCACTGTCAATATTAAACAGATCAATGAGACAGAAAATTAACAAGGATATTCAGGACTTGAACTTAGCTAGGGACCAAGTGGACTTAATAGACATCTACAGAATTCTCCACCCCAAATCAACAGAATATACATTCTTCTCAGGGCCACATAGCACATATTCTAAAATCAACCACATAATTGGAAGTAAAACACTCCTTAGCAAATGCAAAAGAACAGAAATCATAACAAACAGTCTCTCAGACCACAGTGCAATCAAATTATAACTCAGGATTAAGAAACTCACTCAAAACTGCACAACTACATGGAAATTCAACAACCTGCTCTTGAATGACTACTGGGTAAATAACAAAATTAGGGAAAAAATAAAGAAGTTCTTTGAAACCAATGAGAACAAAGAGACAACATACTAGAATCTCTGGGACACAGCTAAAACGGTGTAAAGAGGGAAATTCATAGCACTAAATGCCCACATGAGAAAGTGGAAAAGATCCAGAATCCACACCTTAACATCACAATTAAAAGAACTAGAGAAGCAAGAGTGAACAAATTCAAAAGCTAGCAGAAGACAAGAAATAACTAAGATCAGAGCAGAACTGAAGGAGATAGAGATGTGAAAAACCCTTCAAAAAATCACCAAATCCAGGAGCTGTTTTTTGAAAAAATTACCAAAATAGATGGACCACTAGCTAGACTAATAAAGAAGAAAAGAGAGAAGAATCAAATAGACACAATAAAAAATGATAAAGGGGATATCACCACTGATCCCATAGAAATACAAACTAACCTCAGAGAATACTAAACACCTCTATCCCAATAAACTAGAAAATCTAGAAGAAATGGATAAATTCCTGGACACATACACCCTCCCAAGACTAAACCAGGAAGAAGTCAAATCCCTGAATAGACTAATAAGTTCTGAAATTGAGGCAGTAATTAACAGCCTACCAACCAAAAAAAGCCCAGGACCAGATGGATTCACAGCCAAATTCTGCCAGAGGTACAAAGAGGAGCTGGTACCATTCCTTCTGGAACTATTCCAAACAATAGAAAAAGAGGGACTCCTCCTTAACTCATTTTATGAGGCCAGCATCATCCTGATACCAAAACCTGGCAGAGACACAACAAAAAAAGAAAATTTGAGACCAATATCCCTAATGAACATCAATGCCACCATCCTCAATAAATACTGGCAAACCAAATCCAGGAGCACATCAAAAAGCTTATCCACCACGATCAAGTCGGCTTCATCCCTGGGATGCAAGGCTGGTTCTATGTATGCAAGTCAATAAATGTAATCCATCACATAAACAGAACCAATGACAAAAACCACATGATTATCTCAATAGATGCAGAAAAGCCTTCTATAATATTCAGCATCCCTTCATGCTAAATATTCTCAATAAGAAGTATTGATGGAACATATCTCAATAAGAGCTATTTATGACACACCCATGGCCAATATCATACTGAATGGGTATGTGTGCTTCTTTTAGTGATGTTTTGCTCCTCCACTCAACCCCACAACTGAGACATCCACTCCATGGGAGCAGAGCCCTCTCTGCTTTGTTCACTGCCGTATTCTCAGCTCCCAGAGCAAAGCCTGGCTTCAAGGAGTGCTAGGTGAGTGTTTATGTACTGAATGAGAGAAAGAATGAAGGAGCAACGAATGGTTTAATTCGTCCTCTGCGATCTCCCAAACAACTGCGAGCCACAGCTGAGATGCTGGACAGGCAAAAAAAGTGTTGGGAAGTCTGGGATCCCAGGAATATAGACTTCGAGGGAAAAAAGCTGATCACCTTGATGACAGTGGCCAAGAGACATGCAAGAGGACCAGGGCGGGCAGAAGGGGGTGGGTGGGGCGACTGTTTGAGGGCTGCCCGGGGAAACCCCCTTCACACAGGCTTACACTAGGCTGAGAGTCCCCCAGCCCATGGTGCCCGGCTGGGCAGAGCTGGTACTGAAGCCCATTCCAACCAGCAGATGGTATTCCGTAGCCCACCTGCAAACCAGCCTCTTGGTGGCTTCGAGAAAATTAGAGTGGTCTTGCTGAGGGAGTCTTCCCTGATTCACGCTCTGTGGATTGGCCTGGCTGCTATGTCCTGCCAGGGCAGAAAGAGAGGTTTGACATGAAGGGCTTTGTTAAGACAAGTCAATGACCTCTTTAGGTGGGGCTCTGTCTCCAGCAGGGAAGCGAGGTGTGTGTGAGTGAATGCGTGTGAGCATGACAGTGTGCACATATGTAACAGTGTGTGTGTTTGAGTGTGTATGCGCATGTGAGAGTTGTGTGAGCATGACAGTGCACGTGTTTGTGTGTGTCCATGAATGTGTGTATAAGTATATATATATGTGTCTTCATATGTGTGAAAATGTGCAAGAGTATAAGTGTGGGTAAGTTCTGAGAGTGTTGAGTGAATTCACACGTGTGTAAGAGTGTACGTGTGTGAGCACATACATGTGTGAGTGTGCACGTATGTGTGTGCGCATACACATGTGTACACACGAGTGTGTGAGTGTACGTGTGTGAGCATGCATATGTGTGTAAGTATACACATATGAGTGTTGACTACACATGTGTGTACATATGTGAGTGTGTGAGCATGTACACATGAGTGTAAGCATACAAATGTGTGTGACTACATGTGAGCATGTTAGTGTACTTATGTGAGTGTACACGTGTGTGAGCATACACGTGTATGTCTGAGTGTATGCATGTGAGTGTGTGTACACATCTGAGTGTGAGCATACAAATGTGTGTGACTGTACATGTGAGTGTGTAGGTGTACACGTGTGCAGTGTACACGTGTGCAATGTACACGTGAGTGTCAGCATACATATATGAGAGTACATGAGTGTGTGAGCATAGACGTGTGTGAGCATACACATGTCAGTGTGTGTATGCGTGTGTACACGTGTGTGAATGTACACAGCTGTGAGTGTAAACGTGTGTGAGCATACACATGTGAGTATGTGTACATACGAGTGTGAGCGTGTGAACGCACACGTGTGTGTACGTGTGTACATATGCGTGTGAGTGTGTGTACAATGAGTGTGTGAGTGTATGCATGTGTGTGAGCGCACACGTAACTGTACGTGTTTGAGTGTACATATGTGAGTGTGTGAGCATGTACACATGAGTGTGTGTGCACGTGGAGCAGTGCAGCGGAGCAGGCAGGGGCCTGGCTCCCCTCCCCTTGACAGACTTGTCCGGATTTCATTCCTTGCAGGACTCTCCTGAGGATGGAGGCCCTTGTCACCGGGCATCTTGAAAGGACATCCTGCCATTGTTCACAGGACTCAACTACAGACTGCTCTTCCAGATCTTGAAATAAGTACCCCCTGGCCTGGCTCAGGAGCCTGCTAGGACCTGCACAAGATGGTGTGTGGACACAGCCCAAGGCTTCCCTTCCACGCGGTGGGAGGCCGAGGAGTGAGAAAGCGGAATTCCGCTGTGCAGGGGAGCTGACCGATGCACCCCGGGGGGACGCCGGCCAAGTGAATGGGGTCACTCCAAGGCCAGGGACTCTCCACATCTTCCATGGTGTGACCTGGATCCCCACACATGTGGTGTCAATCAAAACATTGCTCTAGCCCGGGGTGTTACTCCCTTCCTGGCCCCTGCGCTTTGTGTGCTTGGGCCGCATGCCCCGCCTCCCCACTCCACGAAGTGTGAGACAGCAAGACATGAACTTGCTTGATACCTGGTCCCCCTGACACGCAGCTGGAGCACGCAGCATCCCCACGTGTCCAGAGACTGCGGACAGCCATCCCCACGGCCACATTGACCCTTGCCCTGATGCAGGCAGCACCATCAACCTTCTCTCCATGGCCACCTGTCTCCCCCGGAAAGGACACTGGAGAAGCATGTGTGCACACACATGTTTAGTTTGGGCGAAACGTGCTGCTGAAGCCCAAAGCACCACATAATTCAAGGCGTTTATTTGTGGGGCCCAAGAATAGACAGAATGGCTGTGGAGTGCCTTGGCTCAGGTTTCCAGTAAAAAAAAAAAAAAAAAAAAAAAGTCTGGGAACTTGTTCGTATAAAGGGGAATATTTATAGATGCTGAGGGAACCTCTTATTTTTTCTGATTCAGAATTTCCTGACATGATTTGGTGTATGTGGGAAAATTCCCACTTTAAAACCACAGAAATCTGGTAGTCATAAAGCCGTGTGCAGAAGATCAGAGCTCTACACCCAGGCATCTCATGTTTAAACTACAGAAAATTAAAGGCACAGAGAAAATCCTGAAGCAAGCCAGACAGCAGGGAGGCACCTTACCTATACAGGAACAAAGATAAAAATTACATCAGACGTCTTTTCAGAAACCATATAAGCAAGAAGAGAGTTATTTAAAGAGTTGAAAGAAGAAAAAAGAAATCACCAACTTAGACCTCTGTACCCAGTAAAATTATCCTTCAAAAGTGGAGGAAGAAAGACTTTCCCAGACAAAGACTGAGGAAATTTGTTTCAAGTAGATTTGCCTTGCAAGAACTGTGTTTCTTAAGAGAGAACAAAAATGATACACATCAGAAATTCAGCACTACATACATAAAGAACAACTTCAGAAGGAGATGCCAGGTGGTTTGAATGAAAACACTTTTCTTTCTGGAGACAGTGTTTCTGAAGACGCTGAAGTCCAGAACTTCTTGAACAAGAAACTGTAGCATGGAAGCAAAGAATTTGAGATAAAAAGGAACAAATGCTGAAACCCTTGAACACACAAATGAAACCGGCCGTGAGTGATAAAATGAGCCGGTTGGAATCTTTGGCTGAACCATGCTGAAGACCACCCATCTATGGGTCAGAAGTTAATCTGAAGAGTCACATTGATGATTTGACTTAAATGTGTCCTTTGAAAGGCCTGAAGGAAAAGAACAAGAACTATACAGAAAATAGTGCGAGGAAAATAAAAATGAATGAAGAGCTTGCCGGACAAATAAAAAGGCCCCAAACTGAAGCATTTTGGCAGTGTGAAAATTCACAGCTTGAAAATGAGATATAGAAGCTTTAGCTGAAGCTTCAAATACTGCCTAAATTACATCCGGAACATGTAATGCAATGGCAGAGAGAAAATGGCTGAGGAGGAAATACACTGCTTGGAAATTAAGAAGAAACTTCCCAGCGTGTGTAGAAATGTGAATTACATACATCAGATTCACAACCTCTACAAGAAGATGACCCAAGACATGGACAAAGAATAAGGAAGAACCACTTTCTTCTATCAAAAGGAGATTCTCTTCTATGAGGAAACAGTACGGGAAAAATTGGATGGCAGTTCTGTTGACTGAGAGAAAACTCAACGTGCTAAGAAAAAAAAAAATGATCGCAGCAGGAAAATCCTGGCTAACGTCAAGTTCAAGTCTCACCTTTCCCAAGTGGCCTTTTTATTCCTGCTGTTCCAAGCACAACACACAGAGGCCCAGAACTACCAGGGGGTCCCCTGAATCATCACGTTCTCCAGGAAGGAGGAGGACGGTGCTATGAGGCTCAAGGATCTGGGTCACCTTCAGATTTCACTCAGTTCTCACAGCAGGGGGGCCCTGAACACCCACAATCACAGCAGGACATCCGCCTGTGCTGTCTCTTTAAAGTGATTTTGATGTATTTCTTTTTAGTTCAGCTGCTCTTATTTAATGGATGCTACCATTGCTCTTATTCAAGTAGACATAGCATTATAATTTGAAGACAGTTTTTTTTTTTTTTTGAGATGGAGTTTCTCTCTTGTTGCCCAGGCTGGAGTGCAATGGCACGATCTTGGCTCACTGCAACCTCGCCTCCCGGGTTCAAGCAATTCTCCTGCCTCAGCATCCTGAGTAGCTGGGATTACAGGTATGCACCACCATGCCCGGCTGATTTTGTGTATTTTTAGTAGAGATGGGGTTTCTCCATGTTGGTCAGGCTGGTCTTGAACTCCTGACCTCATGTGATCCACCTGCCTTGGCCTCCCAAAGTGCTGGGATTACAGGCGTGAGCACTGTGCCCGGCCTTTAAGATAGTATTTTTCAAATAAAGGTTTATTTTATATAACACTTATGAATACATTATTTTTCATGTTGTTGAACTCTCTACAGTTAGGCCATAGAAATCTTGTTTTGTTTTGTTTTGTTTTTGAGAGAGTCTCTTTCTGTTGCCTAGGCTGGAGGGCAGGGGCACAATCTCGGCTCACTGCAACCTCCACTTTCTGGGTTCCAGAGATTCTCGGGCCTCAGCCTCCTGAGTAACTAGGACTACAGGTGTGTACCACTGCGCCCAGCTTATTTTTGTATTTTTAGTAAAGATGGAGATTTGCCATGTTTCCCAGGCTGGTATCAAACTCCTGACCTCAAGCAATCCACCCACGTTGGCCTCCCAAAGTGCTGAGATTACAGGCATGAGCCATCATGCCCAGCAAAATATTGTATTTTAATTTAAATGGAGGGTCCGCTGTTACTTAAACTATCATTGAATAACAATGTTTAGAACAACAAAGACCATTTCTGTACGCTAGGGACAGCTATTAGACATTTGTTCAAGTAATTTCATATTTACTACAATACACTTTTTTTTTTTGAGGCAGAGTCTTGCTCTGTTGTCCAGGCTGGAGTGCAGTGGCGCGATCTCTGCTCACTGCAAGCTCCGCCTCCCGGGTTCATGCCATTCTCCTGCCTCAGCCTCCCAAGTAGCTGCGACTACAGGCGCCCGCCACCATGCCTGGCTAATTTTTTGTATTTTTTTAGTAGAGACGGGGTTTCACCATGTTAGCCAGGATGGTCTCAATCTCCCGACCTCGTGATCCACCCTCCTCGGCCTCCCAAAGTGCTGGGATTACAGGCATGAGCCACCGTGCCCGGCACCACAATACATTTTGATTGGTTTTAAAAAGTTGAGGGGAAACACCCCTTAACAACAACAATTCCCCACTCAAACATCATAATGTTGTTATTAGATTAGCCCTAAATTCATAGATTGATTTAGGGGAGTCGATATTTTGCAACCACTTTTTTTCTTATTTTGTAATTTTTAAAGACTTTATTGTTTTGTTTAAGATACTGTTTGTTGTTTAAACATTTCTAAATTTTATACAGTCAAAAGTTTTCCCTTGCATGCGGGGCTTAAAGCCTAGATGATGAGTTGATAGGTGCAGCAAACCACCATGGCACATGTATACCTGTGTAACAAACCTGCACGTTCTGCACATGTATCCCAGAACTTAAAGTAAAATTAAAAAAACAAGTTTTCCCTTAATGTCACATGCACCTGTACACACAGACACACACACACACACACACACAGACACACACACCCCACAATGCAGATGTAAGGTACTTTCAATTGTTATGTCAGTACTTGAGGAAAATGTAAAAATAAAAAGAGCCACGATTTTAAAAACATTTTTAAAATAAATAAGTGAAGAAAGAAAAAATTGAGTGCACACCAAATTTGTACATACAGAAAAGAGATCTAAATCATAAACACACAAAAGGAGGGCTGCTAATGTATCACACAAGATTCAAACAAGAAGCAGTTCATCCTAAACCGTGCAGATGAAGAGATGTTGATGAAAGCGGTTTTCCAAGCAGTGGGTGGGGATAAGGAACTGACAGGGGATGGTGAGGCTCTCAGACGCCAGCAACAGGGGGATGACTGCCCTCCCCCACCTAGGCCCCAAGGAAGGAGGGAGGAAGTGGTGTCATCTGAGCCCAGCGGGGAGCTTTTGAGGGATGGATAAAACTGGTCCCCACCCTCTCTGGTCTTGTCTTCCTATTGACTACTGGTGCACAGGCAGCCACCAGCCATAGGGCCTGAGCAGTGCAGGCCAGAGGAGTTGGCCTCCTAGGCACAGAGCAGGCCCACAAAGGCTGCAAAACAAATTTGGAGAATGACCAGTTCACTTGACTCTATTCGATTGAAAGAGTGTGTGTTATTGCATTCGTTCATTCCCATGTGTATATCTAATAAACATCTATTGTACTTCTGCTGTATCTTACCATGGTTCCAGGTGCTTGGGATGCAGCAAAGGAAAAACAACCTGATGAGGCCTATGGACCACCAGAGCTTACATTCCAGTGACGGGCAAGGTCAGGTAACAAAAAGGAAGCAGAAGTTAGTGATGGTGGAAAAGGAGGAGGAAGAGGAGGAGATGACAAGGTCACAAGACTGGCTTTGGAGCTCTAGCAGGGCTGGCTCCCTCCTACCTCTGCAGGGACCTTTGGCTGTGGTCTCGGCAGGGCCTGACCCACGACAGAACTTCGCTGGGAAGCAGCTTCAAAGCCCAGCATGGAGACAGTCGGCTCTGATAACAAGGCTTCTTTCCTTAACAGAGGCTTCTCTTTTTCCTGCCATCACTGGAGTCCCAGCCTGATGCAGAGAGGCTCTATTCATGCTGTGTTCATGCTGGCTGGCAGCAATGGCCAGAAAGGAAGCATCATGCCTTCTTCACCATTGGAAGCCTTTTGTCTCTTGCTGTATGTGATCACTCCCCTGTCTTGCAAGTGGCTCACTGTGCTGAACTACTCAGCCTCCTTATTGCCTGATTCAGCATAGCACAAGGGTTTAGAGTGTGAATTCTGGTACTACACATACTAGCTGTGTGCCCTTGACCAAGTTTCTTACCCTCTCTGTGTCTCAGTTTCTTATCTGTAAAACAGGAATGCTAATATGTGGTACATGTCATATACGTTTGTTGTGGGGCTATGTGATCACATAGGTAAAGTGCTTACAGCAGTGCCTGGCTCACAGCAGAACCTAGATACATGTTTGCTAACAGCAATTTTCCTCTTGACAACATGGAGCTCTGGGGTAAAGAGACATGCCTAGAGCCAGGCATGGTGGCTTATGCCTGTAATCCCAGTGCTTTGGGACGCTGAGGTGGGAGAATCACTTGAGGTCAGGAGTTCAAGACCAGCCTGGCCAACATGGTGAAACCCCGTCTCTACTAAAAATACAAAATTTAGCCAGGTGTGGCAGCACATGGCTGTAATCCCAGCTACTCAGAGGCTGAGGCAGGCAAGTCACTTGAACCTGGGAGATGGAGGTTGCAGTGAGCTGAGATCGTGACATAGCAGTCCAGCCTGGGCAACAGAGTGTGAGACTCCATCTCAAAAAAAAAAAAGCCATGCCTAGAAATCAAAGAGGTGAAGCAGATGCATGGAGATCCAGCCCAGCTGATGGGCATGCAGGAGGTGCAGCCAGGCTGGCACAGGCTGGCCAAGCAGAGTGTAATGACAGGCAGAAGGTAGACGGGACACTCAGGGGGCTCAGCACGTCTGCAAGAGGTAATGACAGCTACTGGGAAGCTGGTGTGGGCTGGAGACTGGGATCCAGGCTACCATTATTCTCTAAACCACGGGACCTCCTTGACTAGCCCTTCCTCTGGTGCTCAAGGGTGGGGCAGGGCTGAGCTGCAGGTTAAATGCTCCTCCTCTGGGGCTGAGCTGAGCTGGGTGTCATGCCGGTCACCTATAGAGGCAGGCACCACCAGCTCAGGTGGGATTGTCAATAAAGCCAATTCTCTAATGACCTTCACAGATGGGCCCAGGAGAAGTGAGACTGAAACATCCCAGGCTAGGCAGACACTTGGCAATACCAGGAAGTCGGCTGATCCTATCTTCTAGGCTCTTGGATATTCCTTTTCCATTGTCCTCATGTGCCTGGAGCTTCCATGCCGCCTCCTGGCTGGCCAGAGGCCTCTGGTTGATCATCCATCTGAGCCTGACTTCTCCCTCCTGGGCTTGTTTAAAAATAGTACTTTCCCCTGCTCCTTCCTCTCACGAGGCCCCTATTCCTGGATACTTATCAGCTGGGCCTTGGATGAAGATAAACTGATAGATTCATACTTTATGGAGTGGCTGACAGCCCTCAGGAACACGTGCTTGAGGGTAGCACACCCCAGCTCCACTGGCACAGAAGCAGCTGTGCTTGGGATCTTTCCAGATCTTGCCCTATGTATCCTTCATCTGTATGTTTATTTATATATTTTAAAATATCCTTTGTAATACACTGGTGAATATAAGTGTTTCTCTGAGTTCTGTGAGCAGTCGTAGCAATTTAATCAAACTCAAGGAGGGGGTCATGGAACCCCAATTTATAGCCAGTGAATCAAAAAGCACAGGCAAAATAACCTGGGGCTTGTGATTGCCCCAGAAGCAGAGGGCAGCCTTGTGGGACTGAGCCCTCACCCTATGGGGTCTGTCTTATGCTAGCTCCAGGTAGATGGCATCGGAACTGAACTGGAGGACACCAGTTGGTGTCTTGTTGCAGAATGGATTGCGTCCTTGGTGTGTGGGGAAAACCACACACACATTTGATCACAGAAGTCTTCTGTGTTTGTTGTTGTGGAGTGAGAGCAGAGGAAAACCAGATTGAGTTTCCCCCCATCAATTTCTAACCTCAGTTCCCCCTCAGTTAGACATAGTGACCCAACACACATTTCTATCAACAAGTAGATACAGAGGCACAGTGACCCAACGCACACATTTCAATAAATAGGTAGATGTTGGGCATAGTGAAGCAACATACACATTTCTTATGCACCTTATACACATATTCATCATGTACCTAGCCTGCTTGGGCTGCTATAACAAAATACCCAGGTGGCTGGAGTGGCTTATTGATATGGTTTGGCTCTGTGTCCCTACCCAAATCTCATCTTGAATTGTAATCCCCACATGTCAAGGGAGGGACCTGGTGGGAGGTGATTGGATCATGGGGACAGTTTCCCCCATGCTGTTCTTGTGACGGTGAGTGAGTTCTCACAAGATCTGATGGTTTTGTAAGTGTTTGGCAGTTCCTCCTTTGCTCTCTTTTCCTCCTGCCTTGTGAAGAAAGTTCTTGCTTCTCCTTCACCTTCCACCATGATTGTAAGTTTCCTGAGGCCTCCCCAGCTGTGCAGAACTATGAGTTAATTAAACCTCCTTTATTTATAAAGTACCCAGTCTCAGGTATTCCTTATAGCAGTGTGAAAACGGACTAATACACTTACAAATAGCATAATTAATTTCTCACGGTTTTGGGGACTGAGAAGTCCAAGATCAAGGTACCAGCAGATTCTGTGTCTGGTGAGGGCCTGCTTCCTTGTTCATAGATGGTGCTTTCTAGTTGTGTCCTCACATGGTGGAAGGGGAAAACTCTGTTCTCTTTAGTCCTTTATAAGGGCACTAATCCCACTGATGAGGGCCCCACCCTCATGACCTAATTACCTCCCAAAGGTTATACTTGTTAATTCCATCACACTGGGGATTAGGCTTAGGCTTTACCATATGAATTTTGGGGGCAACAAACATTCAGACCATAGCATATCATAAATGTACAGTTCAATGAATCACCATAAAATGAATACACTCATGTAACCACAATCCAGGTGAATAAATGGAACCTTATCATTATCTTCAGCCTTCCTCCCCACCTCCACTCTGTGATCGCTACCCCTTCCTTCTCCCATGACTTCTAACACCACAGATTAGTGTCTGAACATAAGGTATTTGTCTTGTTTTGAGTCTGGCATCCTTCCCCCTATGTCATGTTTTGGCTTGGAGCAGTCATTCATTCAGTCACTTAAGTATTCCATATATGAATATATCACTATTTGTCTATTCATTCACTTGCTAATGGATATTTGGGTTGTTTCATCTTTCAGCTTTCAATAAATAATGCAGCTATGAACATTCTTGCTTATGTCTTTCCATAAACCTATATACAGGTGTGACTTTAGTAGATACTACCAAACAGTTTTCCAAAAGGGTGTACAGTTTTTCCCTTCTAGCAGCGTGTGAGAGTTCCAGTTGCTCCATATCCTTCAATAAATGATATTGTCAGTCTTTTTAAATGTAGCTTTTCTGATGGGTAAGGATGGTTTTTCTTATGGTTTTAATTTGCATTTGTCTGCTGAATAGTGAGGCTCCACATCTTCTTGTTTGTTTTTATGTTTATTAGGGTAGCCTCTTTTATGAAGTGCCTGATCCATTTTCTTACCCATCATTTTCCTTTGGATTGTCTTTTTGCTATTGTTTAAGTAGAAGGGTTCTTTATACAAGTCCTTCCTTACATCTTATCCTACACTGTGGCTTTCCACTCTCTCTCTTTTGTTGAGACAGGGTCTCACTATGTTTCCCAGGCTGGTTTTGAACTCCTGAGCTCAAGCAATCCTCCCACCTCAGCCTCTTTTCCACTCTCTTAATAGTGTTTATTGATGAACAGAAACTCAGTTTTTGTAAAATCCAGTAAATCAGTATTTTCCACTGTGGTTATTGTTTTAGGTGTCTTGTTTAAGAAAATTTTGCTTATTCCTAGCTCAGGAAGACATTTCCCTGTTGTATTTCTAGGATTGTTATTGTTTTGGTGTTGACATTTAGGTCTACAATTGACATGGAATTGATTTCTGTGTATGATGCGAGGTACCTGGCAAGAGAAATATTTTTCCTTAGGAATAACCAGTTGACTTGGAATCATCGATGGAAAAGCTCACATTTCTCCTCTGTTCTGAGGTGTGGATTTTTTTTTTTTTTTTGATGGATTTTCTCTCTTGTCACCTAGGCTGGAGTGCAATGGCACGGTCTCGGCTCACTGCAACCTCTGCCTCCTGGGTTCAAGGAATTCTCCTGCCTCGGCCTCCCGAGTAGCTGGGATTTTAGGTGCCTGCCACCACGCCTAGCTAATTTTTGTATTTTTAGTAGAGATGGAGTTTCACCATGTTGGCAAGGCTGGTCTCGAACTCCTGACCTCAGGTGATCTTGGCCTCCCAAAGTGCTTGGATTACAGGCATGAGCCACCACACCCAGCTGGATCTTTTTTTATAAATCAAAAACAAGTGTTTATATATATGTGATTCTGTTCCTGGATGTTCCATCATTAGATTTGCCTCTGTGCCAGTAACATGCTACCTTAATTACTGTAGCTTAATAATAAGTCTTGATTGACAGTACGGTAAGTTCCTAGGGTAACTCTTTGTTCTTGTTCTTCAAGGTTGTCTTGACTTTTCTTAAACTTTTGAACTTCTTTACACATTTTAGAATCAGCTTATGAATTTTCACAAATATCTACCTAGATTTTGATTTTTGGTTGCATTTAATCTACACTTTCATTGCATTAATTCATTTGGGGAGAATAGATATCTTTATGCTATTGACTCTTCCAATCTACAATATAACATATACCTTCATTTATTTAGACCTTCTTAATAATATTTTATGTTTTTCTATGTGGAGGTCTTATATATCTTTTGTTATATTTATTCCTATGTATTTAATATATTTGATCCTATCATCAATGGTACAGTTTAAAATATTTATTTTCTAATTATTTATTACTAGTATATAAGTACTATTGATTATTGATTTTTTAAAATAATGATCTAGTATTCAGTAAAATCTAAATTTACTTCCAAAAATATTCTGGGCGTCTGGATTTGTTTCCTAGGCTGCTACAACAAAGTATCACAAACTTGGTGGCTTAAAACAACACACATTTATTCTCTCACAGTTGTAGAGGCCAGAAGCCCCCAAACCAGGTGTTGACAGAGCCACACTTCCTCTGAGGGCTCTGGGGGAACATCCTTCCTTGCCTCTTCCAGCTTCTGGTGGCCCCAGGAGTTCCTTGGCTTGTGGAAGCCTCACTCCTGTCTCTTCCTCTGTTTTCACGTGGCTGCTTCTACGTACCTCTGTGTCTCAAACCTCCCTCTCCTTTCTCTTATAAGGATACTCATCAGTGGGTTTAGGCCCATCCTACATCCAGGCTGATCTCATTTTGAGATCCACAACTTGCTTCCCTCAGCAAAGATACTATTTCCAAAGAAGGCTACATTCACAGGTACAGGGAGTTAGGACTTGGATGTAGATACGGCCAATTGAGAGATACAATTCAACACACAGTAGCATCCAAGCAAATATATGTATTTGCTCTGTTCTTCACCCAAGTGGTCACTGTTCCATACCTTGCTTTCATTCACTTAGCAATGTGCCTCCAAGATTGTTCTGTATCACCCGGGAGGCGGAGCTTGCAGTAAGCGGAGATCGTGCCACTGCACTCCAGCCTGGGCGACAGAGGGAGACTCCGTCTCAAAAAAAAAAAAAGATTGTTCTGTATCACCCCTTCAAGAGTTCTGCATTCTCTCAAAGGCTGCACAGCATTGCACGGGGCGGAATACCACATTTTAGGGGACCCGTCCTCTATTGCTGGAAATTTGGGAGAGAGCAGAGCCTTAGAGCCCATCCAGCCATATTCAGGCCAGTGGCCTTCCCTGGATAGGTGCTTCAGTGTCTGTCCCCAGGCTCCTCCTCTGTAAAGCAGATGGTTGGGGAGATGATCACAGCCTACTTTCTGGCTGCCAGGTATTCGGGTCTACTCCTCCTAAATGATTCTTCCTGTATGTTTTACGTGGGGGTCGAGGGGATAGGAGAGGGTGGCCCTGACTTCCCCTGCTCCCTGACGGGGTCACAGATTGATGGTGGTTTGCATGTGTGGGAGGGAAGTGTGAGAAGAGGCAGAGGATCTTGATGCATTTGATGAAAGCCAGAGAAGAGGGCTGAGGAAGCTTTCTGAATGAGGTCCAGATGGCTGAACACTCAGGCACCAACTGCCACGTCCAAACCAAGGGCTTGGGGTGTTGGATGGAGCAAGTGTCCAGATGTCTGCTGCTTGCAGCATTGCCCCCTCTGAGAAGCAAAGCAGGATTGTCCCCAGCCTTCAGAAGTTCTGGCTTGCTTTTCGACTTCTTGCCTTTGCTTTTATAATCCTCTCAGCGACCTCCATGACTTACTAAGGTTTCTGAAATAAAAACCAGATGCCTGATGTCTTAGGCCTATGAAAGCTTTCCTAAAACTCCTTCTGAGCTGCTAAAGTCTCAGGCTGCTAGTGACTCGGAGGTGCTCAAAAACTCTGCAGCAAAAAGCAAGTGTCATAATATTATTCTCTAGCCTGGGTTAATTATAGTGATTTTTCTCTATTCAAGGCAGCTAGAAAATCCTCTGTGGCATGCAAAGATCTAGGTTGCTGGGATCTGGGTGCATCTTGCATTTATTGTCTTCCCTCTAGCTTTGGTTTTCTCAGCCTCCAGGGAGAGGCCACTGTCTTTCTACCTTTAGGTTACCTCAGGCTAGGTTTGTACAGACACCTATCCATCTCACTGTAAGCCACTCTGACCTCATCCACTGGCAGAGCTAGCAAATTCCAGAGCTTTAATAGGGGACTGATCAGCATAGGGTGCAGCAACGTATGTCCAAAGTGTCTTCCCCAACTTGTCCTTCTCACCTGGAAATGGTTCCTTTTTATTTGTAAGAGCAAAGTTTTCAGACACCAAAACCATCAGCCAAGGCGTGGGGGGTACACATGGCAGAGAGTCTGGGGCCAGGAGACTTACTTACCTTCTGGCCTGGGCTCAGCATGAAAGTTCTCGATCTTAGCCTCCACCAATACAGACATTGACTTTCTGAGCCCCAGTTTACCCATATAATTATTCAACCACAGGCTGAGGCTCCAGAGGGGAATCAGGAACAGCCCAAACTCTAAAAAGGCTCGCCGTTTAGGACGGGAGGCAAACACTCACACAAGGGTTCGAAGGCATTTTAGGTGCTTCGACAGAAGTACATAGGGGTGACCATGAAAACACAGTGGGGGAAAACTCAGTTCTCTCTGTCTGGGGAGACACACAAGACACAAGTGCAATTATGTTGAAAGGTGAGGCCAAGCGCAGTGGCTCACTCCTGTAATCCCAGCACTTTGGGAGGTTGAGGCAGGTGGATCATGAGGTCAGGAATTCGAGACCAGCCTGGCCAATATGGTGAAACCCTGTCTCTACTAGAAATACAAAAATTAGCCGGGCGTGGTGGCGCAGCCCTGTAATCCCAGCTACTTGGGAGTTTGAGGCAGAAGAATCGCTTGAACCCAGGAAGTGGAGGTTACAGTGAGCTGAGATCACTCCACTGCACTACAGCCTGGGCGACAAGAGCGAGACTCCACTCAAAAAAAAAAAAAAAAGAAAGAAAGGTGAGAGGGCATTTACCCAGTGACAGGAAGGGGAGGACATTCTTGGAAGGGACGGATGAGCAAAACCCAGAACTGTGAAGAGCCTGGCAGGCCTGGGAAACTGCAGGAGGCTTAGCATGGCTGGAGCAAGGGGCACAACAGGCAATGTGGGGAGGGAGGCGGGGCCAGGGGAGGGGCTTCGACACCACTCTTAGGGCAGAGGCTGTCACCCAGGGACGATTTCGCCATGCCTGAAGACGTCTTTGACTATCACTTCCAGGGAGTTGGAATGCTACTGGCATCTAATAGGTGAAGGTCAGGGATTCTGTTAAACGCACAGAACAGCCCCTACAACAAAGAATTATTCAGCCCCATATATCAATAGCGCCGAGGTTGAGAACCTTACTGTATTAGTCCGTTCTCACACTGCTACTAAAGACATACCCGAGACTGGGTAATTTACAAAGAAAAGAGATTTAATGGACTCACAGTTCCACATGGCTGGGGAGGCCTCACAATCATGGCAGAAGATGAAGGAACAGCAAAGGGACTTCTTACATGGCAGTGGGCAGGAAAGCTTGTGCAGGGGAATTCTCATTTATAAAACCATCAGATCTTGTGAAACTTATTCACTTCTTCTATAACAGTAGGGGGGAACTGCCCCATCATTCAATTATCTTCACCTGGTCCCGCCCTTGACACACGAGGATTATTAAAATTTAAGGTGAGATTTGGGTGGGGACACAGCCAAACCATATCACTTATTCTCAGGGTAATGGGGACTGCTGGGGGGTTTTAAGCTGGGGATTGGCGCTCCCAGCTTTTTTCTTAGGAAGATGACTGTAGTAGCACCACAGCACATAATCAGAGGGGAAAACCCTGGCAGAAGGAAGATCATTTCAGGCAGGAGCTGTTATGCCTTCAGGTAGGAGTTGCCCAACTGCGACCCATGGTCCAAATCTGGCTTGTCATCTGTTTTTGCAGGTCTACAAGCTAAGAGTGCATTTTACATTTTTTAGTGGTTGAACAAAATCAAAAGAAGAATAATGTGTCACGTAAAAATTATATAAAATTCAACTTTCAATGTTCATACATAGTTTTATTGGAACTCAGCCACTCTTATTTATTTACACATTATTTAGAGCTGTTTTTGCCCTACAGTGATAGAATTGAGTAGTTGCAACAGAGACTGCATGGCCTGTAAAGCCTAAAATATTTACTATTTGGCCCTTTATAGAGGAAGTTGGTCAGCCCCTGACTTAAACCAAGGCAACAGAGGTGAAGATGACAGAAAGATATAGGCCCAGGAGTGATGTAAGAGGAGTACCATTAATGGACTTGGCCAGTGATTGATTATGGGGTGAGGAAAGGAGATCATTTTCTAGCTTGGGAGCTTTGGTAAGAGAGAAAAAAGAGCCAGGTTTTAGGATTTAAAGACAGGTTGGCTAGGTGAAGTGGCTCATGCCTGTAGTCCCAGTAATTTGGGAGGCAAAGGCAGATAGATTGCTTGAGCCCAGGAGTTCGTGATCTGCCTGGGCAACATGGAGAGACCTGGTCTTTACAAAAAATACAAAAATTATCTGGGTGTGGTGGCATGTGCTTGTAGTCCCAGCTACTCAGGAGGCTGAGACAGGAGGATCACTTGAGCCCAGGAGGTTGAGGCTGCAGTGAGTTGTGATCGTGCCATTGCACTTCTGCCCAGATGGCAGAGCAAGACCCTGTCTCAAAAAAATACAATAAAGACTTAGGTTTTGGACATGTTGGGTTTGAAGTAACTGTGAGATGACTAGGCCAACCTATAAAAGGAAAACCAAAGCTAGTGGGAAGACAATAAATGCAAGATGCTCCCAGATCCCAGCAACCTTAATCCTTGCATGCCATAGAGGATTTTCTAGCTGCCTTGAATAGAGAAAAATCACTATAATTAACCCAGGCTAGAGAATAATATTATGACACTTGCTTTTTGCAGCAGAGTTTTTGAGCACCTCTGAGTCACCAGCAGCCTGGGACTTCAGTGGCTCAGAAGGAGTTTCAGAAAAGTATTCACAGGCCTAACCCATACACAGGACTGGGGCATAGGAAAGACGCACAGGTTGGAAATGAATATTAACAAATCTTCAGCCTGTGGAGTTGAGATGAAGCCAGGACAGCACATGACATGGCCTAAGACAATGGGTTGTCCTTGTGTAGGTAACAGCACCCTGGAGGAATCTTTTGAAAGCTTTGGCTTTCTCCTCAGAACAATAACACACTCAAAAATCGTCATATGGCTTCTGGTTCTGGAATCATGGGTTTCACGAAGTCCTGGACTCAAAATTAAGAACTTTTGACCTAGAATGAATTTATGAGTCAAAGGAAGGCCAAGCACAGGTAGATGGGCACATCAACATGCAAGGCATGGGCAGAGGGAGGGAGCCCACGTAGGAGACTGAGAGGGGCTGGATGGAAAGAGAGGAAGAGGGCAGAGGGAGGGAGCCCATGTAGGAGACTGAGAGGGGCTGGATGGAAAGAGAGGAAGAGAACAGAGGTGCTCTAAAAACCAAGCAAAGAAAAGCATGTGCCAAGAATGGATGGAAGGATCAACGGTGTTCTAGCTGCAGAGAATTAAGCCACATGGGCTGATGAGAGTCTACTGGGGATTTAAGCGTGGTGGTCATGGGTAAGCTTTGCCTGAACCTCTCTGGGGAAGGGGGAGGTGGAGACAGGGTAGGCTAACAACTGAGTGGGAAGTGAGGTGGAAGAGACATGAGTGCAGGCTCTTTTTTCAGGGGTTTGGGTATGAGGAAAGAGGAAGACTCCAGCAGGAGTAGTGGAAGGTGTGCAAAGAGCTGAAGGACGGACAGTTAGAGTGTACAGCTCATATTGTCTTAATCCCAGAAAGACTTGAGTTGTATAATATTTTGCCAATTACCAGCTGTATTAGTCTGTTTCCACGCTGCTGATAAAGACATACCTGAGACTGGGCAATTTATTAAAAAAAAAAGGTTTAATTGGACTCACAGTTCCACATGGCTGTGGAGGCCTCACAATCATGGCAGAAGGCAAGGAGGAGTAAGTCATGTCTTACATGGATGGTGGCAGGCAAAAAGATTGAGAGCTTGTGCAGGGAAACTCCCAGTTTTTAAAAGATCAAACCTCATGAGGCTCATTCACTGTTATGAGAGCAGCGCAGGAAAGACCCATCCCCATAATTCAATCACCTCCCCCCAGGTTCCTCCCATGACACATGGAATTGTGGGAGTTACAATTCAAGATGAGATTTGTGGGGGGACACAGCAAAACCTTATCACCAGCCAACAGGGAGAGACTGAAAAGACAGTAGAGAGCAGAGAGAACTGAAGAACACAATTTTGGTCCTAAGGAAGATGGTACAGGCAGGTGCTGTGGTGGGGGGAGTCGGCAGGTCAAGAGGTTTCATTACTGTCCCCGAACCCCAGTTCCCACATTCCCCTTTCCCTATCAGGCAACACCTCACCTGCCAGACTGACTTCAGCTGAATGTCTGTGGGCTACTCTGGTCATTCCTGCCAATTTGGGATAGACACTGATCTGGCTGGAAATGGTTTTTGAACTTGCATCCAAAACACATAGCCTAATTTGAATCTCACCAGAGAAGTCTGGCTCCAAAGCAATATTTGAACTCAAATTTATTGCTGCTATTAGCTCTTTCTAAGAGAATCATAAGTAGATGTTGATATTTTAATGACAGTTATGTCACTGGCTGGCATATTTAAAAGTAGTCATTTTAAGATGTTTCAACAGATCAGTCATGCACTGTGTCAAATGAGAGGTGCAAATTAGCAGTAAAATATATAACAAACTGTCCCTTTATAGGTATTGCCGAATTTGAGAAATCCAATAGAGGGGATATAAATTACTGTGACTGATACATTAGCAGTCCATCAGTCTGCATATCCAGAGAATCTGCTAACATATTCCTATAAATACTGAGTGTGGGAGAATGCTCTTCTGGTGATTCCCAGTGAACTGCACCTCCCAGAACTCACTTTAAATTTGGCCTTGCCTGGGCCTGCTTTAATGAGTCAAGTGTGTGGCAGAAGTGATACTGGGCCAATTCTAGATCTACATCTTTTTTTTTTTCTTTTTCATTTTTAGAGCCAACATCTTGCTCTGTTGTCCAGGCTGGAGTGCAGTGGCATGATGACAGCTCACTGCAGCTTCCCCTGCCTGGGCTCAAGTGATCCTCCCACCTCAGCCCATTGAGTAATTGAGACTATAGGCTCATGCCACCCCACCCAGCTAACTTTTGTATTTTTTTATAGAGATGGGATTTCGCCATGTTGCCCAGGCTGGTCTTAAACTCCTGGGCTCAAGTGATCCTCCCCCGACGGCCTCCCAAAGTGCAGGGATTATAAATGTGAGCCACTGTGCCCAGCCCGTGTCTTTCAAAGGCCCAACAGCATCTGCTTTTGTCCTCTGGGGGAAGCCAGCTGCCATGTAAGAAGTCCAGCTACCCTGAGATGTCATGCCAGGAGGAAAGCCCACACTCACCATGTGAAGAGGCCACAGCGGGAGAATCAAGGAACTACCCACTTCACACTGGGCAACCGTGACAGCCGAGGCCCCAGCTGATTACCCAGGTTGAGCCATTCTAGCCAGCTCTAGCTGGTCAATCTACCCAGGTTGACACCACGTGGAGCAAGACAAGCTCTCCCCATTGAACTCTTCCCAGATTGCAACATCTGGAGGGAATAATAAAATGATGGCTTAAGCCACTAAATTTTGAGTATATTGTTAGAGTATATTGTTTTGTAGCAATAAGTATGAGCATATTGTTTGAGTATGAGTATGGGTATTATGAGTATTAGGTATGAGTATTATGTTTGAGTATATTGTTTTGCAGCAATAGGTAACAGAAACATGGCGCTTTCTGGCATGTTTTGCTTGTTTGTTTGTGGAGTTGGGGTCTCACTATGTTGCCCAGGCTGGTCTTGAACTCCTGGCCTCAAGCAATCCTCCTGCCTCAGCTTCCTGAGTAGCTGAAACTATAGGTATGAGCCACTGCACCCAGCATTTGGTACATTTTAAATATGCAGAATGGGAGAGAGTCATGTACATGAAATGTTTGGAAAGGATTAGTCCATGAAGCTGGATCAGTTGGTTAGCCTGTGGTGGCGATGGGAGGGATAAAGTTAGATCTTTCACTTCAATCTAGATGAAAATTAATTCCAAATAATATTTGCACAACACTTCTGAAAAATGCTGTAAGACATGTCAGCCTGTATTTTCATCAGCTTTTAGTTTACTTCTGGGGATTTGGGAGTGGAAAGGGAGTGGGGGCATAAATAATGTATGTTCATTGCATAAAAATTCAAAAGTCCAGATGAGCAAAGAAGGAGAAAAATAAAAATTATCCATAATCTCATCACATAGAGGTAACCACTGTTAGCATTTTTGTTTATATTCTTTCATGGTTTTTCCATATATTAATAATCATAAAAAATAGGCTCGTATTGTATAATTGTTGTAACCTATTTTGTTTTACTTGACACCATATCACGAACATCTTTGAATGTCCATCAATAATGCATGTGTTATGAATGCATAATATTACATCGAATAGATGTTCCATAATTTGCTCAACAAATTCCTTACTGCTGGATGTTGAGGCTGGTTCCAATTTTCCTCGTAGGTAAATCTTAATGTACATACAGAATTATTTCCTTAGAATAAATTCCAAAAAGTGGAATTGCTTAGTAAATAAGTTTGCATATAGTGAAGGCTTTTCAATACAAAATTTCAAATTACTCTCAAAAGTGATCAGCCTTCTTGGTAATATAAGAGAATTACTTTCTCCCCCTTACATGGTCTTACATGTAGTTAATATTACTTTTTTTTTCCTTCGGTTTTCAAAGAAGGCACTACTGTTTGACAATTGTTATGAGTGTTTGGCTAAGGCACATGTGTTTCAACTCCAAATAACCAAACGCCAAGTCAGAGTGGTTGTGGGGGCGGGGCATGCATCTAGTAAACATTTTAGGTTTTGAGATCCAAGAGGCACAATTGAGAACATTATGTAGGTATTTATATAAGAATGCAAAAATGTAAAACACCTAGATGCCTCACAGTTACTTCAAACCCAACATGCCCAAAACCTAAGTCTTTATTTTATTAACTCATAACTTCTTAACTCCTAACTGTACAAAAACCAGTGGTGAGTCCGTTTGCCCACAAGCCATAGCTCACTGACTGCTGCTCTAAGCGGTTGCTCCTTCTGCTTGAAGCACTTCACTGGATAATTTTTACAAGTCAGGGTAGTGAGTCCATGTTGGGTAACGCTTAGGGTACAACTGTCCACAAAAGTCCCTTATGGAGGAATTTACTAGAATCCTAGGTTGCCATCATTTGGTGAACTTTATTTTGTATGACCTCTTAAAGAATATCCCAGCCATGGCATGGGTATATGGGTGGGTGGTGTGCAGGAAGAGTCACGTAAATATTCACAGCTACGCAGCATCCAACTTGCAGAGTCCCCTGTGCTTATCACCTTGCTGTTAGGAGATGGGGGCTCATGTAAGATTTTGTGTGTTTTACATTATAAAAATTGTTTTTTTTTCTTATTAAAGAAGTACTACATACTTGTAAAAAGTACAAAGAGTGTTAATACACTCACCCTGCTGACAGAACCTCTACTAATATTTTGGTTAATTTCCTTTTAAGTGCCTGTGTGATAGAAAGAGAGAGAGATAGGGAGAGATAGAGAGAGAAAGAGAGAGACTCCAAAACAGACATCATATTTGTATACAGTGTGGCATAAGTTTATTCACTTAGCGTTAGCTATGAATGTCATTGGCTAATTCATATCCCATCATGAGGAAGTAGCTTTTTCAAGTGAATTCCCAGCTGATGGGCATTTGGGCCTTTACTAGTCTTCCAGTGTTATAAATAATGCTATAGGAAATATCTTTAAATGCAGGTCTTCGTTCATGTTTTTATGTCTTTTATTATTTCCTTTGAATAGGTTCCAAAAGTGGGGGTTACAGCTCACAGAGTAGGAGTGTACTTGATATCTTTTATACATATTTCTACTTTACTTTGTTTTTCCAGAAAGGCTGCCGTCATTTAGAGCAGTGTACTAGTGTGATCATTATCACATCTTTAGGATAATATAATTTTCAAAATATTTGCTAATTTTGACAGGTTGAGTGATATTTTATTGTTGGTTTAAATTATATTGATTTAATTTCTAGCTTTTTAAAAACTATTTTCTTATGTGTTTTATTTGTATTTCTTTTGTGAAATATGTATTCAGATTCTTTTTTCCATTTTGTTGTTTTCCCCCCATTTTCTTATTGTTTTGTAAGAATTCTGTAAATATTCATAATATGAGCCATATTGCATATGTACCTACTGTATATGGTGTAAACTGTGTTGCAAACATTTTGTGATTTGCCTTTTAATTTTGCTTTGGATGTCTTTCTGGCATGCAGAAGTTTTGTATTTTTATG
Organism: Homo sapiens; assembly: GCF_000001405.40. Lineage (NCBI taxonomy): Eukaryota > Metazoa > Chordata > Mammalia > Primates > Hominidae > Homo > Homo sapiens. The sequence goes on from NC_000021.9 coordinate 32,064,280, forward strand.
TAGCCAAATCTAGCAAGCTTTTTCTTTTTGACTCCTTTTCTTACTTTCATGTTTGGGAGGTTCATCTGTGGGATCATCCCCTAATCCATAGCACCTTTGAAGTTTCGTTTTTAATGGCTTCATGTTTTACATTTAATTCTTTAAGCCATCTGGAATTAATTTTGGTCTAGGTTGAAGTGAAGGATATAACTTTATCCCCCCAGCCTCCCAAAGCTAACCATCTGACCTGGCTCTATTGACTAATCCTTTCCAAACTCCTAATGTGCATGACTTTCTCCCACTCTGCAGTATTGGACTGGGGGAGGGGGAGGGAGAAAGAGAGAGGAGGAGGAGGAGGAAGGGGAGAGATTCTTTAGTCACACACCAAAGTTGCACAGCTGTAGGTGCTGCAGAGACTTTTGTCCCTAACTGTGTGATCACATGTGATCCCTAACGATGCACTGAAGGGCGCTGCTGACTCCAGAACTTCAATGCTTAGTGGAGCAACAAGCAATTGGCCAAGGCCGTTTCTGACCCCAACTCCAAGTCCTCTGACACAACTCAGATTTAAGCTGAATTATCAACCTAGGTTGGGGAGAGGTGGCAAGTGTCTTTGTCTCTCAAGCACTCGCATAAGTTCCAGAGTGCTTCGTTGAAGAATGGCGCTGGACCTTCTAGGAGGAGATGCTCCCTTCAGCCACCTCCCCCAACTATGTGTGGAAACAGATCCTGTTACCCAGAAATTTTCAGAGATGTGTCTTATCATCTGTCTCCCAGAGACCAGAGCCTTGGCCACCACCCTGGCTGGCTATGAACTCCCCTTGCTGGTTTCCACTCTGCCATATTATTCATTTAAATACTTACTGTGTGGACAATGTGGGATCTCAACCATGACACACAGCCCCTCCCTGTCCTCCAGGAATTCACAGTCTGAAATTGCTTGTGGCCAATAGACATTTTACTTGTACGCTATGCTAGAGGATGAATAGCAGGGGCTGTCTCCTTGGGACTGCAACCCTGGACCTACCTGCTAAACCTAAACATAGACTAAACCAGCATTTCCTAAGTACCTATGATGTACGTGGGCATGAGGGATTGGGGAAGAATGAGTGCATACACTTTATGCATATGTTTATTTATAAATATTATTACAATTATACTCGTTCTTATTTTGTATATAGATGAACAGAATCATGTATAAAGTCTTTCTGGGCTAGGTTTCTAAGGCATTGCCAAGTTAAGTAGGTACCTGCTCAAAATCACCCTGGGAAATGGCAGCCCTGGGGGTCAACCCTGAAGCAACCTGCTCTCCCAGGCTCGTGGTCCTTCCTCATGATGGATCAGTGCGTCTGACCCATCATCACTCCCCCTTTCATCCCATCCTCTAACGTATCCATCGCCATGCACCAGGCGCCAGCCTTTGCGTGTCCTAACTCTGAAGACCTCATTCAGATGTCTTCTCTTTCCTTTCAGTTATTTTGCTGTTTCCTCACATCCACCAGCATGACCGCCCATCCCCAAAGAGCTCCTTCTCCCTATACATTTACATTTGCCTTTGCGCAATGATGATATTTGCGTAAGATGTTTTTTGCCCTCAGCCCAAAAGGGTGCAGCCACATTACACATATAATCGGGTGTGGTGGTTCTTTACCTTAAGCCTTGATGGGTGTACATCGATAGCACACCGGGGCAGAGAGGTCACGTGTGCAAAGATTTGCACATTAGAAATAATATAACCCTTGAGGGATGTTGCTTTTATTTCTTCCCTATACACCCCCAGCTTAATTATTATTGACATTCTAGTGAAGTATTATTGTTATTTTCCAAAGAAAGACCCTTGTCTTCTGCAGTCTTCATGGAAGAATATTCAAGGAAAGTCTGGCTGTTACTATTGCCTGGAGGTGTGAAATGTGAAAGGCAGTTTGCAGTGTGTTCCTGACGTCTCTAAAGTATGGGCAGAGGGAAACAGACATAAGATATTGTTTAAAGCAGTTTCTTTTCTGGGGGCTCAGATCCCATGGGTTCAAGGAGCACCAATTTGCCTACCTCTCTGCTCCTCTTCCTCCCCTGACAGGGCCATGTGAGCTCAGCCTTGAGAACCCAAGCAAAAGGAATAATAATAGCAACAATGACCCTGTGACAGCAGCATTGTTCTGTTTCCTTCCTAGGTGCTGGGTACTATGCTTGGCGCTTTATATGAATCATCTCATTTACTTTCACAACAGCTGAGGCAGGAGCTCCTTTTGTCATACCCATTTTACAGATGGGCAATTGAGGATCAGAGAAATTAAGAAATGAGCCCAAAGTCACATAGCTAGCAAGTGGCAGAGCTGGGTTTTGAACCAGACTTTTTGGCTCCAGAGTCCTCACTCCTAACTATTAGAGCTCTTCTGCTTCTGACATTGAAGCTTAGTTTATGGGGTTGGTATAGAGGGTCTAACAGTATGTCTGACACCTACTAAGTGCCTCCAAATTTAATGGTGGTAGTTGCCATTCCTGGAATTTGTGACTTGCTTGTGAAACAGCTCCCCTTGGCCAGGAGTGGTGGCTCACACCTGTAATCCCAGCACTTTGGGAGGCTGAGGCAGGCGGATCACGTGAGGCCAGGAGTTTGAGACCAGCCTGACCAACAAGTCAAAATCCTGTCTCTACTAAAAATACAGAAATTAGCTGGGCATGGTGGTGGGTGCCTGTAATTCCAGCTACTTGGGAGGCTGAGGCGTGAGAATTGCTTGAACTCAGGAGGCAGAGGTTGCAGTCAGCTGAGATCGTGCCACTGCACTCCAGCCTGGGTGATGAAGCAAGACTGTCTCAAAAAAAAAAAAAATCCAGACAAACCGGAAAAACACAAAACAACCCCAGCTGTCCGTGGGCTATGTCCTAATGGGGTCCTGACTCCTGTATGCTACCTCCTTCTAGCAGTTGCAGCCACTCAATGTCCACTTGAGGGGCAGCCTCCATTTTCACGAGCAATGCTGAGCTGAGGGCTGGGGACAATTAAGTCCCTCCAGATGGATTGTTGACCCTGATTCCTCTGACAAGGATTCTCTCCTCCTTCTTCCTGCCTACTTGCCTCTGTTCTTCCAGTCGGGGCCTGTCTTGGTCTTAGTTCTCAACCTTCCACCTTTCCCAGACGTGAGGCCACACTCTTGCCCGCCGTGAACAGATGCTGCTCCCTGTGGACCTGGCTGTTTGCTGTGGGCTCTTCTGCAGATTATCTTTTTGTCAGGGCCCGGCTCTGGCCAACTTGTGGTGTTGGGAAGCATCACCTACCTACAGGCTGCCATAAACCAGAACGGAGAGACCATCAAGCTTCTGGGAACAATTTGGAATCTAAATGTTCCCTGGAGCCACTGTAATTTGGGCAGAGAGGGGAAAACCTCAGTAAAAAGTTGAAGGGAGAGAAATCAGGATCAGGGAGGAGAGCTGGGGGGCAGAGGGAGAGAGGAGGCACCTGGAGACACCTGTTCCTGCGGCAGGACGGCGGGTGGGAGCTGTACCTGCAGGCGGCTCTGTATCCTGGCCAAGATGCTCCGCCCATCACCTCTGTTGCCACCATGTTGCCAGGAAACATTTGGATTGCATTCTACCATTGAAGAAGCCCTGCCAAGAGGGCCAGTCAGGGCCAGGACATCATTCCCTCCTGCTCACGGCTGGCCGTGCCCAGCTGGCTATCCAGAGGGCACCAGCATCAGGGATCAGGAGCTCACCAGGTATTTCTTTGCATGGTGAGTGGTAACTTACAAAGCAGGGCCCTGCACTGTGAATAGGCAAGTTCAGTTTCGCTGGGTCTTGACACAGTGTGGTTAAATAACACCTGCAGATGGAATCACCAGGAGAGCCTGTTAAAATACAAATTCCTGGGACTACCCCTATGTACCCCCAAACTTAGTCAAAACTCCCACTCTGTGCCAAGTACTGCTCAACTCACTTTATATGTGTTAACTCACTTAGAGTTAATACCTGCAAGGTAGGTGCTACTATCATTGTTCCCATTTTACAGATGAAGAAACTGGTGCAGAGAGGGCTGGGAAGGCACCCTGGTCACACAGCTAATAAGAATTGGGATCTGAACTCAGGCTGAGTGGCTGCAGAGCCCTCTGCCAGGCCAGCCTGGGAGCCTCCTGTCTCAGACAGAAAAGCCTGTCCACTTGAAAAATGGACATCAGCAATGGCTTTTCAACCTACTGGGCTAATTAGTGCTCACTTGGAAGTCATCAGCTTAAACCAAATATTGTTAATCTATAAAATTCCTATGACCATGGGTCAGCCACCTTGCTGCCCTGTAAATGATAGGGTATTATCTTCCCAAACTCAATAAGGTTTTCAACCTATTTGGGAGTCAGTGACCTCCTTGACAATCCAATGAAAGTGTGGATCTTGCCCACATAACAAAAGACACCTATTCACATTTAATATGTAATAGCAAGAATGCCCAGGAAATCTGTGGATGCTATGTTGTGAACCCCAACCTACATGAATACATGAATCTTCCCTAAATTGAGGTTCCCCCCATCCCTCATCTCTTTGTCTCTTAAAATTCTCAGTAAGAAGGGAGGCACACCTAGGAAAATTATTTGATTGGAGTCAAAGTAATTAAGGCACAACTTTCCTTCCCTTTGGTACTTGCAAACATCCATCTTAATTAAAGTGTTCATTATGAGGCCAGTGCTCGGGGCTGCCAGGAGACTGGATAAGACAGAAAACCCCTTAGGATTATGAGAGGTCACTGCTTATTGAACCTGGGATTCTCATTACTGAAGCGACCCTATGCCTTGGGTAGCTTAAGGAAGATTCTCTGTGGCAGCAGACATGGGTTCTTTGAATTTTCTTTGAAGCCAGTTTTTGCCATAAACTGTAGAGTTACCTTACTTGTGTTATTCAATGAATGTTCTTTCCCTACAGTTCTACCTTGGGTAAGTAGGTTAACCAATTAAGAAATGTTCTGTGACAGTTAGTTTTATGTGTCAATCTGATGAGACTCTAGTACCTAGTTATTTCATCAAACACGGATCTAGATGTTGCTGTGAACATATTTCGTAAATGTGGTTAACATCTACAATCAGGAGACTTTAAGTACAGGAGCTTATTCTCAATACTGTGAATGGCCCACTCTCAATCAGTTGGAAGAGGCCTCATGAGGAAAGACTGACATTTCCTAGAGAAGAATTCTGCCTCAAGACTAGAGGATCACACTCTTGCCTGAGTTTCTAGCCTGCTGGCCTAACCTACAGATTTTGGACTTGACGGCCTCCATAATTGCAGAAGCTCCGTCCTTAAAATAAATCTCCTTAGATAGATGATAGATAGACAGACAGACAGACAGAGATCTGTATCTATCTCTATCTACCTACCTACCTATCAATCTATATCTACCTAACATCTATCTGTACATATGTATCTCCCGTTTGTTCTGTTCCTCTTAACTATAATATGCATCCGAAAGAGCACAGTCATCTATGTGGATGACAATTGCTTTGTAATAAATAAAAGAGCTGTATGTTATCAAATGTCACTCGATTACCCACATGCCCTGCTCCCGGCCCCTGGAAGGAGCGATGTGAAGTCAGAACGGTGAGCTGGGAGCAGGCAGTCAACTTGGTCCTTCTCAGCTTGACTATGTATCAGTGTCACTGTAGGGGGTGTGGGAGGTATGGGGTAGGAAGAGTTTGTTAAAAATGCAGCCTCTCAGAGTTCTACCCTCCAAAGTTCTGAATCTATGGGTCCGGGTCCAGAAGTCTGCATCTTAACAATCCCCCAGAGTGATTCTACTTCAGGCGGCCCTTTGAGAAATACAGCTTACAGGATGGCCCCCAAGCCTCCAGACCAGGCCCAAATCCATTCTCCATTTTCCCATTAGGTCCTTCAAGTGCTGAAGCTAAGAGCAAGGGGGGCCAGTTTTTACCCCCTGGTTAGTGCCCTGGCCTGGCTGTGCCTCTTGAAGTCCAAACACTTAATGCCAGGAAAGGTACATGTGAGGCCTTCTAGCTCCCATGGTGTACTGACTAAGCTGATGGACTCTTTAACCAGACCGCGCAGCGTTCAAATTCCAGCTTGGTCTTTTAATGACTGTTTTTACAACTGCATGTCACACTATTTCTTTGCTTCTGCAATTGTGGTATCATCTTCTGACGTGACATATGGTGGGCTTGCTCCACTTGCCAATCCAATAGCAGATTTGATTTTACCTCTTCCCACAATTTCAGGTTTAAACAGCAAAATATGAATGTGTTGGTCTGAATACCCTGGTGGCTTCGCAGTTTGATACTGATCTGCGGCCTCCTTTTATAGTACAATCCTCATCGAGTCAGTACGATAGGAAGAAACTCAAGACGCACTCCAGGCACTGGTCCTACAACAACCCCCAGCTTTGAGGCTTTCCTTCCCTCCCGAAAAGCTTCTCTGGGTACACGCAGAGTAGCTTTGTTCCTCCTCCAACAAAGAAAGCTGGCCCATCCCTTCCCAACCTCAAGGTACATTCCCATTAGCTGATGTGAACCTTGTTTGCCTGTGCTTGAGAATCAAGAAGAATGGGGCCGACCTTACATGTGACTGGATCTTTATCGAAGTCTTTACCAGGAAGACAGCTATCAGGATACTATGAAGGTTACGGGGGCAGAGCAAGGAGGACAGCGGGGGTGGTGGCGCTCATAAAACTTAAAGATAAGGAAGCAGAGGCCTCTTGCCGTGTTTGTTCAGAGGATCTTCCACCTTCCATGGCCTTCCAATAACTGATCTCCCCTACCTTCCAGCACTTGCTGACCTGCCCTCACCTCCTGCCTCTGGCCTCTTGCAGACACAGACCTGCAAAACATCTGCAAAAACAGTGCTGGGCTGCCCTGGCTGTTAACAGAGGACTCACAGAGTCTATTTAGTTTTCGAGTTCTGATTTTATCTTGTTTATAAAATCCATATGGAGAGAGAAGGAAAAAGAGAGTAGGGGGAACAAATAACTTCAGGCTATCAAGAGTAGGTTGATAATCAAGAGTACGTTGGCTTCTGGCAGATGTGGTGTCTCTTTTGGGCCTGGGGTTTGGCTTTGCCGATTCCATTGCTCACAGCTTCTCCTCCGGTCAGTCCAGCTGCTTATTTGAGCATTTTGCAGAAGAGGAAGTTTAAACTCAGAGCTGAACTCCAGGATTGAGGTTGTTATTAACTTTGTCATCTGAGCTTGTCCTCTCTCATCAACGGAAGAGAAGTTGGCTGTATCTAATCTGGACTAGGGCTCTGAAGACCCGATCCGGGTCTCTGGCACCTGCTGGCTGTGTGACTGTATTAGTACGTTTTCACATTACTGATAAAGAAAGTTTACCCAAGACTGGGTAACTTATAAAGAAAAAGAGGTTTAATGGACTCACAGTCCCATGTGACTGGGGAGGCCTCACAATCATGGTGGAAGGTGAAAGGCATGTCTTACATGGCAGCAGGCAAGAGAGAAGCTTGTGCAGGGGAGACTCCTATTTATAAAACCATCAGATCTTGTGAGACTTATTCATTACCACAAGAACAGCAGGGGAAAGACCCGCCCCCATGATTCAATTACCTCCCACTGGGTCCATCCCATGACACGTGGGAATTATGGGAACTACAATTCAAGATGAGATGTGGGTGGAAACACAGCCAAACCATATCAGTGACCTTGGGTGAGTCCAAGGCCAGGCTCTCTAAGTCTTGGTTTTTCATCTGGAAAATAGAGGTAATACAAGGAATGTTTGTGAAGAGCTGACACATAATGAGAGCTCAAAACATGTTAGCTATTTGGTCTTACTCTTTCTCCCTTGTAATGACTTCATCTTGTAAGTGCCACATGCCCTTCCCTGGATCACCTTCCCTAACTTATATGGCTGTTGGAGAATTAATTGCAACAAGGGTCACAAACACATCTTGTAAATGTGATTCAAACTCCACACTAATGCCCAGATCATCATAATTACCTCTCTAACCTTCATCTTGCTTTAGTTTATCTTTCCCTCCATATCTGGAATACCCTCCATTCTCCCCTTTTTTCTGCTTAAAAAATTCCTGCTGAAGATCCAATCAAGTATCCCTCTCTCTAAGAAGCCCTCTCCAGCCTCCCCAGGCCTCTGGCTGTTTCCTTTACTGAATGCATAGAGTTATATTTATAGTTTTCCATCCTGATTCCATCATTTGAATCCAAGTTCTTCTAAGGTCAGAAGCTAGACCATGTTCTTTCACAAATCCTAGGGTCTAGCAAAATACTTTACACAGAGTAAGGACCTGGTAAATAAATGGAAGGGTGGATGAATGGATGGGTGAATGGATGAAAAGATGATGAATGGACAGATGGATGGAAGGATGGACGGTTAAGTGGTTGAATGGATGGGAGAATTTTGTAGACACGTCTCAAGAACCATCAATAGTTGATATCCAGTCTCTCAATGTCTCTACTGTGCTAAAATGATTCCCTTGTCTTCAGCTGACATTTATCAGTGATTGGTACAATGAGCATAGGAGGACTGATGGACTTCTAGCAAAAGGTTAATTCACTCAACTCCACATCTAAAATATGATCTTAGGAGATTTTGGCCTGCAGTTGGTCTTCTCCAGGGGAGTCAGCCTATGGCAGGTTGGATGCTCATCCCAGCTGGAATCATGGTGTCTGTCCAACTCTTCCAACTCCTATAGAAGAACTGCCATGGCAAACTCAACCAAATATGTCACAGCCTTTGTGATCAGGAAGGGTTTCTCAGCATCCTTTACAAATCTCTAAAGCTACGGAAGAAAATTACTACCTCTTGTTAAGATGGACCATGGTATTTAACAAAGATCGCTGGGTTGGAAACCAGGACGTCTATGCTCTTGGCCTGGTTCTGCCACTAATTTGTTCTGGGATTTGGGACCAGCCACTTCACCTCCATAGACCTTAGCCTCTTTGTGAGAAAAATGGGGACTGTATGATTTCAAGGCCCTGTTCGGCTCTGCAAGGCATGATTTCATGTTCTGCAGGGCCGCAGGCTCTAAGACCCCAACTTAGCCCTGCAAGATGGACTTCAGAGGCCCTTCCCTGCAATCCTCCTGCTTGGCCCTGCTGTCTGCCCACAGACTTCCCACGGAGAGGAGAACACAGCCCACGGTGGTTACCAGCACGGAGCTTGGCTCTGTTGCCCACTAGCTCTGTGGCCTTCGGCAAGTTCCTTAACCTCTCTGTGCCTCAGTTTCCTGATGCATAAGATGAGATAACAAAGGGACCCACCTGCTAGGGCAGTTAGAGGATAAAAGGACAAAATGCACAGAAAGTGCTTATTATGGTGCCAAATGCAGAGGAAGTGCTGGAGAGATGGGAGTTATGATGATGGTGTTTATGAGAGACTGATGGCAGAAGCCACAGATTCTGGCCTCTCATCCATTGAGACCTCCCTGACAGCCGCCTCAATACCAGGACTCTTAGATCTGCAGGTCCTGGTTCTTAAAGGCACGTTCAGCCTCCACACTCCTGATGTGTGCCTGGGCCAAGGATAGGGAGCCCCAGCAGCTTGAATAAAACCATTGTCTGGATAAAGGGGGAGCCCACAGGGAGCAGGGGCCGTTCCTAGCTCTCTGGGCTGCCTGAGCGCCCCTTCCTCTATTTTCTCCCCTTGTTCTTGTGGCCCTGTGGCTGCTTTTATCAGAGCAGAGGGGCTCTGACCCCTGACGGGGGAAAATGGCCGCCCTCCTCCCACATGGCAATTATTCTCAACTGCATCAGAGCCAGAGCTCTGGGCCCAGGAGGGCTGCTTTAGCACAGGGTGGGCTTGGAGGAGGCAGCTGTTCCCCATCGGAACATTTTGAAAGTGGCTTTGTCTCCAACCAGCAACCCTTTGGCGCCGGATTCCTGTGCACCTTCGAGCAACAAGGCAGCAAAGTGGTCCATCCACCCACAGAGGAAGAAACTGCGGCCGTCCCGCTGATGCTGAGAAAAGGAGCGCTCAGCTGGTCTTTCGGTCTGCGGGGGCTGCCGTGACAAAACACCACAGGCCGGGGGCTCACACGGCAGAAATGGGTCGTCTAAGTTCAGGAGGGTGGAAGTCTAAGATCAAGGTGTTGGCAGAGCTGGTTCCTCCTGAGGCTGCGAGGGGGAATCTGTCCCAGGCCCTCACCTACCCTCCAGGGGTTTCCAGCAACCTTTGGCCTTCCTTGGTTTATAAATGCATCACCATGGTCTCTGGCTTCATCTTCACATGGATTTTCCTCCTGTGGGCCTGTCTGTGCCCAGATTTTCCCCTTTTATAAGGATACCAGTCATATTGGATTTAGGACCCACCTTACACCAGTACGACCTTGTCTTAATTAATTACATCTGCAATTACTCTATTTGCAAATAAGGTCACATTCTGAGGCACTGGGGGTTAAGACTTCAACATATGATTTTGGGCAGATGGTGGGGGCAAAATTCAACCCATAGCATTTGGCATTTGGCCTTTCCTTAAAGAAGGAGCTTTTTTTTTTTTTTTGAGATGGAGCCTGGCTCTGTTGCCAAGGCTGGAATGCAGTGGCGTGATCTTGGCTCACTGCAACCTCCGCCTCCTGGGTTCAAGCGATTCTCCTGCCTCAGCCTCTCAAGTAGCTGGGATTAGAGGCGGACACCACCACAGCCGGGTAATTTTTGTATTTTTAGTAGAGACGGGGTTTCACCATGTTCGTGAGGCTGGTCTTGAACTCCTGACCTCAAGTGATCTGCCCACCTCCGTCTCCCAAAGTGCTGGGATTACAGGTGTGAGCCACTGTGCCCTGCCTCAAGGAGGGGCAATATTAAGTCCACCTGTGTCTCTACGCTCATGCGAGGCAGCCAGCAGGTGTTTCCTAGGCCTCTGGGCAGAAAGGAGCCTGGAAGGTCAAGGTGATCCATCCTCCATTGGCTGGCTGCATCTCTGGCCCCCAGCTGGGGACTCTCCATGTGGAGTTTGCATATCTCTAGCAAGAGCAAACTGACTACTTCCCTTCTCCTTGGGCAGCTCTTTAATGCAGAACGGCCTTCCATGTAACACTTTTTTTTTTCTTTTTTTTTTCTTTTTTTGAGACAGAGTCTCACTCTGTCACCCAGGCTGGAGTGCGGAGGTGCCATCTCGGCTCACTGCAACCTCCACCTCCCGGGTTCAAGCAATTCTCCTGTCTCAGCCTCCTGAGTAGCTGGGATTACAGGCACCTGCCACCACACCCAGCTAATTTTTATATTTTTAGTAGAGACAAAGTTTGGCCATGTTGGCCAGGCTGGTCTTGAACTCCTGATCTCAGGTGATCTGCCCACCTCGGCCTCCCAAAGTGGTGGGATTACAGGTGTGAGCCACCCCCCGCCCCCCGGCCACACTTTGGTTTCTTACTTGAGCTCTCCACAGTGAGAAAGAGTTGAAGGGGAAAGAAAAAGGTGCTGTCAAAGTAGCTGAGACGGAAGCCAAGCGCAAAAAAGTCAATATTAGCTTTGCAGTCATCTTATTCCACTAAATTTGTTTTAAACTAAGATATTAGTTTACAAGTTCTCTCCAGAAATGACAGACTATTTATTCTTCCATGGAAGGCAAGCCGTTTGAAAGGTTTTTTAAAAAGCAAGGATAAAAGAACAATCTAATGTGCCAGAATACAAGGCTAAAATGATTTTTTTTTCTAGAAAAACAAAAGATCCCAATGTATTTATAGTGTATAGCTAATGGATATAAGAAAATCTTTTCAGGAAAATTAATGACAATGTGAAGAGTCATTCCTTCATTTGAAAACTGGGTTAGCTTCCTGAAGGGAGGGAGAGAGGCTTTCACGCTTTTGGTTCACTGAGAGCCAAGCTGGCTGGGACCACCAAAGCCGTCCCACCAACCCTTCTGATGAAGAGACTGTGGTCTCAGTGGCAACTGCCATTGATTGAGAGCCTCCCACCTTCCAGGTGTTTTACATGAACTTGCTCATTTAGTTCAACAGCTCTGCCCAGAGGCTTCAGTGCCCCTACTTTGTGGGGGTGGGGTGTGAGAATGTCTCACTTTAGAAGCTGAGATTCTAAGAACAACTCAGGTGCAGCAGACTCCCTGAGCCTTGCTCTGTGTATCCAGCTGTGTGTACATCACAGACAGGACTTGACGTGACTTCTCTCCCATCATGGGCTCCATGCTCCAGGCCGCTTGAGCTAAGCCCACTTCCATTCTGGAAAGTTTTGGGCTGGGAGCTGATGGCAGGAGACGCAGGAGGAGGCAAAGAAGGGCAGACACGTGGGCTGCTCAGACTGTGATCACAGGCCACCAGGAGAGGGGCTTGGGGACAGTCCTTGTGAAACCTCCCTGCGAGGCCGGCGAGGCCCCAGGGGTGCATTGGGCTCCATAGTCCAAAGGAGGCATGAGGGTCCCACTGGGTCTCTAGCTCCCCAGCTCTGGTGTCCGTAGGCTGCTCCCTTCCAAGGCTCCAGTGTCACCCTGTCTGGGAAACTCACAGCTCCTCAAGGTCCCCGGTCCCTCGCAAAGGGTCACATCCAGCCCTCCGTGATCTCCTTCTAAGACAGCATTATGACCCGTTTGTCTTTTCTCCCTGCCACAGGACAGTGGGATTCTGCGGGCTTCGGTGCCTTCTCCACGATGCTGAGGGCCTGAGCCTGCTCCACAGCCTTGAATGTTTAAGGCATCCTCGCTTCCAGCCCCCGTGTGGCGAGAAAGCAGTAAAGGAGCAGAGGGAAGGTCCGGACCCCCACGGCCAAAGGAGGCATCTGCGCAGAGCACACAGCACTGGCTGGCACCTGACTCTTCTGTGGCGGCCCTGAGGCCCGCACTGTGCGGGAAGCGGCAGCCGAAGGGCCCGGATTCAAGGCCGGCATGGACTCGGGAGCTCGTGACCTTGGGCCAGTCGCTCCACCTCTCTGGGATTCTGCACTCTTCTCTTTGACAATGTGTGGGTGTTCCCCAGGCACCTTCAGGGCAGCAGAGAAAGCCAAGATGACAGATGCTGGAGAATGACAGGAGGCACGGAATCGATGACTTTCTAACACACACCACAACACACACACATACACACACACACACACACACACACACACACACACACACACACGGCACTGCCCGCAGCGCCTCATTATTCCCAGATAGATAGGATCAGGGGGAGGGAGCCGGCTGCTCTATTTTTCTTTTAATTAAATAATTAATTTGGACTCTGCCTTGTTCTAGAAATTATTAAAACCAGGCAGCCAAAAATTTCCAGTAACATCTTTTCTTCATTACCAAAGCAATTCACTTTCAATGTAGAAAATTTTAAAAATACAGATAATTTTTTTAAAAAAACCAACCCACTCATCATCTCCTCAAGTCTCCTGCACAGCGAAATACTGGATGCTTCTGCTGTTTATTCTTCTGGGCTTCTTTCCCGATCCTCAATATACTTTAAGATATTTACTTAAAAAACATGGGATCTTACCTGGTTATTGTTTTCCAACTTTATGCTCTACCTAATTGAGTGGTAAATATCTTACAGTATCAATCAACATAACCATACATGCAAATTTGCAATTACAATTTTTAGTAGCGCCTAGTATTTTGTTCTAGGACCGTGTCATACATTAATCATTTGTTTTTCATGTATTGGATTTTTCTAACTTTTCACTACTGAAAGTATTAACATTAGACTGAACATCCTTAAACAGAGTGTCAGCAGACTTGAAGATAACAGTGAAAATATCATGGTTTCTTAGTCACTTCATTCCCTTGTCTCATTCAGATGAAAAAAGAAAAACAATAGTAAACCATAAAGAAAGTTCAACAAAATTCTGGTTTGTCTGTGATGCCTACTCCAATCTGTTTTTGAAATGTTGAAAATATAATTCTTTTAAAAAATTGATTCTTTCGTTTCGCAGATATCTAAACATCCTTATCTCTTTGTGCTTTTAACAAACAAAAGGACATTGCTGGGTCAAAGGACATGCATATTAGTATGACTTCGGAGACATAGTGGCAACCTGTTTTCCAGAAATGACCTATCAGTTTACATTTCTTGGGGGTGAACTGTCTTCTCCACACTCTCTTTGTCAACCCGTTAGGCAAAAAGTGTCTCCTCTTTGTTTCGTGTGCATTCTATTCATTCATGAGTTTGAATACTTTTTTTCATCCATTAATTGGCTATTTGTACTTACTGGAAGAATAGTTGGTTCTTATTCTATCCTATTTATTTATTTATTTATTTATTTATAGATGGAGTTTCACTCCTGTTGCCCAGGCTGGAGTGCAGCGGCACAATCTTGGCTCACTGCAGCCTCTACCTCCCAAGTTCAAGCGATTCTCCTGTCTCAGGCTCCTGAGTAGCTGGGATCACAGGTGCCCGCCACCACGCCTGGCTAATTTTTTGTATTTTTAGTAGAGACGGGGTTTTGTCATGTTGGCTAGGCTGGTCTCTAACTCCTGGCCTCAAGTGATCTGCCCGCCTTGACCTCCCAAAGTGCTGGGATTACAGGCGTGAGCCACTGCGCCTGACCTCCCATTTATTTTTTTACAGGGCTGTCTTTCTCTTGTTGTCTGTCAGAATTCTCTGTATTTTAAGGATATTAAACCCTGTTTTTGTAATTTGTCACAGCTATTTTCCCAGATGTAATTTACCTTTTGTGTTTTTATTCATGTTTTTTAAAAATTTATGGGTAAAATATTTTTTATAATCCTATTTCCCAATATGTTACTTTATTGATTTTTCCTTTGGTGTTATGCTTTAAAAGTTTTTCTTACTACAAGTTTACATAAAATTTTACTTCTTTTTCCTCTCAGTACTCTTATGTTTTAAAAAATATGTAAATCATATGCAAATTATCACCACATGTTATGAGGAGGGAATCTCACTTTTTTTTCCAGATAGCTAATTATTCCAAATCCATTTATCAAATGGTTCATTCTTCCTCACTTAATTGGAACAGCATCTTTAGCTCATCCTCATTACTTATACACGATCAGGGATGTAGCTGTGCTTTTTATACCTATCTATTGTTTCTAAGATAGTATCATTTTATTTATATTTTCTTTTAAAATATGTTTTAATATCTGGAAAAACAAATACCCATCTTTATTTTTTTCTTTTTAAAAAACTAACCAGTTTCACACATTCTGCCAAATTAACTTTAAAATCATTATCAAGTTCCAGAAATGATTTTATTGGGATAGAGACTGTAATTGTAATGAATATATATAGTTAGTTTGGGTTGAATAAACATATTTACAATGTTAAACTTTCCCAAACGCTGTTGTGTCTACTTTATGAAGTAGATTTTTAAGAAATTTAAAAATTATTATTCAATAAAGTTTTTAGATCTCTGCTTCTAGATTCTGTAGACTTTTTTTTAACCCCTCAATACCTTATATTTTTGTGAGCAGAATCTTTTCTTTCTGTTTTCTTAACAGTCACACAAATAATTGCTAGTCTCTTGTATTTCTCCTCCATGAGGACAGGGACTCGGGTCTATAGGCCATTTAAGATCATCTTTTTCCCCATTAATGTCAAAACTAAGAGTTCTGATAGAAGGTTTTTTATAGACTCAAATTTGTCTGAAGCTTCTGGGGATTTGGAGAACACCCTCTCGGAATCTCTCAGTACCCCTAGATGTGACAGCAAAACACAGCTGTCCTGAGCATCCTTCACTCGTTTCCCGGTGCCGACAGTTGGCACTCACTTCTCTTTGGTTTTTCCTTAAAGGAAGACCCAGACACCCCGGCCCCACTCTAGGATGTTCAGACTGAAAGCTCCCAGATGGTCTGTTTTACACTTCTGAGCATGTATCATGGCTACCGAGGATTTTGTGACAATGGTCACAAAATTAGGACTCCATAAAATAAATACCTGATTGGGACCACCAGGAAACCAAACTCATCTGGCGGTTCTCAACCCTGACTGAATTAAAAAAAAAAAAAAAGAATCATCTTTGGAAATTTTAAATACTACCAATGCCTTGGAGATGCTGTCAATCTGTCTGGGATTGGGCATCAGTACATTTCAACCCCTGGTCCCCTCCACTCCCTTGGAATTTGATTCTGATGTGCAGCCAGGGCTAAGACCCACTTCTTTAAATGGTGCCCAACGGATTCATCAAATGCTTATTTATATGCAACAGAAACAAATTATAGATGATTTAAGCAATAAAGGGGTTTATTTAAATGATATTTAAATAGATATCTTTGGCCTTTGGGAGAGCCGAAGAACCAGCCTTGATGTCTACATTCCAGTACCAGTTCCGCACATCACACCATAGAACTGACACAGCGATGACACACTGCCTGCTGCTGGGCTTACACACCCAGAGACACAACTGGGTTTTGGGAGCCATTCTAACGGAAAAATAAAAATCATAAACAGAAAATTAGGCACCAAAGTAAATATTCATCATGAGAAAAAAACCCCAATTTAATATCATTAAAGTTAAATATTTACACCTTATCTAAACCAAATGACCTCCCAAAGCCCCATATAGTCATCACGAAATTTAGAAATACTACATAATATTTTAATTTTTTGCCTGACACCACTCTACAACAGATTTTTTCTCTCTCTCTTTCCTTCTTTCTCCCTTTCTCTCTCTCTCTCTCTCTCTCTCTCTTTCCTCTCTCTCTCTCTCTCTTTTCTTTCTTTTTTGAGACAGAGACTTGCTCTGTCGCCCAGGCTGGAGTGCAGTGGTGCGATCTTGGTTCATTGCAACCTCCGCCTCCCAGGTTCAAGTGATTCTCCTGTCTCAGCCTCCCAAGTAGTTGGGATTACAGGCACACGCCACCATGCCCGGCTACTTTTTGTATTTTTAGTAGAGACAGGGTTTCACCATAATGGTCAGGCTGGTCTCAAACTCCTGACCTCAGGAGATCCACCTGCCTCAGCCTCCCAAAGTAGTGGAAATACAGGCATGAGCCACTGTGCCCGGCCTCAATGTATTTTTCAATTTTGCTCTTGGCTGTGTCTTAGTCAGCTTGGGCTGCTATAACAAAATGTCATAGACGAGGTGGATAAAACAACAGACATTTATTTCTCCCAATTCTGGAGGCTGGGAGTCAAAATTAGGGTATCAGGTTGGTCAAGCTTTGCCCCTCACAACCTCGTCTACACCAAGTTACTTTTCGAATGCCCACTTACAAATATAGTCACAACAGGGGGTTAGCTTCGATATATAAATTTGGGGAGGAGAAACAGTCAATAATAGGCTATGTAAGAATATGGTTATAAAATGTAATTTTATAATATTTTCTGTAGAAAGAATAGATAATTTGGTCTTTCTTTTAGCATGGTTTATCCAAATTTCTTTTTTAAGTAATCTTTTTAATATAGAATAGTTTTATACTTACAAAAAGTTGTGAAGATAGTACAAAGAGTTCTTTCATATTTCTTACCCAGTTTCCTCTGTTGTATATTTGTTACAATGAATGAACCAATATTGATAAATTATTATTAACTAAATTCCATATTTTATTTACATCTCCTTAGATGTTTTCTCATCTCTTTTTCTGTCCCAGGATCTCATTCAAGATAACATACTACATTTAATCATCCTATCTCCTTAGCCTCCTCCAGACTGTGCCAGTTTCTCAGACTTTCTATGTTTTTGATGACCTTGACCGTTTTGAGGAGTGCTGGTCAGGTATTTTGTAGAACGTCCCTCCATTTGGGTTTGTCTGACATTTTTCTCTTGGTTAGACTGGGGTTATGGGCCTTTGGGAGGAAGGCCACAGAGGCAAAATGCCATTTTCATCCCATCATATTATATGCTGTCACTGATAATGTCAATCTTGATCATCTGTCCGAGATCCAAATTTGTTTTACATTAATTATGATTTAGAAAAGTCTCCTTTAACTTCATACCCACTATGGGCATTGTCATGTAAAGTTATAGGATTGTTGTTAAATTTGGAACAGCTTCTATCAAGTTTCATCTGCAATCTGAGCATCTAGAAGGGTTTTCCACAGACTAGCTTCTAGCGGCATGCATTTTGGATCTTGTTTCCCCTCCACTCCCCACGTAATTCCACAGCCTGGTACTCAGGACATATTTATATTGCAACTCAATTTCTGTCCCAGAACCTTCATATCATGAAGTTTGTTAATTTGGCACAGTGGACAGTAGAAATTTCCTGGCAGCCATTCTGACCCCGGGGAGGCCAGCAGACTGTAGAAGTAATTAGGAACCACAGAAAAATGATGCCACACTGAACTCAAATGAAATGTATCCTAATGCATCTTCCCCTTAGTTTGTCCCCAAAAATGCCACAGCCACTCCAACACCACATGGCATGAAAGGAAGTGTGACAAATGGTACGTTGGAGTGGATGGAGACAATGATCAGCCTTAACAAATTACAGTTCAAATATCTCGCTTTTGCAGCTTTTATAAAAACATGTGAACACATTTCTGGAACACCCTCCTAGGCCTTGGAAGAGGCTTGTTATAGTAAGGCACCTCCAAATTTAAGTCATTAGATTAACCATTAATCTGGCTCTGCAAATGCCTTAGTGTATGCTGCAGACCCCCCCGACCCTGAACCCAAGATGCTGCAGCTTGAAACACTAGCGCTGCTGTCTCTGGAAATCAGATATGGCTGCTGCTGCCCTAGAGAATATTCTTCACTATGTCTGCTTCGGTTTGTCACCACCTTTCAATTCAAAGTCTGGGGAGGGTGTTTGGCATTGGTTGAGCCTAAATCTTATGCCTTCGCCCTAGCTGCGGGGGGAGGCTGGGAATGTATCTGTTAATTTGAGCTTATAGAGTGAAGACAAGTTCTGCCTTCTAGTGTGGCAGCCCTCAAATCAAAGCAGAAAGTTTATTGTTTGTAGTTGCATTAAAAAAAAGCATGAAATGATATAAAAGGAACTGATGAAAGTAGTTACCTGTGGGGGAGGGTAGTGGGAGGAGATTAGGAGCCAGACTTCTTAATGTGAGCATTTTCCTATCATTTTGAGTTTTAAAACGTGTGCATATATTATCTAGTCAAAAATTAAAAATTTTAAGGGTGATATAATCATATTAACAAATGTCACAAATCTAAGTAACTTCTCTCTTAAATAAACATTCTGAGCAAGGATTAAAAACATTATACTACTAAGTGCACTGCTACACTTCCATCTGTGTTATTTAATGCCACCAAATCCATCAGGCCAATTTGCTTTCCTCTCTTCTCTGCCTATTTTGGCATCCTCCCAAATGGCTCATTTTCACAACATCCCCATGAATTGGCAGTGATTAGCCTTACTGGTAGGGGGAGAAATGGTATGGATTTCCCATACAATGCAAAATACCGTGACTCACTTTCTTGTCGGGAGATTTCAGAACAGTTCCTCACACACAAAGGAGGCTTTTCAGAACCAAACACTGCATTAGGTGCTGAGCTAAAGTGAAGCCAGTGAAGATTTGCTCATTGTCCAGAGATGAATCCTTAGGGTTTGTGAAGTTCTGGGGAAGGAGGCAGGGGAGATCACCATCCAAGGAGTGGAGTGGAAGATTTCATAAAGTGCTTCTGGAGCAATCCTAGTCTATCAGAAAGACCAAGGAGTCCTCTCTGAGAAAAGAAAGCCCTTGATCGGGAAGATAAAGAAAGGACCCAGCTAGAAGTGATGTTCAAAATATTTAACCACTTTTATGGGATGGACCTGACCAATCAGAACCTGACAGGTTTCAAAGCTTCAGAGAAGTCTAGAATCCCTGGTGACCAAGAGAAAGTGATCAGGAATAGCGCCGAGAAAGCTGGAAACACACCTGATACGAAAGTCATGGTTGGAGTCTGTTCTGGTTAGGAGGTAGAGAGACAACTGCATCCTAAGTACTAATTCACTATTTATTACAGAGGTTGTGTTGGCTACAGTCTCTGCTAAAGTCTTCCTCCATCTCTCTCTCCCTCCCTCCCTCTCTTTCTCTTTCTTTCTTTCCTTCTTTTCTTTCTTTCTTTCCTTCCTTCTTTCCTTTCTTTTCTTTTTTTTTGACAGGGTCTCCCAGGCTGGAGTGCAGTGGTGCAGTCTTGGCTCACTGCAACCTCCACCTCCCAGGTTCAAGCGATTCTCCTGCTTCAGCCTTCCCAAGCAACCGGGATTACAGGTGTAAGCTACAGTGCCCAGATAATTTTTTGTATTTTTAGTAGAGATGGGGTTTCGCCATGTGGCCAGGCTGGTCTCGAACTCCTGGCCTCAAGTGATCCACCCGCCTCGGCCTCCCAAAGTGCTGGGATTACAGGCTTGAGCCACCACACCCAGCCCTGAAGTCTTTCTAGAAGGATTCTCCATCTTATTTTTGTCCTAGAGATACTCAATACTCAGTAATCTCATCCTGATCCAATATGGCCTACCCTGAGGAATGGAGGAAGAGCTTGGTTCTGGATTGGACTCTTCTGGCAAGGCAGGCATGACAGCAGACCTTGCTATTCACGAGTTTACGAATAATCTTGAGGAACCTTGAGCTCACCTGTGGTCACTCCTTCTTCCCACCCCAAGGAGAAGAGAAGCTTGTCTTCTTGGATGCAGTTGGGAGCCTACAGCCTACTCCCACACCCAGGCCTCTGTGGCTGTCCAAAGTCCACGTGTCCCCAAGACCATCCTCACTTGGGGAGGACGTCGGCATATTATGGGTTCAGTCATTCTAGGTATAACTATCTTCTGTATGACCAGGTCAAGCTATATATAGCTTAGAAATTTTCAGGTGCTCGATTAGTAATCACAACCAATGTGATTCAAGCATCTATCTGCTTGGATTTTTTAAAAAAGTGTTTTCAGTCTTCCCAGTCCTGGATATTTTAAGCAGAAGGACCCATCCAAGCATCATAGGATAAGCACCCAAATCAGAACAAGCTCCTGGTATCTCAGTAATGAGAAGCTCCTTTCTCATTACTGCCCATCTTCCCTGACCAGACTGAGCCTTTATCCCCTGTAATGATCCTGAGATTGCCCCTTGGATACAAGGACAGTTTCATTTTGGTCTGATATTCTGCCACAGATTTGATCCTCTGATCTGCCCTGGGAATAGATCTCCCTGATCAAGAAGGACTCCTGTGCAGTAAATAATTCACCTTGTCCAAAAGAGGTTTGACTTTTGCCCTCAGCACATGAGAGGTAACTTCTAAGCCCTTGAAATGTTTCTGAGGCAGGAGAATGTTGTGAACCCAGGAGACGGAGCTTGCAGTGAGCTGAGATCACGCCACTGCACTTCAGCCTATACGGTAGAGTGAGACTCCGTCTCAAAAAAAAAAAAAAAAAAAGAGAATGCCTTTGTTTATATGGGGGGCTTGGGATAGCCCAAAGGGTCTATGTTATCAATGTGATTTATGGTGGGGACTTTGAACCACACAGTATCAACCTGACCTCTGGAAGTGCTGGTGACCAAGGTCAGCCCAGCAGATGGTCAATCATGTCTACGTGAACAAGTCCCAATAAAAACTGTGCACACCAAGACTCTGGTGAGTTTTTCCTGGTTAATAATACTCTGTGCATGATGTCAAATGTTGTGTCTGAGAGGTGCTCTCTGCACGACTCATGTTTAATGACTTCTAAAATCTGACCTATATGCCTCTTCCCTTGGAGGATTTTAATCTGTATCCTTTCATGGTAATAAAGCATAACCATGAATATAATAACTTTTCTGAGTTCTGTGCATCTTGCTAGCAAATTATTGAATCTGAGATGGTCCTGGGGATCTTCAATTTGTTGTTGGTGTCAGAAGTGAGGAGGATCTTGTAGACACCCGAACTTTGCAACCTTCAAAGTAGAATCCCAGCATCAACTCACCTGGCCAGAACTCCCATGAAAAGCGATTAGCAATCTTCATCCTAGAACCTGGGGACATTCTGTTTTTCCTTCTTTTCTGGTCAATCGGTCTCTTCTCAGCCACTGCACTCTTAGAACAGTCTGACCTCCTAGTTTCCCTTTGGAGCCTTTCCTACCTCATCCCCAAACCAGGTTAAACCCTCCCACCTGCTGTTTATCCTCTTCTAGAGATATCTCCCTTTTCTGCATCATTACCTTCTCTTATCAGGCACATACCCCAGGTTCATACCTGCCCAAATGAGGTCCTCCTTCTGTCAGTCAATTCCTGAATTATCAAAGCTCACCACATCTTCTGAGCTGGCATTTCCATATGATATCAGTCTGCTGAAAATAAATTCCAATATACAGACACAAGGAGATCCAGTTAAAAGAGCCCAGGAAATTCTCTATTTATTACAGAATGACAAGTAGAGGTCTTGACGTAAACGCAGAAAAGCAGGAGGCCCCGGAATCTCACAGAAAGAAATAACATGAGAACTGGGAAGGACAGTTCTGAAGCTTTCATAAGACAAATCCATCAAACACAAGAGAGAAAATTAGATTTCCTATTCTGCTTTTTCAATAGTGATCCAATTAATACTTGAATACTTGAATACTTCTAAGCCCTTGAAATGTTTCTGAGGCAGGAGAATGGTGTGAACCCAGGAGGCGGAGCTTGCAGTGAGCTGAGATCACGCCACTGCACTTCAGCCTATACAGTAGAGCGAGACTCCGTCTCAAAAAAAAAAAAAAAAAAGAATGCCTTTGTTTACATGGGGGGCTTGGGATAGCCCAAAGGGTCTATGTTATCAATGTGATTTATGGTGGGGACTTTGAACCACACAGTATCAACCTGACCTCTGGAAGTGCTGGTGACTGGGGCAATAAAAACACAGTAATTTGGATCAATTGGTAAAGAGCTCAATATGAGTTAATGAAAGTTAGAATTGCAGAATATAGTGGAAGAAACACAATAAAATTACTTCCAAATATTTACATAGATTTTTAAAAAACAAGCAACCAAGTAGAAGTCTTATGGGTCGATTATAGTAAGTAGACAATTTTCATGTGCCAGTTCACATTATTTTAATCCAATCAGTGCTACTCAAGTGCTTTAATAATGTGAAAAATAGTTTCCATTCTTAATCAGATCAAATATTTTCCTTCCAAGGCATCTGAGATTGTGTTTAGTAAATTTGTATAAATAGTAATTCTCATCTCTCATGAAGGCAAATTTGAGGGAGGAGGTGGGATGGGAGGAAGGCCTAAGTTAATAAGGAATTACTTGATTAGAATGAGTTGGCATATTACAGATCTATAAAATCGAGAGGGCTTGTTTTTCATGGATAAAAGTAGATTCATACTAACAAATGTGTGGTCCAAGAAAGTACTATTAATACTTCATTTCGTTTATTTATGTATTCATTCACACATTGATTTGTTCAGCAAACATTTCTTTAAGACTTATTTCAGGCCCCATATTTGGTTTTGGTGATCAAAGATATGCAAAACACTATTTCTGCCCTCAAGGTATTTGCAGTCCACTAGGACTCTTCAAATGACCACAATTCCATGTGGCAAATAGCTCCTGGTGGGTTCTCAGAGAGCACGGAGTGAAGGACACTCCCCTTCTTCCTGAGTGTAGAGTTCAATATTTCCCAGCCTCCTCTGAGGTTACATGTGGCCACATGACTCACTTCTCCCAGTGGCATGTAGACAGAAGTCATGTCTACCTCTGCTGGGTCTAGGCTTAGGAGATGGGCATACCTCCTGCCTCTTTTCCCCTTGTAACTGGGGCAGAATATAGTCCAACATTGACCATAGATGAGGACAATGCCATTGGGTCTAGAGGATGATGCAGCAAAGACTTGACAACCTGGAAGAAATTGAGTCCCTGCCCACAAGCCTGGCACTCTTGAATGGGCAGATGGAACAGAACTGCCCACGAACCTGGCCCACTCACTTTAGAACTGTTACTTGAGGGGGAGGAGAAACAGCTATAATTTTAAAACCACTTTATGATGGGGTCTTTTTATTCATTTTTATTATGAAAATGTTCACACATATAGAAAAGCTAAAAAAAATTGTACAATAGACATTTATATATCCACAGCTTAAATTATACCATTAAAATTTTACTGCACTTTCCTTTTTAAAATTATAGACCTACCTATTTTTCCACCCATCTATTCACTCATCAGTCCTTCTTAATTTTTGAACAAAATTCAAAGTATATTGCAGACCTCTCTACATTTCAACCTAAATACTTTGGCATGCAAATTATTAACTAGACTTTTTCTTCTGATGAAAAAACTTACATACAATGAAATGCATAAATCTTAAGTGTGTAGTTGTTAAGCTTTGACAAATATTACACCCACATAACCCAAACCACTATCAAGATCAAGATCATTCAATTTCCCCAGAATTTCTATTAGGGTATTTCTGTTACAGCAGCTTAGCTTTACCTTAAATCATATACAGAGTCATAATATTAATAATAGTTAGAAGAGCTGAACATCTTTTATGTGTCAGGGATTATATAATGCATATTTTATTTTTCACAATAAAGTCATGGTGTAGGTATGATTAGCTCTGTCATATTGATAAGAAAAATTAGGTTTAAGAAATTGCCCATGTTCACTCAGCTAGTAAGTGGCAGAGATGAGCTCTGCATCTAGATCCCACTGATTATAACACCTGGCATCTTTCCACTACTCTCTTTGACTGACTCTGCCTGAGGGCTTCAGGGGGAGCTTAGCTGCACAAAGGAAGAATATTTAAGCTACATCTTGAGCCTCAACCCTGGAAGATTGAGCTGAATCCACTTATCAGAAGGACAAAGCAGGGAAGGGCTTTCCATGCAGAAGAAACATCACATCCAAAGCAAAGAAGGATGAGAGTGTAGCATTTGAACAATTGCTGATGTCTCCATCTGCTCAGAGCTTAGAGTAATAATGTAGGGGAAGCAGAAGATGAGAGTTAAAAACTGACCAAGATACTAATGCTTTGCTAAGTGGATTGGATTTGATCCTACAGGCAGTGAAGAGCCATCAAAAGGATTTAAGCAGGGAAGTGACGTAATTAGATTTGCAATTTACAATGCAACTTAGAATGCTGTTGATGCAGAAAAATGGTATCAGAAAGAGACAGGGGCTAAGGAAACCAATGATGAAACAGGTGAAGTAGTCCTTCGGCTTGAGGATCCAAATAGAGCAGTTACTATGGAGACCATGAGCACAAGCTGGAAGACAGGTCAGCTGGTGATTCCCACTTTCAGGACAAGCTTCCATTTTTTCTGTATGTGCTCTAGTTAAGAAATCTTTAAAGGCTAGGTGCGGTGGCTCACGCCTGTAATCCCAGCACTTCGGGAGGCCAAGGCAGGTGGATCATGAGGTCAGGAGATCCAGACCAGCCTGGCCAATATGGTGAAACCCCACCTCTACTAAAAATACAAAAATTAGCCGGGTGTGGTGGCATGCACCTGTAGTCCCAGCTACTCAGGAGGCTGAGGCAGGAGAATCACTTGAACCCGGGAGATGGAGGTTGCAGTGAGCCGTGACTGTGCCACTGCACTCCAGCCTGGGCGACAGAGTAAGATTCCGTCTCAAAAAAAAAAGAAAAGAAATCTTTTCCATTTATTATAGTGGTGGGGACTGCTATTGCCTCCCACAATATCTTTCACTCCCTTCTATAGTAATAAAAGTTTCAGCTTGATCAATCCAGTCAAAAACTAAGTTATCCAGCCTCTCTTGGGGCTAAATATGACTAATTGTATGGCCAGGTTCAAGCCCACTGGGATGTGAGGAAAACAGTGTGTGCAATTTCTAGGGTGTTCCTATAAAAGGAAAGGGGCATACACTGCATTCCTTCCTCTTCCCTCTCTCCTGGGCTGGGATGTGGAGGTGGTGGAGAGTCACCTTTGATCATTTGTTCAAGAAGAAGCCTGTACAGATGGTAAGGCAACAAGATGATAAGAGCCTGGGTCCACACAGAGTTCACCTGCGACCCTGGGCCTCCTGCCAGGACTTTTTCAAAGGGAAGAAACCTTTATCTCATTTAAGCCATTGTATTATGGAAAAATTTTGTTACAGAAGTCCAACGTGTAGCAATAAAATTCTTCAGAGTAGTAAAGGAGATGGAATCTCTCATGCAGGTTCTGACCTGGATGGCTCCCTAAGTGTAAGACATGGTGGGAGACTTTGTGGCAAGAATAGCTGTCCTGGGACTTAGAAAGATCGGGATTTGTACACCAGCATGCCACTGGCTAAATGGCCTCGAGCGTATTAGTTTACCTCTCTGGACCTGTGAGTTTTTTCTTGTTGCTGTTTCTTTGTTTCCTTCTATAGGATGGGGAAAATGGTAGTGCTATTACAAAAAGTCGAGATGGTATTTACAAAAGTCTGCACCTTAGTCCCTGGCACATGGTGGGCCTCCATAGTGGCAGCCATTGTCATTATGAATAACTCTGGGTGAAGTTGGCAGGGGCAGCTAGCTCACCAGGGAGGGGCATCCCAGGAACTTGAGCATATAGATGCACTTCTCTCTCCAATCTGCATCATACTTGCTCTTTGATTTTTCAACGCTTTTTTTTTTTTTTTTTTTTTTTGTCGACAGAGTCTCCCTCTGTCACCAGGCTGGAGTGCAGTGGCACGATCTTGGGTCACTGTAACCTCCACCTCCTAGGTTCAAGCAATTCTCCTGCCTCAGCCTCCCGAGTAGCTGGGACTACAGGCACGCGCCACCATGCCCAGCTTATTTTTGTATTTTTAGTAAAGATGGCGTTTCAAGATGTTGGCCAGGATGGTCTTGATCTCTTGACCTCATGATCCGCCTGCCTCAGCCTCCCAAAGTGCTGATTATAGGCATGAGCCACTGCATCCGGCCTCAATGCTTTTATTTCTTTTTGCCGTCTCCATAAGAGAGTAGGATTTGTACTCCTCTCTTATGAGTCTCACGTTTTAATTGCAGTCTTGTTCCTAGCAAGATAGGCTATCTTGGACAAGATCAATGAGGTTTGTGATCATCTGAACATTCAGGAGTTCTGCGAGACCAATAGCCCTGGTTTGGAGTTCTTCAGTTTGGAAACTGAGCTGCTTCCTCAGTCAGATTTATTGCACATGTCAAGAAGCAATTGACTCCATACCAGCTTCTTTTCACCCTTGTAAGGGCCATGGTTCAAACTGATGGGACTGTTCTTATCAATCCCGCAACCCTGACTAATCGGGGGAAACTTCTTGACTCATAAGCTACAAGGAAGAAAAAGGGAAACAAAGTTTTCCAGGAGGCCAATGGGTGAATGTCTTTTCCTTCTGGGAAGTGTTGCTCTGTATTCCTGCTCTAGAAAAAATCACCTTGGTAAGTAAGAGTTCTTCCTCTCTTTAACTTTCTGTAAACAGACCTTAGACCAGTGAATTTCATGCTCACAGTATATCAGAGTCACCTGGAAAGCTTTTGAGAAAACTCAGATCCCTGCACCCTATTGGCCAAGAAATTGAGACTCGATTGATCTGTGGAGGGGCTCAGGAAATGGTATTTTGAGAGAAGGACTCAAGTCAGTTTTTATAGACAGTATTTTTCATAGAGTGCATGGGCTTCATCCTTGGTTGACAGTTTTTATGGTGATTGGCACTCAAACAACATTTCTGATGGACAGAATGGGACTCCCATGCCTTGCCCTAGCATCTGGAAAGCTCAGAGCTCCTGCTCCATGAGCGCTGCTGCTGCACCTCCACCTGCACCCCCACTTCACTAATGTGGAGGGATTTCCAACCTATTTTAGAAGCAGAGGCCTATTAATGTGAAGGCCACTGAGTAGCCTTGAAGTCAGAGTTTCCATCCAGATGAACGTCTAAAAATTTTCAACCTGAGATTATTTTCCTGACCACAAGAAGAAGGAAGACATAATTTTTATGGTTGACTTGAGAGAGGCAGACTGCCTGCCCCACCCTCTCCTCTCCTTCCAAACTGATCTTTGTTTTTGGTGTCATTTGGCTCTTGGTGGGAGGAGGGGGGAGGAAACTCTTTCCCAGGCGAGAATATAAGCACCCCATCTCTTGCAAGGAGCAAGTGCATTTTGGAAGAAGAGCCTCCTTCCCCTCCAGGGAAGACTGTGGGAATGTGAGCCCCTATCTTTTTTTTTTTTTTTTTTTGGTAATTCCTGTGGTCTTTGATTTATTCTCCGATTCTAATAGACAACCAAGGACTCTGGAATTGGCTGCAAAATCAACTGTGGGAGAGGAGATGAGAGCTTTTGTGTAGAGAGGTAGAAGTGGAAGAAGCCAGAAGGAAGGGAGTTGAAGAGATTCCAAACACATGGCCACTCCAAAGCTGCAGGGCACTGTCCTAGTGTCCACTAGCCACTCTGCAGCAAGGGTCATGGTCAGCTGACTGCTCCAGCTGCATGGGATGCGAATGGTCCATCAACTGCCCATGCCCTTGCTCAGGGCTCACACTCTTCTGTCACCTCCCTACAAGTGGGGTCTTCACTGAGCACCATTCTTGTGGCTACAAACCCCCAAGAGGGGAGGTGATGACTGACCAGGATCTCCCAGCTCCATGATGGGGTCAGCTTCTTCAAAGTCCCCAGCTCTCATTCCAAGAAAACTGTAAGATTGAAGATAGTCAGAATACCTGGTATCCAGGTTCCCTAGGGCTGCCATGGCAAAGGTACCACAACCTGGGGGGCTTAGACCAACAGAAGTCTACTGCCTCCTGGTTCTGGAGGCCAGAAGGCCAAAATCAAGTTGTCAGGAGGGCCATGGACTCTCTGAAACCTGTAGGGGAAGGGTCCTTCCCTGCCTCTTCCAGCTTTTGGTAGCTCCAGACATTGGCTTGCAGCAGCCTCACCCTAATCTCTGTCTCCATGCTTACGTGGCTTTCTCCCTGCACCTCTGTGTCTTTTAAAAAGAAAAACAGTCATATTGGATGAGGAGCCCACTCTGCTCCAGGATGATCTCACCTTAACTAATTGCATTTGCAGTGACCCAATTTCCAAATAAGGTCACATTCTAAGATATTGAGGGTTAGGGCTTCAAATACCATTTTTTGGCAGGCAGGATGTAGTAGCCTGTTTTCACGCCGCTGATAAAGACGTACTTGAGACTGGACAATTTACAAAAGAAAGAGGTTTAATGGACTTACAGTTCCATGTGGGTGGGGAAGCCTCACCATCATGGCGGGAGGCAAGGAGGAGCAAGCAATGTCTTACATGGATGGCAGCAGGCAAAGAGAGAGAACTTGTGCACGGAAACTACCCCTTATAAAGCCATCAGATTTCATGAGACTTATTCACTATCATGAGAACAGCACGGGAAAGATCTGCCCCATGATTCAATTACCTCCCACCAGGTCCCTCCCACAACATGTGGGAATTCAAGATGAGATTTGGGTGGGGACAGAGCCAAACCATGTCAGAGGGAGGCACAATTTAACCCAGAACACTTGGGATGATGAGGAGTATGAATTGGAAATGCCTGAGCCCCCTAAACTGGGCTAAGGAGACAATCCCTCCCTCTCTCCTACCCTTCCTCCTCTCCCTCCCTTTTTTCCCTTCCTCCCTTCCTCTGCTCCCTCCCTTCCTTCCTTCCCCTCTTCCTTCCTTCCCTCCCTCCCTTCCTTCCTTCCCTTACCCCTTCCTCTTATCCTTTCCCTTTCTTCTTTCCCTCCCTCTCTCCTGTCCCCTCTCTTCCTTCTTTCCATTACTCCTGCCCCCATGTCCTCTTCCCCTTCATCTGTCCATCTCCTTAGAAGTCTGCCAGTGAGGTGCACAGATGAGGAATGTCAGGCTGCCCAGGATGGCATCAGCCAGCTGACTGCTTGCAAGTGGCTCCATGGGCCCTAGAGAAGGGAGGAGGCCAGCCTCCTCAATCTGAATGCCCTTCTGCTTTATGAGCCTTGCCTCTGCTGCCATTTTTAGCAGCAGCTTAACTTGCAGGGATACTGCCCTGGTCCTCAGCTGCCATCCCAGACCTGCAGGCGATGCCTGGGCGCTCCCTCCCTGCTGTCACAGGACACTCACCACCCGCTGATAGCCAGCCTGCTTTTTTGACATTGTGAGGCATCTGCCTGGACAGCCAAGGACAATGCTGCAGTTTCTGTGGAAACCTGAGTGCCTGTAAGGACTCTAGTGGGGACTCTAACCCACCATTGGGCAGGCTCTGGGAGAGGCTAGAGAATGGTGGTCAACCACCTGAGTGAGGTCTGTCTGATCTGTGACCCGAGGGATGTCACTCACTCTGGAGCAAGGGGCCCTCTCTGGGCCTCAGCTTGCTTCTCCAGTGAGAAATTGCCAAGCCTGGCCACCTGCCTGAAATGAGGGTAAGAGGAGACAGAAGCAGCACGAACACAAACTAACACTTAAAGGGATTATCTTGTCAGTTGCATGGGACTTTCTTTTGCTGTCCATGGAGATAGCTGTAGGAAGAGGGATGGAAAGGCGGAGGAGGGAGTGGGGCCTGATTCTTTGATGTAGAGAGAGGTACAAGAAGAAGTAGAAGGCTTGGTTTCGATAAGAGGCATTTTAGATTTGGCCATCCCAGGGGCCCAGATGATGCAGTAGTGGAGGAAGCCAATCTTGGACTCCCTCTTCTCCTCAATTCTTCCCTGGGTCATGGTGCAGCTCAGGACCTCTGAAGGCTTTGGCTGCTCTCCGTGGAAGACTTTGGGACCAGTCAGCACATGGCCTATTGGCAGATTCACAAAGGGCATCTCCCATCTCACTCTGCTGTGCAAGTAAATGGTTATGAAGCCTTCAGAGGTGCCACAGAGAGGCCCCAGGGCTGAAGACCATGCATGAACTCTTTTAGCATGGAAAAACACTCACGAAGGCAGTTATTAGTTATAGCACCCTATTTAGAGACTTTATAAGACACAATTTTTGTTTTATCAATTTGTAGGAACATAGATCATTTACTGTTTGCTGACTATGGTTCTCCCATGAGGACCTCTCTCTCTCATGCTTCCTTCTTCCTAGTAGTTATAGAACCACTCAGACTACATTTCCCAGTTTCCCCAGTGCCTAACCATGGTCATGTGACTAAATTCCAGCAAATGGGATGCTATGGAAGTGACGTGTG